>NC_000023.11:155675606-156030895 GCF_000001405.40 Homo sapiens
AAAGGACATCCAAATGACTATAAATTAGCCAGTGTGGGAAAGGTATAGCTGGCCAGCTGCCTATGCCAGCTATTGACAATGTTGTTATATATTGTTTTTTGTTAATTGAACTTAGTGTAACATTGTGCCAAGAGTGCATAAAATGCAAAATATTATGCTTAGGAGAAAAGAAAGCTGCTTGTCTTAGTATAACAGATATTTCTAGATGTACCACATACCAAGATTTGTTATTTACAGTAACTTAATTTGGATCCTTTGTCGTATCAAAAATAAGCATGGAGTTTTCAGTAGGTAATTAGATTATTTCATCAAAACTAGCTGTTGGTCATACATGTTCATTCCTGGTAATCACCACTTCTTTTTCTGCTCATCATTAGTTCTTTTTTGGTAATCAGTTCTAAAGCCTTGACTGAGTTTTACATCGAAGTCATATTTTTTAAGCTCTGAAAATTTCTCTTATTTTTTTTTGAAATGAAGAAATACATTTTCTAGGCTCTATTTTAGAGTGCCTCTCTCATTCTCCATGAGTCTTCAAAGATCACCAAGAAGGATCTAATTCATAATTTTTCTCAATATGAATATGATTCATCTGGTCATAAGACTTGAACTTACTGAGTAAACTATATACTTTCTTCTATTTTTTTCATCTATCTTGGGTTATAATCTCCCTTTTAAATGTTCTAATATATCCAGTGTGAATAACATTCTTTGACAAAGAAGATGGTGGCAACATGGTAGCTGAGTAATTATGATCTAAGGATAAATATTGGTGTTATCTTTTGTAATGGAAATCAGAAGACCTAGATTTTAATCTCACTTCCCTCCCTGTGCTCATATTTGCTGTTATGATTTTTGGCAAGTCCCTTCCCCTCTCTGGACCTTAGTGGCAAATGAAGTGGGTCAAGTGATGCCTAAGCTCTTCTATAGGCTTTGTGATTCTAAGCATCTATTAGAATATTAAATTTCTATAATCATAGATGCTCACTATGTTAGGCTGTTTTGTGCTGCTATAACAAAATTGCTGAGACTAGGTAATTTATTAAAAAACAGAAATGTATTTCCTCACAATTCTGGAGGTTGGGAAGTTCAAGATCACAACACTGGCATTTTGTGAGGGCCTTCTTTTTGTGTCCTCACATGGCGGAAGGTGGTGGGGAAGAGGGAACCAGCTCCCTCTGTGAAGCCCCTTTATAGGGACACCTAATTCCATTTTTGAGGGAGGAGCCCTCATGGCCTAATCACTTCTCAAAGGCCTCGTAATACTATCACATTGGCAGCACCTGAATTTTTGAGGGGATACATTCA
The DNA here is from genome assembly GCF_000001405.40 of Homo sapiens. NCBI lineage: Eukaryota > Metazoa > Chordata > Mammalia > Primates > Hominidae > Homo > Homo sapiens. Next base: position 155,676,912 of record NC_000023.11, read on the forward strand.
AACCATAGAATTCATGCTTTTATGTTATCCATTTTCCCTACAGACATCTTGGGCCTCTTTTGTGTTATTCCTGTGTTTTTCTTTCATCCTTTCCATTTCCAGATGTATTCTTTCAGTCAGTTCGGATCGGCTATTGAAGATATTAATTAAATCATATAATTGTATATTTGCATTTCTCACAGAATGTTCACAGTGAGAAACACCAACAAATCAAAAAGAGTCATTTGCAAATGAACCATAAATAAAGTTATCAGTAACATCAATTTAAAGATATATACTTATCAGTAAAAAGATACTGATGCAAACTTTGGAATAGTCTCATTACTTGGAGACATAGACTTATAGAATGTTAGATGTTGCATGTGAAAACTGATGTTCTGGGAGATGGGAATCAATTTTTCCACTCTCCTCTGGGTTCCACCAGGAAACATTTTCCTTACACTCTCCTGGCATCTGTCTGTTTTCTCACCTACTAATTCTGATGACTTAACCCAGTTGGTGAATTTAGGAGCATGAAATGAGCAAGTGTAATTCACTCTCCTTCCTCTCCATTTTCTTTGGAGCCAGTTGCTCATTGGAAGTGTGCATTCTTGTCTGCTCCTTTATGCTTTAAGTTTTACAGGGAGAGACTTTCCCATGAGGATACCTATGGTTATATAGCATTACCTGTGGTGCAATATTAGGGAAGCCACATTCTCCAATATCAGCTTTATCAGTAACAAAGCTAATGTTTTGACCTCCATGTGTATCACTTTTCTATCTTTCAATTGGTCCCAAACTCAGGCAAAGACAGAGTGAATTATATTGTGCCATCCTTAAAACTCTTATAACCAGAAAGTAGAAGTCCTACAAACCTAGAAGGAACATGCAATGTCTGTGGACTTCAGTCATGCTCCATTGTGTATCTGGGGAGTCATTCCAATAAATGTTTATCAGAGCAGAAAGATTATCTATTTTCCTGGCCAACACTTTGATGAAATAGTCTTTCACTACCCCCATTGACAGACTGAAATGCCTACTGTGTGACAATTTGGTACTAGACACCCTAGTAACCTTGGAAAACTTCCACAAGGAAGGCAACACACCAGATGTGGTCTTATGGAAAAACCTAATACCTGTGTTTAGCTTTACTGGCCCCTTCCACACAAGCTTGTGCAGGTTTGAAAAAGACATAGCTATTTCTGGGGGTATCTCAGTACTGTCTTATTGAATGAGATGGCCTGGACTGAAATGTAGGGAACCCTACAGACCCTAATGGAGTAGTATTTCTAGACTGAATGGGCTTGTTGTCAAAAGGGATTTCTCCTCATGTAATAGAAATTCTTCTCTCCTTACCTTAATTATCTGTGCTCTGAATTTGTGAGAAAACGTTCTACCTCCAAAAATAGTTAGGAAGAAGTTCCTATAATATTATCAAGATGGAAAAAAGTCTTTAACGATTGCAGTAGAATGACTCCAGTACCCTTCAGAAGGGACAGTAAAAACCATGCTGAGTAAGACACTGGCCTATCTACTTGTGATTCTGTTATGTTAATATATAAAGTATCTAATTCGAATGTCCTTTCTTTTCTGGCTGGAGAAACCCCTTAGCAAATACTTAGCGAGTTAACAGTCTGTGTTTCTTCGCCAGAGCTCCCAAATCAGCCCTTTCCCTTGGAGTAAAAAAGAGACCCAAAAGAAGAGGGGAGGAATAACCATATTGTTAAAGAACTGAAAAGAGTGGCTTTGTATGGCATTTTTAAATACTTGGTTGAAGTGAGGGAAAGAAACAGAAAACTGTGATGCCTTGCAAACTGTGCAAGTTAAGTCAATCTGGACTAGATTTTATATAAATGTGAATGACAAACCTGTAATCTATCATCTCACTTATGACTGTGCATTTTATTTTCTCAGCAACGTTTGATTTTGAAAACTTGTATGTTTTTTCAATGAAAATTAGAGTATAATGAGTTCTTTTACACTCTGATCAGTCTTGAGAGGACAGATTCATTCAACAAATATTTTTGAGCTCCTACTCTGTACCAGGCACCTTCATGTCTTAAGAATAACACCGCATGTTCTCACTCATAGATGGGAATTGAACAATGAGATCACTTGGACACAGAGCGGGGAACATCACACACCAGGGCCTGTAGGGGCGTGGGGGGCTGGGGGAAGGATAGCATTAGGAGAAATAGCTAATGTAAATGATGAGTTGATGGGTGCAGCAAACCACCATGGCATGTGTATGCCTATGTATCAAACCTGCGTGTTCTGCACATGTACCTTAGAACTTAAAGTATAATAAATAAGTAAATAAATAAAAATTAAAAATAAAAACCATGAATACAAATTTTAAAAAAAGAATAAGACTGTCAATCTATTCATGATGCTATAACAAAATATCTGAGGCTAGGTAACTTATAAGTAACAGAAATGTATTGCTCACAGGTTGTTGGGAAGTCCAAGATCAAGACACCAGTAGATTTGGTGTGTGATGAAGCCTGCTCTCTGCTTCAAAGATGGTGCCTCTTGCTGCCTTCTCATATGGCAGAAGGAAGGCCAAAAAGGGTGGGGGTGGGAGTAGCTAGTTCCTTCCAGCCCTTTTGTAATGTCAATAATCCCATTCATGAGGGCTCTGCCCTCATGACTTAATCACCTCCTAAAGGTCTCACCTCTTAATACTATCACATTGGGGTTTAAGTTCCAGCATATGAATTTTGGAGGGACACATGCATTCAAACCATAGCAATGAGTAAACAATAGATATGGTTTTTGTCCTCATGGAACTTTCAAATATAGTGAGGGGAGATAGTCATTAAATAATTACATACTAGCAGTCTGTATTAGCCTTTATAAATGAAAAATACAGAGAGCTATGAGAACATATAAACCTGATCTTATCTGAGTTGAATGATCGGCAAAGGTTTTCCTATGAATGAGATGTTTACACTGAAAGCAAAAGTATGAGTAAAAGTGGGGTAAGCAGACGGTAGGCGAAGAGAGGGAGCAGGAAGACATTCAAGGCAATGGAAACAGTATATGAAGAGGACCAAAGTCATGAGTGTCTGCTATTGTAGAATAATTAAGAGCTAGAAAGTGCGGCTAGAAAGTAGAAACCAAGAGAGTGTATCAAAAAGTGAAACCACAATGGGAGATATGGGACAGTTCTTGCAGGGTTCAAGATTTTAAACATGGGACTTTATATTAATAGCAATGAGGAGCCACTGAAAGATAAGATTTTAAGCAATGCTGGTGTGTGTGTGTGTGTGTGTGTGTGTGTGTGTGTGTGTGTGTGTGTTTGAGGGAGAGAGAGAGAGAGAGAGAGAAGAGAAGAGAAGAAGTCAAATTGGTATTTTATAGAGATACTACTACTACTCTGGCCCTAGTATGGAGACTAGTATATAGGAGGCCAAGAAAGGTAACAGGGGAACCAGTCTTAAGGTTACTAAAATCACCATGAGAGAATGGTGACGACTTAAGGTAGAAATGGGAAATTATGGGCATGGGGAATAAGTCATCTAATTTGAGAGACTTTTAGGAGGTAAAATACACATGGCTTAGTTCTAGATTGAATGTGGGATATTCCCCCACAGTCATTTTGACTTGGCTGATGGGATGGATGGCAGGATTGTTTGCTGAGATACAAAATACTAGAATAGTGGAATTTACTTATTTATTTTTTGGCAGGAAAGAGATGATCAGTTCAATTTGAACACTGAGTTTCGGATAAATGTGAAATATTCAAATAGAGATACAGGCATACTTAATTTTATTGTGCTTTGCTCTATTGTGCTTCATAGATACTGCATTTTTTACAAATTGAAGGTTTGTGGAAATCCTATGTCAAGCAAGTCTATTGGCACCATTTTTTCCAACAGCATGTGCTCACTTCATGTCTGTATGTCACATTTTGGGAATTTGGTAATTGTCACAATATTTCAACCTTTCCATTATTATTATATCTGTTATGGTGATTGTGATCGGTGATCTTTGATGTTACTATTGTAATTATTTGGGGATGCCACTAACTGTGCCTCTGTAAGATAGCAAAGTTGATTGATAAATGTTGTATGTGTTCTGACTGTTCCACTGAACAGCCATTCCCTTGTCTTTCTCTCTGTCCTTGGGCCTCTCTATTCTGAGACACAACAATATTTAAATTAATAATCATACAGTGGCCTCTAAGTGTTCAAGTGTGATCTGGTTTGGCTGTGTCCCCACCCAAATTTCATCTTCAATTGTACTCCCATAATTTCTACATGTTGTGGGAGGGACCTGAGGGGAGATAATTGAGTCATGGGGGCGGTTTCCCCCATACTGTTCTCATGGGAGTAAATAAGTCTCACGAGATCTGATGGTTTTATCAGGGGTTTCTGCTTTTGCATCTTCCTCATTCTCTCTTTGCCCTGCTGCCATCCACATAAGACAGGACTTGCTCCTTCTTGCCTTCCACCATAATTGTGAGGCTTCCCCAACCACGTGGAACTGTAAGTCCAATTAAACCTCTTTCTTTTGTAAATTGCCCAGTCTCAGGTATGCCTTTATCAGCAGCATGAAAATGGACTAATACAAGTGATAGAAAGAGTCGCACATCTTTCACTTTAAATCAAAAGCTTGAAGTGATTAAGCTTAGGGAGGAAGGCATTTCAAAAGCTGAGTTAGGGAGAAAGCTAGACCTCTTGCACTAAACCACTGGCCAAGTTGTAAATGCAAAGAAAAGCTCTTGAAAAAATTAAAAGTGCCACTTTCCTGAATACATGAATGATTAGAAAGTGAGGTAACCTTATATTACTCATCTGGAGAAAGTTTGTGTGCTCTGGATAGAAGATCAAACCAACCACAGAATTCCCTTAAGCTGAAGCCTAATCCAGAGCAAGAGCTTAACTCTGTTCAATTCAATGAAGGCCGAGAGAGGCAAGAAAGCTGCAGAAGAAAAGTCTGAACCTAGCAGAGGTTGGTTCATGAGTTACAAGGAAAGAAGCCATCTCCATAACAAAAATGCAAGGTGATGCAGCAAGTGCTGATGGGGAAGCTGCAGTGAGTTATCCAGAAGATCTAGCTCAGAAAACTGATAAAAGTGGTTACACTAAGCAATAGATTTTCAATGTTGATGAAACAGTCTTCTATTGGAAGAATATGCCATCTAGAACTTTCATAGCTAGAGAGAAGTCAACACCTGATTTCAAAGCTTCTAAGGACAGGCTGACTCTCTTTTTAGGGGCTAATGCAGCTGGTGATTTTAAGTTGAAGCCAATGGTCATTTATCATTCTGAAAATCCTTGGGCCCTGAAGAATTATGCTACGTCTACTCTACTTTTGCTCTGTGAATGGAACAACAAAGCCTGGAAGGCAGCACACCTGTTTACAGCATAGTTTACTGAATATTTAAAGCCCATTGTGGATACCTACTGCTAAGAAAAAGAAGTTTCTTTCAAAATATTACTGCCCATTGATAATGCACCTGCTAGGTCAAGAGCTCTGATGGAAATGTACAAGAATATTAATGTTGTTTTCATGCCTGCTAGCACAACAACCATTCTGTGGCTCATGGATCAAGGAGTAATTTTGACTTTCAAGTTTTTTGTGTGGATCCTCCTATGGTACAAAGACTTTCAAGCCTTGTTATTTTTTTAAAAACATTTTTTGAGGCAGAGTCTCACTCTGTCATCCAGGCTGGTATGCAATGGCATAATCATGGCTCACTGCAGCCTCAGCCTGCTGGGCTCAAGTGATCCTCCTGCCTCAGCCTCCTGAGTATCTGGGACTACAGATGTGTGCCATCGCACCTGGCTAATTTTTAAAATTTTTTGTAAAGATAGGGCCTTACTATGTCACTCAGACTAAAAAATACATTTTTTAATGCTACCGCTGCTATACATAGTGATTCCACTGAAGTATCTGGGAGAAGTACATTGAAAACCTTTTGGAAATATTCAACATTCTAGATGGCATAAAGAATATTCACGATTCATGAGTTGAAGTCAAAATATTAACATTAGCAGGAGTTTGGAAGAAGTTGATTCCAATCCTCATGATGACTTTGAGGGGTTCAAGACTTCAGTGGAGGAAGTAACTGCAGATGTGGTAAAAACAGAAAGATTAGAAGTGGAGCCTGAAGATGTGACTAAGCTGCTGCAATATCATGATAAAACTTTAACATGACGAGGAGTTGCTTCTAATGAATGAAAATAGAAAGTGGTTTCTTGAGATGGAATCTACTCCTGGTAAGGATGCTATGAACATTGTTGAAATGACAACAAAGGATTTAGAATATTCCAGTTGATAAAGCAGTGGTCTGGTTTGAAAGGATTGACTCCAATTTTGAAAGAAGTTCTGCTGTGGGTAAAATGCTATCAAACAGCATTGCATGCTACAGAGAAATATTTGTGAAAGGAAGAGTCGGTCGAGTGGGCAAATGTCATTGTTGTCTTATTTTAAGGAATTTCCACAGCCACTCCAACCTTCAGCAACCACCACCCTGATCAGTCAGCAGACACCAACATTGAGGCAAGACCTTCTACCAGCAAAAAGATTAGGACTTACTGTAGGCTGGGATGATTGTTAGCATTTTTTAGCAATAAAGTATCTTTTATTAAGGTATGTACATTACTTTTTAGACGTAATTTTACAATGAATATACTGCAGTTTGGTGTAAACATAACCTTTACATGTACTGGGAAACCAAGAAATTCATGTGGCTATTTTTATTGTGATATTTGCTTTACTGTGGTGGTATGAACATGAACCCACAATATCTCTGAGATATGCTTGTATTAAAGTGGCAGTTGGATATATAGATCTGGCTAAGGAAAGATGACTAGGCCAGAGATGTAAATTTAGGAGCCATTGGCATATAGACAGTAATAATAATTTTGATCATACAAATGGATGAGATGATTCAGGAAGAATATACAGAAGGAGATGAGAGGACAGCCTGGGACAGAAGCCTGGGAAAGTCTAGCTTTTAAGGGAAGAGTAGAGGAAAATGATCTAACTAAGGAGAATGAAGAGTGTCTGGAGAGTTCGAGTCAGGAGTGTGCTGTCCTGGAAGCCAGCAAAGAACTGTTTTCATCAGGAGGACATGGGCAGCCCACTGAGAGGTCAAGGAAGATGGGGGCCGACAGGTGGCCAGGGGTGGTGACACCATGAAGGTCATTGGTGGCCTTGACAACAAGCTGATTTGGTGGGGTCATGGAAGCCAGGCCAGACTGGAGTAGACTGAGAGAGAGTGAGAAGTGAGATGATGGAGTGTTTGAGGGGGTTGACAGGGAAGAGGAAGGTTAAGGGAGAGAGGAGGGGATGTAGTTTTGAAGGAGACTGTTTTCCTTTTTGCTTCCTGAATATTGGAGATGTTGAAAATACAGGAGAAAGAGTGAGCTAGAGAGAATGATCACTATTATAAGAAATCAGAGAAGGCCAAGGAGCTTGGGATCCAGCTTGCAGCAGGTGAAGGGACTGGTCTTAAAAAGGAGTAGGAACCCTTCTCCGTCAGAACAGAAGGAAAGGGGGGACATTGCTTTAGGGTTTTCCAAATGTATGCTTTTCACAATTCATTTAGAATCAATAAATCTATTTAGAATCAGTATTTTACTAATTCAATTGGAATGTAGAAACCTTACCACCATATAGATTCCTTTACCTTCCACATCTTTGTGCTATAGTTGCCTTACATATTATATCTATATACATTGAACATCCTATCAGACATTTTCTTGTTTTTGTTTGTTTGTTTTTGCTTTCAATCATCAAACGTGTTGTAAGGAACTCAAGAGGAGAAAAGTCTATTATTTTTACCCAGATATTTACTATTTCTATTGCTTTTCCTTCATTCTTGATGATCCAGATTTTCTTTTGGCATCATTTCCTCTCTGTCAGAAAACTTTTTTTTTAGCAATTCTCTGAAAGCAGGTTTGCTGGTTTTGAATTCTCTTTTTCTGAATCCTAAAATGTATTTATTTCACCATTATTGAGGATATTTTCATTGGATTTAGGATTCTAGGTTGACAACCTTTCATTTTGGTACTTGAAAAATGTTGTTTACTTACTTCTGGGCCCCGTGCTTTTGAATGAGAAATCCATTTTCCCTATAGAATACATTGTTTTTCTACGGCTGATTTCAAGACTTGTTTCTTTTTCATTATCTTTCAGCAATTTGATTATGATGTATCTGGTCATGGATTTCTTTGGGTTTATCCTGAATGAGATTGGCTCATCATTGTAAATCTATAGATTTGTCTTTGTCAAACTTGAAAAGTTTTCAACCATTATTTCTTCAAATATTTTTTCAACTCAGCACTTTCTTATCTCCTTCTTGGACACCAATTTTGTGAATTATAGAATTTTTGTTATTGTTCCACAGGTCTCTGAGGTTCATTTTTTCAATCTTTTTTTCTGTGTTCAGATTGGATAATTTCTATTGCTCTATCTTCAAGTTCACTGACTCTTTTCTCTATAATCTCTATTTTTCCAGTAAGTCCATGTAGTAATATTTGTTTGTCTGTAGGGATTTCTTTTTTTTTTTTTTAGCTTTTATTTTCAGTTCAGGGATACAAGTACAGGTTTGCTACATAGGTAAACTTGTGTCATAAGGGTTTGTTGTACATATTATTTCCTCACCCAGGTATTAAGCCTAGTACCCATGAGTTATTTTTCCTGATCCTCTCCCTCTTCCACCCTCCACCCTCCAACAGGCCCCAGTGTGTGTTACTCCTCTCCATGTGTCTATGAGTTCTCATCATTTAGTTCCCACTTATAAGTGAGAATATGTGGTATTTGGTTTTCTTTTCCTATGTTAGTTTGCTAAGGTAATGACCTCCAGCTCCATCCATGTCCCTACAAAGGACATGATCTTGTTCTTTTTTATAGCTGCATAGTATTCCTTTTTTTGTTTTTTGAGATGGAGTCTTGCTCCGTCGCCAGGATGGAGTGCAGTGGCGCGATCTCAGCTGACTGCAACCTCCACCTCCTGGGTTCAAGCGATTCTCCTGTGTTAGCCTCCCGAGTAGCTGGGACTACAGGTGTGTGCCACCATGCCCAGCTAATTTTTGTATTCTTTAGTAGAGACGGGGGTTTGGTAGAAACCATGTTGGCCAGGATGGTCTTTATCTCATGACCTCATGACCCGCCTGCCTTGGCCTCCCAAAGTGCTGGGATTATAGGCGTGCACCACTGCACCCGACCATATTCCATTTTTATTTAACTGATTATTTCAGTTCTAAAATTTCTATTGTGTTCTCCTTTATATTTTTTATTTCTTTGCTGATACCTTCTTTTTTAATATTTGTTTCAAAAGTGTTCACAATTGCCCACTAGATAATTTTCATAATACTTTCTTTAAAGTTTTTGTCAGATAATTATTGTTGGCATCTATTGTCCTTTCCCATGCAAGCCGAGATTTTCATGCTTCTTTGTACGCCAGCTGGTTTTTGGTTTATATCCTGAACATTTTGAATATTACATTTTAAGGCATTCAATCTGATTTAAATCCTAGGAAAATATTGATATTTTTTAGTCTTCTTTGTAAGTTTAGTTTTCAAAGTTTTTGCAGTGCTATTTGGGTCTATGCCACCCAGTGGTCAGTCTGAGGCGTAGGTGAAGATCTACTTGTTAGCTCAGTTTTCAAAGTCTTTAGTATAATAGTTAGTATCAAATCCATGAATAAATGAGTCAGGGTAACATCATGAGTTCAACAGCTTTATGGAGTCACTTCTCCAAGTTCCTCTCTCTGTTATCTCCCAGTATTTTTCTGTTCCTAAGTAACATATTTTCAGTCTTCCAGCCCAAAACTGCCCCTTCCATAATTATACTATGTCCAGCAGAAGGACAAAGAAAGGGTTAAAAGCAATGGGATTTGGCCCTGCCCTCTTGGAGCTATATCTGCATCCAATAGAGAAGAATGTTCCCTTCTCTCAGAGTTTTGGCTCCTGCATACTTTCATTGCCAGGCTATATTGCTGCCACAATATTATCTGGAGGCTGGGAACATGAGAATGAAGAAAAAGGAAAGAAGAAACGGGATATTCTTCCACCCCTGAATTTTAGATATTACCTTTCCTGCTCCTTGAGCCAGGCTTCTGAGATTTGAGTTGAGGCCAGGGGCTGCCAGAACAAAAAAACATGATGCTGGTTTGTTGGTACTTTGAATTGTGATGTTTTTTCATAATATATCTGCTATTTACTTTTTAGCATTCTCAAATAGCTGTTCATGCATTCTGTCCACATTTTGAAGTTCAGTTCAGTGGGAGAGAAAGGAAGGTATACATTATTATTCCACCTGTGCAAGAACTGAAAGGTTTTCCACATAAGTCCTTTAGAATTTTCAACTTGCACATTACCCAGAACAGGGAGTTTGCAACAAAACATCATTTATAAATTGATCAGGCAATGTGCCAAGCCCAACTTGGCTTAGGCTTTGAGCCTGACTGACATGCTTGCTTTCCTTTCTCAGTATAGACCAGGATAACTCCATTTGACAAAAAACAGTTGTCTATACTCACAAGACTAATATTTCAATTAGAACTCATATTTACAACTGGTCAGGAACTTAATCCAAATTGACTTTATCAAAAGGGAAATGTATTGGCTCATGTAACAGAATAGCCCAGGGATAGATCTAGTTTTAGATAACATGACTGAATCCAGGAACTCAAATAATGTCAAGGCATGAGCTCTATCCATTTCTCAGTTATGCTTTCCTCAGCATTATATCCATTTCTTACAGATTCTTCCCTCATTGTAGCAGGGTAGTTGCCAGTAACTCCTGGTTTACAATTTCATGACTTTAAGTCCAGCAGAATAGAAAACATCTGTTTGTCTATTACTTGAACGAGATTACTGGCATTATCTCTGATCAGATCAGAATAGTGTACTTGAGTAACATGCTCATATCTTAACCACATATTGTGGCTTACAAGAGTGATTGGCCAGACCTGTGTGGCATGTAAATTCTTGGAATTAGAAATAGAGAGCTTTATCCAAAGCATGGAAAGTGAATGGATACAGAGGGAGAGCATTAGGACAAATACCTAATGCATGCAGGGCTTAAAGCCTGGTAAATGTGTGCCATGGTGGTTTGCTGCACAGATCATCCCATCACCGAGGTATTAAGCATAGCATCCATTAGCTATTCTTCCTGATGCTCTCCCTCCCCCCACCCCTCCCCCGCCCCATTGTGTGTTGTTCTCCTCCCTGTGTCCATGTATTCTCATCGTTCAGCTCCCACTTATAAGTGAGAACATGCAGTATCTGCTTTTCTGTTCCTGAGTTAGTTTGCTGAGGATAATGGCTTCCCACTCCATTCGTGTCCCCGAAGAGGACATGATCTCGTTCCTTTTTATAGCTGCATAGTATTCCATGGTGTATATGGACCACATTTTCTTTATCCAGTCCCTCATTGATGGGCATTTAGGTTTATTCCATGTCTTTGCTATTGGGAATAGTGCTGCAATGAACATATGCATGCATATGTCTTTATAATAGAATGATTTATATTCCTTTGGGTATATACCCGGTAATGGAATTACTGGGTCAGATAGTGTTTCTGTCTTTAGCTCCTTGAGGAATTGCCACACTGTCTTCCACAATTCTTGAACTGATTTACACTCCCACCAACAGTGTAAAAGCATTTTTTTCTTCAAAACCTTTCCAGCATCTGTTATTTTTTTGACTTTTTAATAATAGCCATTGTGACGGATCTGACATGGTATTTCATTGCGGTTTTGATGTGCATTTCTCTAATGATCAGTGATGTTGAGCTTTTTTCCATATGATTGTCAGACGCATGTATGTCTTTTTTTAAATTGTTTTTTTTTTTAAGTTCTGGGGTACATGGGCAGGATGTGCAGGTTTGTTACATAGGTAAACATGTGCCATGGTGGTTTGCTACATTTATCAACCCATCACCTAGCTCTTTTCCCTAATGCTCTCCCCACCACTGCCCTCCTCCGACAGGCCCCAGTGTGTGTTGTTTCCTTCTCTGTGTCCATGTGTTCTCGTTGTTCAGCTACCACTTATAAGTGAGAACATGCAGTGTCTGTTCATATCCTTTGCCCACTTTTTAATAGAGTTGCTCAGCTTTTTCTTGTAAATTTGTTTAAGTTTCTTATAGATGCTGGATATTAAACCTTTGTCAGATGCATAATTTGCATAAATTTTCTCCCATTTTGTAGGTTGTCTGTTTGTTGATAGTTTCTTTTGCTGTGCAGAAGCTCTTTAGAATAATTAGATCCCGTATGACAATTTTTGCTTTTGTTGCATTTGCTTTTGGTGTTTTCATCATGAAATCTTTGCCCATGCCTATGTTCTGAATGGTACTGCCTAGGTTTTCTTCCAGGGTTTTCATAGTTTGGGATTTTACATTTAAGTATTTAATCCATCCTGAGTTAATTTTTGTATATGGTGTAAGGAAGGGGTCCAGTTTCGATCTTCTGCATATAGCTAGCCAGTTATCCCAGCACCATTTATTGTTGTTGTTGTTATGCCTCTTAGGGAGGGGTTCCTCCTCCTCATTTTTTGGGAATAGTTTCAATATAAATGGTCCCAGATTTTCTTTGTACATGTGATAGAATTTGGCTATGAATCCAACTGGTCCTGGGCTTTTACTGGTTGGTAGGCTATTTATTACTGATTCAATTTCAGAGCCTGTTATTGGTCTTAGGAGTGTGTATGTGTCCAGGAATTTATCAATTTCTTCCAGATTTTCTAGTTTATGTGTATAGAGGTGTTCATAATATCCCAGCGATTCTTTGTATTTCTGTGGGGTCAGTGGTAATATCCCCTTTGTCATTTTTAATTGTGTTTATTTAGATCTTCTCTCCTTTTTTTCTTTCTTAGTCTAGCTGACAGTCTATCTATTTTATTGATTTAAAAAAAAAACAACTCCTGGATTCATTTATCTTTTGAATGGTTTCTCATGTCTCAATCTTCTTCAGTTCAGCTCTGATTTTGGTTATTTCTTATTTTCTGCTAGCCTTGGGGTTGGTTTGCTCTTGGTTCTCTAGTTCATTTCGTTGTGATGTTAGTTTGTTAAATTGAGATCTTTATAACTTTTTGATGTGGGCATTTAGTGCTATAAATTTTCCTTTTAACACTGCCTTAGCTGTGTTCCAGAGATTCTGGTATGTTGTGTCTTTGTTCTCATCAGTTTCAAAGAGCTTCTTGATTTCTGCCTTAATTTCATTATTTACCCAAAAGTTGTTCAGAAACAGGTTATTTAATTTCCATGTAACTGTATGGTTTTGAGCAAATTTCTTAGTCTTGATTTCTAATTTGATTGTGCTGTGGTCCAAGAGAGTGGTTGTTATGATTTCACTTCTTTTGCATTTGCTTAGGAGTGTTTTGTGTCCAATTATGTGGTCAATTTTAGAGCATTGCCATGTGGCGATGAAAAGAATGTACATTCTATTGCTTTTGGGTAGAGAGTTGATGTCTGTCACGTTAATTACACATATCAGTAACAACCATGAATATAAACAGGCTAAATGCCCCAATTAAAAGGCATAGAGTGGCAATCTGGATAGAGAACCAAGACCCATTGGTATGCTGTCTTTGAGAGACTCGTCTCACATGCAGTGACACCCATAGGTTCAAAATATAGGGATGGAGAAAAATCTACCAAGCAAATGGAAAACAGCAAAAAGCAGGGGTTTCAATCCTAATTTCAGACAAAACAGATTTAAACCAACAAAGTTTTGAAAAGACAAAGAAGGGCATTCCATAATGGTAAAGGGTTCAATTCGACAAGAAGACCTAACTCTCCTAAATATATATTCACCCAATACAGGAGCACCCAGATTCATAAAGCAGGTTCTTAGAGACCTTCAAAAAGACTTAGACTCCCACACAATAATAGTGGGAGACTTCAATACCCCGCTGATAGTATTAGACAGATCATCAAAGCAGAAAATTAACAAAGACATTTACCTGAACTCAGCACTGAATCAATTGGACCTGAAAAAGTTCTTTTTCTATTCTGGATGAACTTATATCAATTCTGGATATACCTTTATCAATATATGTGTGATGAATTTTTTTCATTCTAGCTTGCTTTTTCATTTTCTTACCAACTTTTTTCAAAGAGCAAAAGATTTTAATTTTGATTAAGTTAAATTTTTGTAACATTTTTATTTTATCGTATATGATTTGTGTCCTATCTAAGGAGTATTGCCTTCCTACAAATTTGAAAATATTTTTCCTATGTTTTCTCCTAGAATTGTTACGGTTTTATCTATTTAATTTTTCGTGTTTAACCCTGTGCTTGTTTGCCCCAAGAATACTCATCAGTGGCACTTGCAGCTGCAGCATTTACCCTGAGATAACTTTGCCGCAAAATATTTCACTTTTATTATTATTTTTGCATTGCTCAATTATATCAACTTTGGAAACAAAAGGCATTATTCTATTTATAGCATTCTGTTTTTAGTGGTGGTATTTACATTTACAAAATCCAGTAATTCTTGATTGCTGAAAATTTCAAATTCTGGAATACACAGCATTCCTACACGTGATGTTAACATTATTTTCAAACAATTGTTGGCCAAAGATTCATTTGATGAATTCGATTTTTCTGAAATAGATGATTCTGATGATTCAGAAGGTTCTGATGTTAGTTCTGTTTAGAAATAATTCCAAGAACAGTTTTTATATTTTATTTTCACATTGAAAATCAGTCATATTTGCTCCAGCCTCAAAGAGGGTGTTTGTGTAAAATTAAAAGAGTGCTGGCAGTGAGCTGCACTTTTTTTTCTAAATGGAAAAAGGATTAACTATTATGGATATTAGTTGTACACATTTATAGGGTACATGTGGTATTTTTATACAAGCATACAACTGCAATAATCAAATCACAGTAACTGGGATATCCATCGCCTCAACCATTTATTATTTCTTCATCTTAGGAACATTCCAGTTTCACTCTTTTAGTTATTTAGTAATATTCAATAAATTATTGTTAACTATAGTTGCCCTATTGTGATACTGTACTCTAGATTTTTTTATTTCCATCTAACTATATGTTTTTTAAGATGGGGTCTTACTGTGTTGCCCAGGCTAGCCTCAAACTCCTGGGCTCAAGCAATCTTCCCACATCAACTTCCCAAATAGTAAGTGTATTTTTGTACCCTTTTTGTTAAGTGAAATAAGCCAGGCTCAGAAAGATAACTATTACATATTCTTACTCATATTGGGAGCTTAAAAAATGAACTCGTGGAGATAGAGAGTAGAATGATGGTTACCAGAGACTGGTAAGGTTAGTGGGGAGGAGGGATAAAGAGGGAATAGTAAATGGGTACAGCTTTATATTTTACATTTAGCTCCCTGGTTGATTTTGAGTTAAATTTTGTGTACACTGTGAGGCAAAAGTCAATGTTCATTTTTTTTTCCATGTGAATATCCAGTTGTTCTAGCACTATTTGATGAAAACACATTTTACTCCATTGAATTGCCGTTGAATCTTTGTAGAAAATGAACTGAACATGTCTGAGTCTATTATGTTTCAGTGACCTATATGTCTATGCTTTCACCAATGTCTAGCTCTCTTGATTACTGTAACTATAATAAGGCTAACTTAAGCCCTGTAATTTCTCTAATATTGTTTATATTTTAAAAAATTGATTTGCATTTTCTAGGTTATTTGTGTTTCCATATAAATTATACTATCAACTTGTCAATGTTTATAGAAAAAAATCTGCTGAGGTTTTTATTGTTATCGCATTAAATCTATATGTCACTTCGCTGGTATTTTTTTCCCTTAAATGTCTGATATACTTCAGTGAAGCCATCTGGACCTGGGATTTCTTAGATGTTTAGTAACAAATTAAATTTACTACATATAATGTTATTCATATTTTCTGTTTTAGCTTCTGTCCATTTTTGTAGGTTATATTTTTCAAGGAATTTGTTCATCTAAATTGTCAAATATTCTAACATAAAATCGTTCACAATACATACTTATTAACTTTTAATGACTTAATGATATGTACTGATGTGCTCTTTGCTATTTCTGATATTGTTTGTTTTCTCTCTCTTTTATTTTCTTGATCTATCTGGATGTTTGTTGATTTTGATCTTTAGTTGATCTTTAATTTATTTATTACGTTTTTCTTCTATTTCATTGTTTTTTCCTCTTTATTTTTTCTTTCTTCTACTCACTTACCTCAGTTATACTTTGCTCTTTTTCTAGCTTCTTAATCATTGATTTAAGGCCTTTTTCCTTTCCAAAAAACATTTACAACTTTGATTTTCGTTCTAACTACTGTATCATCTTAATCCAACAAATATTTGTTACATATTCATTATCATTCATCTCAAAATATTATCTAATGCCTCTTATAATTTATTATTTGACTCATGATTTATTTAGAAGTGTATTTTTAAATCTGGAAATATTTGGAGTTTCTGATGTATATTATTGATATTTATTTCTAATTTAATTCCACTGTGGTCAGAGAACATCCTCTGCATAGTTTCAATCACTTTATATTTATTGAAACTTGTTTTATGACCCAGAATATAGCCCACCTTAGTAAATGCACCATGTGTACTTGACAATAATGATGTGTATTCTGCAATTGCCTGGTGTGGTATTTTATAAATATTAAGTCACAGTAGTTGCTAAAGTTGTTCATGTCATGTATATCTTTACTGACCTTTTTGTTTAGTTGTTGTGTCAATTGCTAAAGCATAGGTGTTAAAATCTCCTACAACAATTTTAGGGTTGTTTATTTCTCTCTGTCAATTTTTGTCTCATGCACTTTGAGGCTCTATTATAGGCATGTACACATATATCATTCTTATGTCCTCCTGATAAACAGTCTCTTTGTATCTTTAAGTTTAAAGTGTGCCATTTTGAGGCAGGATATAATTATATTTTTATACATACTGATAATCTCTGTATTTTCATTGGAATGTTTAATTCTTTTTTCTTTTTCTTAGAGACAGGGTCTTGCTATGTTGCTCAGGCAGGAATACAATGGCACAATCATAGCTCCCTGAAGCCTCCAACTCGTGGGCTCAAGTGATCCTCTGGCCTCAGCCTTCTGAGTAGCTAGGAATGACTACAGGTGCACACCACCACACCTGGCTAATTTTTATTTTTTGTAGAGACAAGGTCTTGCTATGTTGCCCAGGCTGGTCTAAAACTCCTGACCTCAAGTGATCCTCCTGCCTTGGCCTCCCAAAGCACTGGGATTATAGGCATGAGCCACCATGCTTGGCCATAGACCATTAATTCTTAATGCAATTTTTATGTCATTGGACCTAGCTCTACCATTTTATTGTTTTATCTTTGTTCCCTCTGTTTTATTGTTCCTCCATTTCCCATTTACTGTCTTCTTTCAGACTATTGTAATCTTTTTATTATTCAGTTTTCTCTGTGGCCTTTTAAGATAATATATTTGTGTGTCTGTGTGTGTACGTGTTTGTGATTTTAGTGGCTTCTCTAAGGATTGAAATATGCGTCATCTTTACAGTCCATTTACAGTTAATATTGTACCACTTCTTAGAAAACTTAGACACCTTGGAAACATACAGACCTCTCTACACACCCTGATTATTCTTTATATCAGTGGTCCCAGTCCTTTTGGCACCAGGCACCAGTTTCATGGAAGACAATTTTTCCATGGACCGGGGTGGGTGAGGGACAATGGTCTTGGGATGATTCAAGTGCATTACATTTATTGTGCACTTTATTTCTATTATTATTACATTGTAATATATAATGAAATAATTATACAACTGACCATAATGTAGAATCAGTGGGAGCCTTGAGCATGTTTTCCTGTGACTAGATAATCCCATCTGGGGTTGTTGGAAGACAGTGACAGACCGCCAGGCATTAGATTCTAAAAAGGAGTGCACAACCTAGATCCCTCACATGCGCAGTTCACAAAAGAGTTCACGCTTCTATGAGAATCTAATGTGGTGGCTGCTGTTCTGACAGGAGGTAGCACTCAGGTGGTAATGCAAGCGATGGGGAGTGGCTGTAAATACAGATGAAGCTTCACTCACTTGCCTGCCGGTCACCTCTTGCTGTGTGGCCTGGTTCCTAACAGGCCACAGACTGGTACTGCTTTGTGGCCCAGGGATTGGGGACCCTTGCTTTATGTTATAGTTCTCATACATATTAAAACTATATGTATTAACAATTTCACAAGATAATGCTATAATTTTTGCTTTAAAAGGGCATATGCATTTTAAAGAAATTATGAGGGAAAAAATAATCTTTCATATTTAGTGTCTCTGATGTCCTTCTTTTAGCATTTCTTCTAATGCAGGTTTGCTCTGCATGAATTTTCTTAGTTTTCCTTATCTAGAAATGTTGTTATTTCATCTCCATTATTGAATAATATTTTCACAATTTATAAAACTAGATTGATCATTTTTTCTTTCCACATATTAAAGAATCATTTCATTGTCTCTATGGGTTATCTCTCTATGGGTTATGATGAGAAGTCTGCAGTCACTCAAATTATTGTTTTCTTCTATGTAATGTGTCACTGTTCTCTAGATGCTTTTAAGATTTTCTTTTTTTTGGTTTTCGGTAGTTTGGTTATAATGTGCCTAGGAATTTTTTTTAATGTATTCTGATTGAAATCTCTAGATATGTACATTTATGGCTTACATCAAATTTGGAAAATTTTCAGCCATAATTTCTTTACATATTTTTCTGCCCCATTTTCTCCCTCTGTTTCTTGACTCCAATTATACATATACTGAACATTTTGATATTGTCCTACAAATATCTGATAATCTGTTCATTTTAAAATATTTTTTCCTTCTCATTTTCAGGTATTATAATTTCTATGAATCTATATTTACATTCATTTTCTTTTTCCTCTGTCACCTCTATTTTTCTCTTAAGCCCATCTAATGAAGTTTTAATTTCAGCTTTTGCATTTTTTATCTCCAAAATTTTCTTTTTTGTGTTTTCTATTTTTCTGCTGATATTTCCAATTCACTTCTAGTGTAATTTCTTTCATTAATTTAATATAGTTATAATAGCTGCTTTAAAGTCCTCATATGACAATTTTAACATCTAGGTCATCTCAGAGTTGGCCTGTGCTGATTATATTTTCTCTTGAGAATTGGTCACATTTTCCTGGCTGTTTGTGTGTCCAGTAATTTTGGATTATACTCTGAATATTGTGGACATTATGTTATGGAGGATCTGGGTTCTGTTATATTTGTCCAATGAATGCTGATGTTTTGTTGTCTCAGAAAATTTAACGGGGAACTTGCCCTCTTGCCAGTTTTGACTACCTTACTCTATCTTCCTTCTTTTGTTTATACTTCACAATTCTCAAGTGTTTATTACATACACACACAACACACACACACACACACACACATATATATATACATATATATACAGAGAGAGAGAGAGAGAGAGAGTCTGGAGTTAATAGTGGTTGCTATTTGTGGCATAATTGGTCCGTACAGCACTTATCATGTCATCTCTGAGGCAGCACCTCCTTCTTGATTGTTTAAAGGTAAATTTGATATTTTGAAGTGTCCTTTTATACCCCCAAGACTTTGATAACTGAGTTTAGTTAAAACAAATATACACAGCAACTTGCTAAATTTTAAAAATCATTTTCCCAGAAGTCAAAATCATTTTTCTCCTTTCATTTGCATAATCTTTTCTCTTCTTGCAATTAATAGCACTCAACAAAATTAAGCCTAATGTAGTTGGGCAGACAATAATTTCAAGACCTCTGTGTCTAGGCCCCTTTGTATTGACATTGAGAATAACTTGGTCATAAAATAAGGTTTAATATGACAAATAAACACAGCCACCACTAGCCACCACTAACAAAACCAGAACCTTCATTCCAGGGTTTTACCCCATAATTCAGTATGGACAATCCAACTGAGTTTCTGGTTTAGATAAATGATTTCACTTTCCTCAAAGACATGAGTATTGGAAACTTCTGGGTTGGTGATTTTGACATGTATTCTCAAAACAACTAGAACTTTTATAGTTATTCCTTTTTAAATGTCAAGATTAAATCTGTGATCAAGGACCTTTTAAGTATATCTTAAGAATCAGGATAGTACAATCTAGTAATGGGTACTTACAATGTACCACCAGGCACTATTCTAAGTGCTTTATGCATATCATCTCATTTAATCCTCACAGTAGTCCTGTGAAGTAAGAACTATTATTGTACCCCTGTGATGGTTAATTTTATGTGTCAACTTGACTGGGCCATGGAATGCACAGACGTCTAGCTAAACATTATTTTTGGTTGTGTCTGTGAGGGTGTTTCGACATGAGGTTAGCATTAGAATTGTTAGACTGAATAAAAATATTGCCCTTCCCAGTGTAGGTGGGCATCATCCAATCCATTCAGGACCTGAATAGAACAAAAGGTAGAGGAAAGGTGGATTCTTTCTCTTCCTGACTGCTTAAGCTCAGACATTGGTCTTCCTCTGCCTTTGAATTTGGACGGGAAGTTACAGCCTCCTTTCTCCTGGTTCTCAGTCCTTCAGATTCAGACTAGAACTACACCATTGGCATTTCTGGATATCCAGCTTGCAAATGGAAGACTGTGAGACTTCTCAGCCTCCACAAACACACGAGCCAATTAGCCAATTTTTTTATTATACACATACACACACACACACACACACACATATATATATATATACACATATATATCTGATTGTGGGACAATGTGAGGATTAAATGAGATTATATGCATAAAGCACTTAGAATAGTGCCTGGTTGTGCATTGTAGGTAGGGGTGTGTGTGTGTGTGTGTGTGTCTGTGTGTGTGTATAAATTGGTTCTGTTTTTCTGGAGAACGCTGACTAATGCAACCCATTTCTCATATAAAGAAACTTAGACATGGATTTGAGTTTGAGTCCTGGTTTCTCTTTGGGCAGGAAGAGTAGATGAGGTAAGACTGAACTTAGGTAATCCTGAGTCCCTAGGGAAATTCCATTATGATACTATTTGTATCAGTTAGAAATTTTTGGTTATAAATAACAGAAAACCTAATTCAATCTTTCTCAAAAAATAGTGAATATGTGGTTCATATATTAGTAAAGAATGCCTTACAGAGGCTTACTCAAACAAGAATGTATTATTATCATATATCAAGAAGTTTCTAAGTAGGTTGCTTCATGGGTTTGTTTAGCAGCCTGACAATGTCACAATTTTTACAATTATCTTTGCACTTCCCTCATGCTTGTCACTTCATGGCTACAAAGTAGTGCTGCAGCTCCAGAGATCAAATCTGCATTCAATGCAAGAAATAAAGATGGATGAGTAGTACCACTCATATATGTCCCCTTTATCAAGAAAAAAACAAAAAATTGTTGGAAATTCCTCAGCAAAATTTCACTTATATCTCTTTGGCAAACTGTCATATGGCCACATCTAGTTACAAAGGAGGATGATAAAGTGAATATTCAGATTTTTCTGCCTTTAGAGTGGCAAACCACATAAAAAATGGATTTGGGAATGGATGTTGGGTCAGCTAATTGGCAGTGTCTACCACATTCCATTTCTCTGCATCTCTTAGTTCTTCCTTCTTTGCTGTATAAACTTCATCTTCAGGCTAACCCTGATATGGTGGCAAGATGTTTTCTGCTTATCTAAAGCTCACATCCTCATGCCATCAATTCCCAGGGAAGAGAAATAACTTATCTTTAACCAGTATATTTTTTTCATTTTATAGGCTCTCAATGAATTGTGTACCAATCCCCAAATCAATTACTTTGACCAAGATGGTTGAGAATGTGAGAAGAGTAGTTTCAAAAAGGGAATTCAAGGTATTGTTATCAGAAGTAGGGAGTAATGGATGCTGAGAAGCAAGCAAGTAATCAACTATCTATCCCTATTTCACCATCCACTTTAATATTTTGTGACTCTTTCCTTCCCCATTTGCACTAGAGACAATCTGGTTAGACTGTGCTGATTAATACGGAATGGCTATCAACGTGTAGTTGGGTATTACATGTGAAAATCAATGGTGTAGAGATTTCCCCAGTCAATGAATATCCTATATCAAAATTTAACCTAATAAGTGGTATCCACATAGGACTATAACTAACATCATAATAATGAAAGACTGAATTCTTGTTTCCACTAAGATTGAAAAGAAGGCAAAGATATTCACTAACACCACTCATAATCAACATTGTATTGGAATCCCTAGCCAGTGCTAAGATTTAAGTAAGAAAAAAGAAATATAAGACAAACAGATTGGAAAGTAAGAAAGGTGACTCTCTCTATTCACAGACAACAACAGTGTCTCTATAGATAATCCCAAAGAGTCTACAGAAAAACTTCTAGAACTCATAGTTTTTTTGAACCCATCAGGGAGCTTGGGTTTCAGAGCAAACAGTTGGCCCGTATCTAAGGGAGAAAGAATGGTGCATGTGACAAAAGAGAAGACAAAATTACACACTCATATAAGACACAACAAGAACCTTGTAAGAAGCATTGAGCTAGAATAGTTGACAACGTGGTGAAGCCTGAGAGTAATCTGGCAAGACAGCGTGAAACCCCTATGTGCCAAGAACTTGGAGGGGTCAGTGTCACCTTGCACGGTCCTCCATGAACCTCAACGGGTGCTCCCAGAAAATATCAGAAAGCGTTCTAGAAGTGTATGTTGTGATGCAGATTTGGAGTAAGATATCAGTAGCTATGCTGGAGGAACAAGAAACTCCCACTGGATATTTCTCCTCTACTTCCAATACAGAAAATGAAGCCTTGAACTATGGAGGGAAGGGCAACCAGAACCTCTGGCATTATGGCATTGATGAACACTTATTGCCTCTGGGGAAAGGGAACAGGAGGAAAGCTTTACTTCTGAGAAAGGAGTAGGGTTATATGTTGAGCCTACAACTACAGCTGGGGAGAGTCAGGAAAACCTATCAGATCATATACCTAAGATGCAAGAACATAGTGCATGCCTATAACTAACTCTTAATCAGAACAACAGAGGCCACACCCCAAACTACCATCAAGCTAAAAAGCCTAAAATAGTAAATAACAACAGAATTCTGCTTGGAGATGAATGAGAAAGGAACAAAGACACATTCTCTGGGGCACAGCACAAATGGAAACCCTTAATCTCTTTTTTTTTTTTTTTGTATATATGTTAAGGTTTAATACCCAAAGTATATAAAAAACTTCTACAATTCAACAACAAAAAGACAAAACATTTTAAAACAAAATGGTTGTAAACAAACAACAAAAAGACAACCATTTTTGTCCATCTTACAATGGACAAAAGGCTTGAATAAACATTTCTCCAAAGAAGATAAACAAATGGCCAATAAGCACTTGAAAAGATGTCAACATCATTAGTCAATGGAGACATACAAACTAAAACTCCAAGCTATCACTTCACACTTACTATGATGACTATTATTAAAAAATGGAAAATAACAAGTGTTGTTGAGGATATGGGGAAATTGAAATCTTTATAAGTTAGCAATAGGAATGTGAAATGGTGCAGCTGATGTGGAAAACAGTTTGGCAGTTCCTCAACAAGTTAGACACAATTACCATATTAGCACACCTGGGTATGTACTCAAAATAATGGAAAAGAGTTACTCAAAAAAATACTTGTACACCAATGTTCATAGCAGCATTATTCACAATAGCCAAAAGGTGGAAATAATCCAAGAGTCTATCAACAGAAGAATGGATAAACAAAATGTGGCATATACACACAATGGAATACTATTCAGCCATAAAAAGGAATGAAGTTCTTTTTTTTTTTTTTTTTATTATACTCTAAGTTTTAGGGTACATGTGCAGGTTAGTTACATATGTATACATGTGCCATGCTGGTGCGCTGCACCCACTAATGTGTCATCTAGCATTAGGTATATCTCCCAATGCTATCCCTCCCCCCTCCCCTGACCCCACCACAGTCCCCAGAGTGTGATATTCCCCTTCCTGTGTCCATGTGATCTCATTGTTCAATTCCCACCTATGAGTGAGAATATGCGGTGTTTGGTTTTTTGTTCTTGCGATAGTTTACTGAGAATGATGGTTTCCAATTTCATCCATGTCCCTACAAAGGATATGAACTCATCATTTTTTATGGCTGCATAGTATTCCATGGTGTATATGTGCCACATTTTCTTAATCCAGTCTATCATTGTTGGACATTTGGGTTGGTTCCAAGTCTTTGCTATTGTGAATAGTGCCGCAATAAACATACGTGTGCATGTGTCTTTATAGCAGCATGATTTATACTCATTTGGGTATATACCCAGTAATGGGATGGCTGGGTCAAATGGTATTTCTAGTTCTAGATCCCTGAGGAATCGCCACACTGACTTCCACAATGGTTGAACTAGTTTACAGTCCCACCAACAGTGTAAAAGTGTTCCTATTTCTCCACATCCTCTCCAGCACCTGTTGTTTCCTGACTTTTTAATGATTGCCATTCTAACTGGTGTGAGATGATATCTCATAGTGGTTTTGATTTGCATTTCTCTGATGGCCAGTGATGATGAGCATTTCTTCATGTGTTTTTTGGCTGCATAAATGTCTTCTTTTGAGAAGTGTCTGTTCATGTCCTTCGCCCACTTTTTGATGGGGTTGTTTGTTTTTTTCTTGTAAATTTGTTTGAGTTCATTGTAGATTCTGGATATTAGCCCTTTGTCAGATGAGTAGGTTGCGAAAATTTTCTCCCATGTTGTAGGTTGCCTGTTCACTCTGATGGTAGTTTCTTTTGCTGTGCAGAAGCTCTTTAGTTTAATTAGATCCCATTTGTCAATTTTGTCTTTTGTTGCCATTGCTTTTGGTGTTTTGGACATGAAGTCCTTGCCCACGCCTATGTCCTGAATGGTAATGCCTAGGTTTTCTTCTAGGGTTTTTATGGTTTTAGGTTTAACGTTTAAATCTTTAATCCATCTTGAATTGATTTTTGTATAAGGTGTAAGGAAGGGATCCAGTTTCAGCTTTCTACATATGGCTAGCCAGTTTTCCCAGCACCATTTATTAAATAGGGAATCCTTTCCCCATTGCTTGTTTTTCTCAGGTTTGTCAAAGATCAGATAGTTGTAGATATGCGGCATTATTTCTGAGGGCTCTGTTCTGTTCCATTGATCTATATCTCTGTTTTGGTACCAGTACCATGCTGTTTTGGTTACTGTAGCCTTGTAGTATAGTTTGAAGTCAGGTAGTGTGATGCCTCCAGCTTTGTTCTTTTGGCTTAGGATTGACTTGGCAATGCGGGCTCTTTTTTGGTTCCATATGAACTTTAAAGTAGTTTTTTCCAATTCTGTGAAGAAAGTCATTGGTAGCTTGATGGGGATGGCATTGAATCTGTAAATTACCTTGGGCAGTATGGCCATTTTCACGATATTGATTCTTCCTACCCATGAGCATGGAATGTTCTTCCATTTGTTTGTGTCCTCTTTTATTTCCTTGAGCAGTGGTTTGTAGTTCTCCTTGAAGAGGTCCTTCACATCCCTTGTAAGTTGGATTCCTAGGTATTTTATTCTCTTTGAAGCAATTGCGAATGGGAGTTCACCCATGATTTGGCTCTCTGTTTGTCTGTTGTTGGTGTATAAGAATGCTTGTGATTTTTGTACATTGATTTTGTATCCTGAGACTTTGCTGAAGTTGCTTATCAGCTTAAGGAGATTTTGGGCTGAGACGATGGGGTTTTCTAGATAAACAATCATGTCGTCTGCAAACAGGGACAATTTGACTTCCTCTTTTCCTAATTGAATACCCTTTATTTCCTTCTCCTGCCTGATTGCCCTGGCCAGAACTTCCAACACTATGTTGAATAGGAGCGGTGAGAGAGGGCATCCCTGTCTTGTGCCAGTTTTCAAAGGGAATGCTTCCAGTTTTTGCCCATTCAGTATGATATTGGCTGTGGGTTTGTCATAGATAGCTCTTATTATTTTGAAATACGTCCCATCAATACCTAATTTATTGAGAGTTTTTAGCATGAAGGGTTGTTGAATTTTGTCAAAGGCTTTTTCTGCATCTATTGAGATAATCATGTGGTTTTTGTCTTTGGCTCTGTTTATATGCTGGATTACATTTATTGATTTGCGTATATTGAACCAGCCTTGCATCCCAGGGATGAAGCCCACTTGCTCATGGTGGAAAAGCTTTTTGATGTGCTGCTGGATTCGGTTTGCCAGTATTTTATTGAGGATTTTTGCATCAATGTTCATCAAGGATATTGGTCTAAAATTCTCTTTTTTGGTTGTGTCTCTGCCCGGCTTTGGTATCAGAATGATGCTGGCCTCATAAAATGAGTTAGGGAGGATTCCCTCTTTTTCTATTGATTGGAATAGTTTCAGAAGGAATGGTACCAGTTCCTCCTTGTACCTCTGGTAGAATTCGGCTGTGAATCCATCTGGTCCTGGACTCTTTTTGGTTGGTAAACTATTGATTATTGCCACAATTTCAGAGCCTGTTATTGGTCTATTCAGAGATTCAACTTCTTCCTGGTTTAGTCTTGGGAGAGTGTATGTGTCGAGGAATGTATCCATTTCTTCTAGATTTTCTAGTTTATTTGCGTAGAGGTGTTTGTAGTATTCTCTGATGGTAGTTTGTATTTCTGTGGGATCGGTGGTGATATCCCCTTTATCATTTTTTATTGTGTCTATTTGATTCTTCTCTCTTTTTTTCTTTATTAGTCTTGCTAGCGGTCTATCAATTTTGTTGATCCTTTCAAAAAACCAGCTCCTGGATTCATTGATTTTTTGAAGGGTTTTTTGTGTCTCTATTTCCTTGAGTTCTGCTCTGATTTTAGTTATTTCTTGCCTTCTGCTAGCTTTTGAATGTGTTTGCTCTTGCTTTTCTAGTTCTTTTAATTGTGATGTTAGGGTGTCAATTTTGGATCTTTCCTGCTTTCTCTTGTAGGCATTTAGTGCAATAAATTTCCCTCTACACACTGCTTTGAATGTGTCCCAGAGATTCTGGTATGTGGTGTCTTTGTTCTCGTTGGGGAAACCCTTAATCTCATAATTGAACAGATATTGTTCTGGTCGACCATTCTCCATGATAGACACAAATTCTCTATAAAAATTTGAAGCCTGTGGTGGTTCACTGATGGTAACCATAGCAGCAATATATCTCAAATTGAGCCTAACTACTAACTGTAATAATGCAAACCCTCGCACTAAAGGCCTACTAGAAGGAAAGGCGTGTGCATTTCAAGGCATAAAATCTATTTACCTTGGTCTCTATTTCCTACCCAACTTATTCAACTTTCCACAAAATATTATGAGGCATGTGAAAAGGCAAAAAAAAGAATCAACACATTCCCAAAGATACAAGAAATATTCAAAATCAAAATTAGATACGACACAAATTTGGAAACTCTCTGACAGGTAACTTAAAATAACTATGAGTAATTAGTTAAATGTTCCACCAGAAAAAGTGGACAACACACAAGATAGATGGGTAATTTCTGCAGAGAGATCAAAACTATAATAAAGAATCAAATATAAATGCTAGAAATAAAAAACAAAATAACGGAGATGAAGAATGCCTTTGAGGGGCCCAACAGAACTGACACCTCTGAGGACAAAATCCATAGACCTTAAAATATATTAAATTGAAACAAAAATTTAGACCAATAAATTGATTACATTGAGACAAAAAAAGAATGAGGAAAAGAAAACATTCAAGAGCTGTGTGACAATATCAAATGTTCTAACATTCATGTAATTAGAATCACCAAAGAAAAAGAGAGAAAGAATGGGGCAGAAAAAGTATTTTAAAAAATAATGACTGAGAATTTTTTTTAAATTAATGACAAACACCAAATTGCATACCCAAGCTCAGAGTGCACCAAACATGACTTTTTAAAAACCAAACAAATTAGGCATATTTTATTCAAACTGCTGGAAGACAAAAGACAAAGAGAAAATCCTGAAGTCAGAGAAAAGGAAACATCAAACATAGAGAAAAAAGATAATAACAGCAGACTATTTGTCATAAGCCATACAAGTCAGGACACAATGGAATGATCATTTTAACAGGTAGAAAGAATAATTTGTCAACCCAGGATTCTATATCCAGAAAAAAATCTTTTTAAAATGAAGGTGAAATAAAAACTGTATCAGACAAGCAAAAACTGAGATAATTCATTTTCAGAAGACTCATTCTACAAGATAAAGGAAAGTTTTTCAGGCAGAAAGAGTATCATATCAGACTAAAATGTGGGACTACACAAGGAAATAAAGAGTGCTGGAAATGAAGCATAGGAAGGTAAAGTTAAATTATTTTTCTTATTTGTATTGTTCTAAATGATAACTCACTGTCTAAAGAAAAAATATAATAATTTATTGTATATTTATAGCATATATAAAATTAGAAGTTGTGCTAACAAAAGCACAATGGATGGGAGGGAGCAATTGGGAATGTACAGTTGTAAAAGCCTTACACTTCATGTGAAGTAGGAGAATAATATTTGCTGGTAGACTGTGATTTTTTGAATGTGTATCATAAACTCTGGGAAGGCACTAAATTTTTATTTAAAATGTCATTAAGAGAAGATAAAGCAGAATTTTTAAATGCTCAAATAACACAAGAGAAGGCAGAAAAGGAAGAATAATGAAACACAGATGAAATATAACAAATAGAAAACAGCTAAGAAAATGGTAGATTTTAATCCAACCATATCAATAATCACATTAAGTGTAAATATTCTGAAGACACCAATTTAAAGGCAGTATCAGATTGGATTTAAAAATAATCAAGACCCAACTATACGTTGTCTACAAGAAACTCACTTTAACTGTAAAGGTATAGATATGTTGAAAGTAAAAGAGTGGAGAAATACATATAATGCAAACACTAGCTGAAACAAAACTAGAATAGCTATGCTAATATTAGACAAAAATAAACTTCAGAAAAGGAATATTAACAGGGATATAGAGAGACATACATGATGATGAAGGGATCAACTCTCCAAAAGACATAATCCAAAAGACATAATGCTCTTTACAACATAGTACTATGTACATAGCACATAGTATATGAAGCACTTTAAATTACTGAAATTGAAGAATACAGAAATCCACAATTATAGCTGAACACTTCGACAATTCTGTCAACAGCTAGTAGAACGAATAAACAGAAAATTAACAAGGATATAGAAGATCTGAACAGCACTAACAAGAACTAATTGACATTTATAAAACATTCCACCCAACAAAAGCAGAATACAATTTCTTTTCAAATGTGTGTGGAATATTCACCAATGTAGACCATACTTAGGGTCATAAGACAAACCTCAGCAAATTTAAAAGAATATTCATCATATAAAGTATGTCCTCAGATTGCAGTAGAATTAAACTGGAAATCAATAACAGATAATCTGGAAAAATTCCCAACTTTTTTGTAAATTGAACAACATCCATCTAAGTCACCCAATGATCAGAGAAGAAATATGAAAGGGAATTTTAAAATATTTTGAACTGAATGAAGATGAAAATGCCACAGATAAAACTTTGCATGGTGTAGCTACATTAGTTAGCTTAGAGGGAAATTTATATTTTTAAATTCTTATATTAGGAAATAAGTCTTACATAAATAATCTCAGCTTCCACCTAAGAAGTTCAAAATAAACCCACAGTAAGCAGAAGAAAGGAAATAATAAAGCTGAGAAAAAATCAATAAAGTTTAAAAGAGAAAATTAATAGATATCAATGGAACAAAAGTTGCCTTTTTAAAAATATCAACAAAATTGATAGACCTTTAGCCAGAATGATCAAGAAAAAAAAAATCAAGAAGACAATTACCAATATCAGGAAAGAATAATTCCCATTTAACTAAAGACCACACATACATTAAAAAGATGAAGGAATATTAAGAACAACTTTATATTCACAAATGGAACAATTTAGATGAAATGGGCTAAATCCCTGGGAGGCGCGAACTACAAAAACTCATCCAAGAAGAAATAACCATAGCAATGGTACATCTATTTTAAAATTTTAATCTGTAGTTAAAATTTTCCATAAAAGAACACCGTAGGCCCATATTATTTCATTGGTACATTCTCCCAAATACTTATGGGATGATCTTTTAAAAGAAACAATTTATGGTTTAAATGATTTTCTTCTACTTCTATTACATTTTTTCTTTTCTATTTCATTGATTTGTGCTCTGATTTTATTTCTTTTCTTTCCTTTCCTTGCTTTAGGTTTAATTTGCTCTTGTTTTTCTAGTTTCTGAAGGTGGAAGTTTAGATTATTGATTTGCAATGTTTCTTCATTATGATAAAGAGTTTAAAGTATAAATTTTTTTCCAAGCACTGCTTAAGGGGCATACCATAAATTTCGATACGTTTTGTTGTCATTTTCCTCCAGTTAAAATGCATTATAACTTTCCTTGTGATTTCTTTTATTTATGGATCGTTTGGAAGTGTAGTTGAATATTTCCAAATATTTGGGGAGCTCTAAATTTCTTTCTGTTGTTTATTTCTAATCTAATTTGTTGTCAGAGAACATAGATTTGTTTTGAACCTTTTGAATTTATTGAGACTTGGTTTGTGGCCTATTATATGGTCTATACCGTAGAATGTTTCATGTTTGCTTCAATAAAATGTGTATTATGTTGTTATTGTGTAAAATGTTCTAAAATGTCAGGTCACACTGGTGTTGTTCAAGTTTTCTCTTCATCTTTACTAATATCTATTTGTCCTAGCAATTATTAAGATTTTTGAAATCTCTGCTGCTTTTTTCAATTCTTTCAGATTTTGCTTTATGTGTATTAGGGCTCTGTTGTTAGGTGGGAATGCATTTATAATTGTTACATATTTATGATTATGAACTGGTCCCTTTATTTCTAATACTCTTTCTTGTCTTAAAGTCTATGTACTCATATCAATATAGCCATTTCAACTCCTTATGTTTATAACATGCATGGTATGTATTTTTCCATCCTTTTACTTTCAAACTCCTTGTATCTTTAATCTAAAATATGTCTCCAGCAAATAGCATATAGTTGGATTTTGCTTTTTCACCTAGTTTGATAATATCCACCTTTTGATTAGAGTATATTATTTATTCATATTTAATTTAATAAAGATATGATTAGATTTACATGTGATCTTTGCTAATATTTTCTACATGTGTCATATCTTTTTTGTTCCTCTTCTACTAGCTCCTTTTTAGTTGAATATTTTATAATATACAATTTTAATTCTTCTGTTGAGTTTTTAATTCTATTTTTGAGCTATTTTGTTAATGGCTGCTCCAGGGATTACAATATGGCTCTTAATTTATCAGTCTCTACTTTGCATAGTCATCTGGTATGTGTTTCCTTCAGCTCAAAGAGTTCCTTTCAAACTTCTTATAGGGCTGATCTCTTAGCAGTGAATTTTCTCACTCTTTGTTTATGTGACACTGTATTTATTTTGCCTTCACTTTTGAAAGATAATTCTGAATAACATAGTATTCTTGCTCAACAGATTTTTTTCTCTCAGCACTTTGAATATATAATCCCACTGCCTTCTGGCCTCCATTGATTCTGATGAAATGCAAGCCATTAACAGTCATTCCCTTATACATGATGAGTTATCTCCTGCTGCTTTCTAAATTATTTTCTTTGCCTTTGTTACTTAGCATCTTGACTAGGATGTGTCCAGGTGTGGCTGTTTGTATTTATCTTATATGGCATTTGCTGAGCTTCTTTGACGTGTAGATTAATGCTTCTCATCAAATTTGAGAAGTTGTTATTTTTGCTTCAATCTTTCTTCATATTTTTTATTTTTAATTTCTGTACATAGCAGGTATATATATTTATGTGGTACATGAGATATTTTGGTACAGATAGCTAATGCATAATAATCACATCATGGAAAATCAGTATTCACCCCATCAAGCATTTATCCTTTGTGTTACAAACAATCTAATTATACTCTTTTTAGTTATTTTAAAATGTACAATTAGGTTATTATTGACTCTAGTTCCCCCATTGTTATGCTATCAAATACTAGAAGTTACTCATTCTAACTATTTTTTGGTACCCATTAACCATCCCCACCTTTTCCCTATTAACGACTACAATTTGAGGCTCTGGTATCCATTCTTCTATACTCTATCTCCATTAGTTCAATGACTAATGACTGCCAGTTCCATCCATGTTGTTGCAAATGACAGGATCTCATTATTTTTTATGACTGAATAATACCTCATTGTGTATATGTACATTTTCTTTATCCATTTATCAGTTGAGGGACACTTAGGTTGCTTCCAAATCTTGGCTATTGTGAACAGTGCTGCAACAAACATGAGGGTGCAGATGTCTCTTTGATATACTGATTTCTTGTCTTTTGGGCATATACCCAGCAATGGGATTGCTGGATTGTATGGTAGCTCTATTTTTAGATTTTGGAGGAACCTCCAAACTGTTCTCCATAGTTGTTGTACTAATTTACATTCCCGCCAACAATGTATAAAGGTTCCCTTTTCTCCACACCCTCACTAGCATCTGTTATTGTCTGTCTTTTGGATATAAGCCATTTTAAGTGGGGCGAGAGGAGAATGTTGTTTAGATTTGCATTTATCTGATGAGCAATGATGCTGAGCCCTTTTTCATATTCCTGTTTGCATTTGTATGCCTTCTTTTGAGAAATGTCTTCAAGTCTTTTGCCCATTTTTAAATCAGATTTTTATATTTTCTTCTATAGAGTTGTTTGAGCTCCTTATTTATTCTGATTATCAATTCCTTGTCAGATGAGTAGTTTGCAAATATTTTCTTCCATTCTGTGGGTTGTCTCTTCACTTTGTTGATTGTATTCTTTGCTGTGCAGTAGCTCTTTAACTTGATGTGATCCCAGTTTTCCATTTTTGCTTTGGTTGCCTGTGCTTGCAAGGTAATTCTCAAGAAATTTTTGCCCAGACCAATGTCCTGGAGAGTTCTCCCAATGTTTTCTTGTAGTAGTTTCATAAGTTTAGTCTTAGATTTAAGTATTTAATCCATTTGGATTTGGTTTTGTATAAGGTGAGAGATGGGTTCTAGGTTCATTCTTCTGCTTATGTATATCCACTATTCCCCTCAGCATTTATTGAAGAGACTTCCTTTTCCCCAATGTATGTTCTTGGCACTTTTACAGAAAGTGAGTTCACTGTAGGTATGTGGATTTGTTTCTGGGTTCTCTATTCTGTTCCATTGGCCTATGTGTATATTCTTATGCGAGTACCATGCTGTTTTGATTACCATAGCTCTGTAATATAATTTGAAGTCAGGTAATATAATTCCTCCAGTTTTCTTCTTTTTGCTCAAAATAGATTGGGCTACTTTGGGTCTTTTGTGGTTCTATATAAATTTTAGAATTGCTTTTTTTTATTTCTGTGAAGAATATCACTGGTATTTTGATACGGATTGCATTGAATCTGTAGATTGCTTTGGGTAGTATGAACATTTTGACAACATTGATTCTTCCAATCCATAAACATAGAATATCTTTCCATTTTTTGTGCGTACTCTTCAATTTCTTTCATCAGTGTTTTACAACTTTCATTGTAGAGATCTTTAACTTCTTTGGTTAAGTTAATTTCTAGGTATTTAAATTTTTGTGTGGCTATTGTAAATGGGATTACTTTTTGATTTTTTTCAGATTGTTTGCTGTTGGAATATAGTAATGCCATTGAGTTTTGTATGTTGATTTTGTATCCTGCAATGTTACTGAATGTGTTTTATCAGTTCCAATAGGTTTCTTATGGAGTCTTTAGGTTTTTCCAAATATAAGATCATATCATCTGCAAACAGGGATAATTTAACTTCTTCCTTTCCAATTTGGAGGTCCTTTATTTCTTTCTCTTGTCTGATTGCTCTAGCTAGGACTTCCAATACTATGTTGAATAACAGTGGCAAAAATAAGCATCCTTGTCATGTTCTGATCTTAGAGGAAAAGCTTTCAACTTTTCCCCATTCACTATAATACTAGCTGTGGGTCTGTCATCTATGGCTTTTATTATGTTGAAGTATGTTCCATCTATATACCTAGGTTTTTTTAGGGTTTTTCTTTATCATGAAGGGATGTTGAATTTATCAAATCTTTATTAAGCGTTTATTTTAATGATCATATGGTTTTTGTCCTTCATTCTGTTGCTGTATCACATTGATTGACTTGCATATGGTGAACCATTCTTGCATTCCTGGGATAAATCCCACTTGGTCATGATAAATGATCTTCTCAGTGTGTTGTGCAACTTGGTTTGCTAGTATTTTGTTGAAGAATTTGCATCAATATTCATCAGGGATGTTAGCCTATAGTTTTCTTTTATTGATGCATATTTGTCTAGTTTTGATATCAGAGTAACACTGGCATCATAGAATGAGTTTAGAAGTATTCCCTCTTTATTTTTTAAAATAGTTTGAGTAGGATTGGTATTAGTTCTTTGAATGTTTGGTAGAATTCAGCAGTGAAGCCAATGGGTCCCAAACTTTTCTTTACTGGGAGACTTTTTATTACAGATTCTTCTAGTTACTTGTTATTGGTCTGTTCAGGTTTTGGATTTCTTCATGATTCAATCTTGGTAGGTTGTATATATCTAGGAATTTATCCATTTATTCTAAATTTTCCAATTTATTGGCATATAGTTGCTCATAGTAGCTGCTAGTGATCCTTTGAATTTCTGTGGTATCAGTTGCTATGTCTTTGTGTTTCATCTCTGATTTTATTTATTTGGGCCTCTCTCTTTTTTCTTATTTAGTCTGGCTAAAAGTTTGTGAATTTTGTTTACCTTTTTTGAAAACCAACTTTTGTTTCATTGACCTTTTGTATTGTTTTGTTCATTTCAGATTAATTTATTTCTGTTCTGATCTTTATTATTTCTTTTTACTATTTTTTTTTTGCTATTTATTTTTACTTTATTATTTCTTTTTATCTATTTACTAATTTTGGGATCGGTTTGTTCTTGGCTTTCTAGCTCTTTAAGATGCATCTTTAGGTTGTTTTTTTGAAGCTTTTCTTCTTTTTTGTTGTAGGGACTTATAGCTATAAATTTTTCTCTAGTACTGCTTTTGCTGTATCCCTTAGGTTTTGGTATGTTGTGTTTCCATTATCATTTCTTTCAAAAACTTTTTGAATTTTCTTCTTAATTTCATCATTGACCAACTGATCATTCAGGAGCATATCATTTAATTTCTGTATGTTTATATAGTTTCCAAAATTTCTCTTGTTATTTATTTATAGTTTTATTCCATTGTGATGCTTGATATTATTTCAAGTTTTTGCATGTTTTAAGATTTGTTTTGTTACCTAACATATGATCTATCATTGTGAATGATTTATGTTTTGAGGAGAAAAATGTGCATCCTGCAGTTGTTGGATGAAATGTTCTATAAATATCCATTAGGTTCATTTGTTCTATAGAGCATAATTAGTCCATGTTTCTTTGTTGATTTTCTGTCTGGGAGATTTGTCCAATGCTTAAAGTGGGGTATTGAAGCCTTCAGCTATTATTGTATTGGGGTCTATCTCTCTTTAGCTCTAATAATATTTGCTTTGTATATCTGGGTGCCCCAATATCAGGTACATATGTATTTACAATCATGTTCTCTTGCTGAATTGGCCCCATAATCATTATATGATGACCTTTGTCTCTTCTTACAATTTTTGTTGTGAGGTCTACTTTGTCTGATATATGTATAGCTACTTCTGCTCTTTTTGGTTTCATTGGCATGGAATATCATTTTCCATTTCTTTGTTTTCAGTCTATATGTATCTTTATAGGTGAAGTGTGTTTATTGTAGGCAACAGATCATTGGGTCTTGTTTTTTAATTTATGCAGCCATTCTGTTTTTTAATTGGAGAGTTTAGTCTATTTACATTCAATGTCCTTATTAATAAGTAGAGACTTACACCTGCCATTTTGTTATTTGTTTTCTGGTTGTTTTGTGATCTCTTCCTTCTTTCATTCCTTCCTGTCTTGAAAAGGTGATTTTCTCTGGTGGTATAATTTAATTTCTTGTTTTTTATTTTTTGTGTCTGTTATATGTTTTTCAATTTGAGGTTACCATGAGGCCTGCAGATACTATCTTATATCCCATGATTTTAAACTGCTGACAATTTAACTCTGATTGCATAAACAAACATACATGCAGAAAGAAAACTAATACAAACTCTACACTTTAACTTCATCCCCTTGCTTTTTAATTTTTTGTTGTTTCCC
Organism: Homo sapiens; assembly: GCF_000001405.40. NCBI lineage: Eukaryota > Metazoa > Chordata > Mammalia > Primates > Hominidae > Homo > Homo sapiens. The sequence continues at coordinate 155,713,019 of NC_000023.11, forward strand.
TTTATGTCTTACTGTACTGTCTGTGTCTTGAAAAGTTGTTTTGGTTATTATTTTTGATTGGTTCATCATTTAATCTTTCTTTTTTTAATTTTACTTTAAGTTCTGGGATACACATGTAGAACGTGCAGGTTTGATACATAGGTATACATGTGCCATGGTGGTTTGCTGCACCTATCAACCCGTCATTATTTATTCTTTCTATGTAAGTTAAGAGAAGCTTACACACCACTTACAGTGTTGTACTATTCTGTATTTTTCTGTGTGCATACTATTACCAGTGAGTTTTGTACCTTTAAATAATTTCTCATTAATGCCCATTAATGTCTTTTTCTTTCAGATTGAGGTACTCCCTTTAGCATTTTTTGTAGGACAGGTCTGGAGTTGATTAAATCTCTCAGCTTTTGTTTGTCTGGGAATGTATTTCTCCTTCATGCTTTAAGGATATTTTCACTGGATATACTATTCTAGGGTAAAAGGTTTATTGTTTCAACACTTATATCATGCCACTCCCTCCTTGCCTGTAAGGTTTCCACTGAAAAGTCTGCTGCCAGACATATTGAAGCTCTATCATATGATATTTCTTTTCTCTTGCTGCATTTAGGCTCCTTTCTTTATCCTTGACCTTTGAGAGTTTGATTGTTAAATGCCTTGAGGTAGTCTTTGGGTTAAATCTGCTTAGTGTTGTATAAGCTTCTTGTGCTTGAATGTTATCTTTCTCTAGGTTTGGGACATTCTGTCATATAATGTCTTTGAAAAAAACTTCCTACTCATAGCTCTTTCCCTACCTTCTCTTTAAGGCCAATAACTCTTAGATTTGCCCTTTTGAGACTATTTTCCAGATCTGTAGGCATACTTCATTTTTTTATTCTTTTTTATTTTGTCTCCTCTGACTTTGTATTTTCAAATAGCCTGTCTTCAAGCTCACTAATTCTTTCTTCTGCTTCATCAATTCTGCTATGAAGAGACTCTGATGCATTCTTCAGCATGTCAGTTGCATTTTTAACTCTAGAATTTTTGCTTGATTCTTTTTAAGTTTTTAAATCTTTGTGTTAAATTTATCTGATAGAATTCTGAAGTTCTTCTTTATGTTTTTTTGAATTTCTTTGAGTTTCCTTAAAACAGCTATTTTGAATTCTCTGTCTGAAAGGCCAGATATCTGTTTCTCCAGGATTGATCCCTGATGCCTTATTTACTTCATTTGATGAGATTATGTTTTCTTTTCCTGGATGGTGTTGATGCTTGTAGATGTTCTTCAGTGTCTGAGTGTTGAAGTGTTAGGCATTCATTGTAGTCTTCAAAATACGGGCTTGTTTCTGTCTGTCCTTCTTAGGAAGACTTTCCAGGTATTCAAAGGGATTTGGACCCCAAGTCCAATAATGCTTTCACTTTTGCAGACTCATAGAGGTACCACCGTGGTGGTCTTAGATAAGATCTGGAAGAATTATCTGTACTACCAGGCAGAGACTCATTCTTTTTCCTTACTTTCTCCCAAACATATGGCATCTCTTTTTCTCTGTGTTGAGCCACCTGGAACTGGGAGTGTGGTGATGCAAGCATCCCTGTGGCCACCACTAGAGGAACTGTGCTGGGTCAGACCTGAAGCCAGAACAGCACTGGGCCTTACCCAAGGCCCTTCCCTTCAGTGTGGCAAGTTTTTTCAGGCCCCAGGCATGTCTAGAGATGCTGTTTGGGAACCAGGGATTGGAGTCAAAAAATGTAGCAATTTACCTGATGTTCTATTCTACTGTGGCTAAGATGGCACTCAAACCACAATACAAAGTACTTCCTGCTCTTCCCCCAACTTTTCCCAAGCAGAGGAGCCTCTCTCTGTGGCCACCAACACCACCAGTCCACGGGGGATTCTGCCAGCCCACCACCAATGTTTGCGTAAAGCCTAAGGACTTCCATCAGCTTATGGTGAATGCTGCCATTCCTGGGACTCATCTTTCAGGGCAGTGAACTCCTCTCTGGCCCAGAGCAGGTCCAGAAATGCTGTCTAAGAGCCTAGGCCAGTACTTAGGGACTCCAACAGTGTGATTGTTGCTCTACCCTCACTGTGGCTGAGCTAGTACCTGGGGTGCAAGACAAAGTCCCCTTTACTTTTTCCTCTGCTTTTCTCAAACAGAAGGAGTCTTTCACTATAGCCACCACAGCTGGGAATGTGCTGGGTCTCCCCTGAAGTCAGCATATCTCAGAGCCCAAGGTCCATGGCATACTTCCTGGGTATCACTGGTGGTTGTTCGTGGCCCAAGGGCTTTTTAGTCAGCAGGTGATAAATCCTGCCAGGACTGGGTCCTTCCCTTCAAGACAGCAGATTTCCTTTTGGCTCAGGGTGTGTCTAGAAATGTTGTCTGGGAGGTAGGGCCTGGAATGGGTGCCTCACAACTCTGCCTGGTGCCTTATCTTGATGTAGCTGAGCTAGTATCTAAGTTGCAAGACAAAGTCCTCTTTACTCTTCCCTCTCATCTTCAAATGGAAGGAAGGAGTCTCTTTCTGAGTTGTGAGCTGCACTGCCTGTGATTGGATGAGAAGTAGTGCAAGAACTCCCCCAGCTGCCCCAGCTGGTGTCTCACTAGATTGTGTGCCCCCTAAGTCCACTGGCTCTGAGCCCAGTTCAGCACTAGAACTCGCCTAGGAGTTACAGTCCTCATGTCCTTTCAAGGACCCTATTGCACTTCAGCCAGTGGTGGCAAGGCTTGACAAGAAACCCAAGTTCCAATTGCTGGGATACATGATACTGCTCTAGCTAAGGCTGGTCCAAATGTTCCCTCCATGCACAGGTGCTGGCTGAGCCCAGCATGTCTTTATTCTCCATTGTGACAGGGCAGCACTGAGTTTAATGTAAATTCCCCCAGTCGCTGTGCTTGCCCTCCCCAAAGTGCAAAGATTCTCTCACTGTGACACATGGCCACTGCCAGGGGATGGAGGAGGGGTGGCATCAATGATTCAAGACTGTCTCTCTTGCCCTCCTCAATGCCTCTTTCCATAATAAGAAGTTAAAACCAGGTACCGTGATTGCTCATCTGATTTTTGGTTCTTGTGATGGTGCTTTTCTGTGTGAAGATAATTGTTAAAATTTGGTGTTCCAGCAGGGGGGATGAACAGTGTAGGCTTCTATTCCACAATCTTTCTTGCCCCTGCTTTAATCTTTTTCTCTGAATTCTTCATATTAGATAATTTCTATCACTCTGTCTTTAGGTTCACTGATTCCTTCCTTTGCCATCCCAAAGATGTTGTGGAACCCATTTACAGCAGTTTTTCTTTTGGGAATCATACTCTTCAACCCTATACTTTTTATTTTGTTCTTTATGTTTTATTTCCTTATTGATATTTTCTATCTGTTGGATCATTGTCATTTAGTTTCATCTAGTTCTTTAAAGATTGCTTCCTTCAATTCTTTGAAGTCACTGTCTGCTAAATCCAACATACAGTTTCTGCTTTAACTCCTGATTATGGGCTTCATTTTGCTGTTTTCCCACACATCTCTTAATTTTTCTTGAAACCTAACTTTTTTAGGTAATATATTTCATCAACTTAATTCTGGCTCTTTCCCTCAATGTTATGTTTTCTTTTTACTTTTTTGTTTTTCTTTTTGTATTTTAATAATTTGCCTGGCCTTAATCTGCAGAATCTGTCTTCCCCGTGCTGTGTACCCACTGATGTCTCTGTTCATTTTTTTAATCATAACTTTTTTTTAATCCTGGTTTTCTATGAATTGCCCCTGTGATTGCACAGCTCAGTGGTCAGCAAATGATTCGACAAAATATGTGTTCAAATAACTGTAGTCCATAAGTCTTCCACTCTCTTTCAATGTACGTTTTTAAGATATCATTGGCCAGGCATGGTGGCTCACACCTATAATCCCAGCACTTTGGGAGGCTGAGGCGGGCGGATTGCCTGAGCTCAGAAGTTCAAGACCAGCCTGGGCAACACGGTGAAACCCTGTTTCCACTAAAATACAAAATATATATATATATATATATATATATATATAGCTGGGCGTGGCAGCATGCGCCTGTATTCCCAGCTACTCGGGAGGCTGAGGCAGGATAATTGCTTGAACCCGGGAAGCAGAGGTTGCAGTGAGCCGAGATCACACCACTGCACTCCAGCCTGGGTGACAGAGTGAGACTGTCAAAAAAAAAAAAAAGATATCATCAACTTTTATTTTTTTGCTGGGCCTTCTCAGATTTACCCTGTCTATGCTTGTTATCTTCCCAATCAGCCAAGGATGTATGGAGAGCTTAAGTAGCCCGTCTATAGCTCTCACATTATAAGAATATTCCCATTACATTTCTAGTTTACTTGCTACTCACCTCAACAAGGACTACAACATCAGGCTAGCTAAGCTGTAGGTCATCCCTCTTGTTTACTACCTTTTTAAAAATACTTTAAGTTCTGGGATACACGTGCAGAACATGCAGGTTTGTTACATAGGTATACACATGCCATGGTGGTTTGCTGCACCCATCAACCTGTCATCTAGGTTTTAAGCCCCACATGCATTAGGTATTTGTCCTAATGCTCTCCCTCCTCTTGCCCCCCACCCCCTGACAGGCCCCGGTGTGTGATCTTCCCCTCCCTGTGTCCACATGTTCTCATTGTTCAACTCCCACTTTTGAGTGAGAACATGTGGTGTTTGGTTTTCTGTTCCTGTGTCAGTTTACTGAGAATGACGGCTTCCAGCTTCATCCATGTCCCTGGAAAGGATATGAACTCATCCTTTTTTATGGCTGCAGGGTATTCCATGGTTATAAGTGCCACATTTTCTTTATCCAGTCTATCATTGATGGGCATTTGGGTCGGTTCCAAGTCTTTGCTATTGTAAATAGTGCTTCAATAAACATATGTGTGCATGTGTCTTTATAGTAGAATGATTTTATTGGCAAACTGCTGAGTGTAGGTCCTGCCCTATGCTCCAAGTCAAGCCAGCATCTTCTGTCAGTGAAACTTTGGTTTTCCCAGCCAGAATATCATAGTAAAACTACCATGCTGATTGAGCTGAATGGGAGTGGCCTCAAGCAAGAAAGCTGCAGACTCCCACTGTTTTTACTGGAATTTATAGCAGATTTTCATAAATAATTGCTTCTCTATTTTTTGTTTTCCTTTTTTCAATTTCCAGAGCCCTGTAATGTCCAGTTAATACTTGTTTTGTCAGGAGAGGATTTGCTGAAGGCTTCACTCTGCCACAACTGAAAGTCTTATGATCTAAAAAGTTTTTAAATACGATTTGATAAAAATTCATTTGGGAGTATAAATGTGTAAGAATATCCAAGAAAAATCTTGACAAAAAAAGATTGTGTTCAGAAAAATACCACCCTCCCAGATAGCACTGTGCCCCATAACTATGTATAATTTTTGTGTTAATTATAAATAAAATAAAACTTTAAAAATTATAAAACTACAATAGCAGAAAACATATGAGCCTGACACAGACATAAACAAATTAATCAAATAAAATAGTTTCTAGAAACATACCTGTATGCCTGTGGGAATTTAATATGCAATAAATATGGCATATAAAATCAATGAGACAAAAGGGTGTTTGAACAATTAACCGGGCATTTCGAATACAAAATAAAGACACACCACAGATACAAATATAATCATATTAATAAATATGACATTTCAAATCAATGGATAAAAGTGTTTGAACAATTGGCTATTTATTTAGAAATTTTATAAAGATACCAAAGAGAAACAAACACACTCTGATGTATTAAATATTTAAATGTAAAGTATAAGATCATTTAAAAAATAAATTGAGATAGGAAAGGCTTTCTGAAGCCAAACGCAAAATCTGGAAACCATATAGGAAAATATTGACAGATATAAAAATGAAACATGATAGGTAAGTTATAAAATAAGCAATGAGGATTTCTAGGAGCAAGATGATGAAATAAAAGTCTCCACCAATCATTCACCCCACAAGGACACCAATTTAAAAACTATCTACACAGAAAAAGCACCTTCATAAGAACCAAAAATCAAGTGAGTACTCACAGTACCTGGTTTAGCTGAAAGAGGCACTGAAGAGGTAGAAAAAACAGTCTTGAATCACTGATGCCACCACCCCCACAATGTGCCCTGGCAGCTATTAATAGCTGCAGCATGCTGCAGAGAGCATTTTTGTGCACTGGGGGAGGGAGAGCCCAGTAATTGTGAGGCATTGAGTTTCGTGCTGTCCTGTTATAGCAGAAAACAAACCAAATCAAACTCAGCTGATGCCCGCCCATGGAGGGAGCATTTAAACCAGCCCTGGCCAGAGGGAAATCACCAGCCCTAATGGTCTAAACATGAGTTGTGCAAGCCTTGCTACAGTGGGCTATAGTGCTCTGGGGCTCTAAATAAACTTGAAAGACAGTCTAGGCCACAAGGACAGCAACCTCTAGGCGAGTCCTAGTGCTGAACTGGGCCTAGAGACAATGGACTGGGGAGCGTGTGACCTACTGAGACACCAGCTGAGGCAGCTAAGGGAGTGCTGGTATCACCCCTCCCCTAACCCCTAACCCCTGGCTGCACAGTTGACAGCTCCAAAAGAGACCCCTTCCTTCCACCTAAGGAAAGGATAGGAAATAGTGGGGAGGACTTTGTCTTGCATCTTGGATATCAGCTCAGCCACAGCAGGATAGGGCATTGGTCAGAGTCACAAGACCCCTTTTCAGGGCCTAGCTCCCAGACGACAATACTAGACACACCCTGGGCCAGAAGGAAGGTCACTGCCTTCAAGGGAAGGACCCAGTCCTGGCAGCATTCATCACCTGCTAATTAAAGAGCCCTGAATAATCAGCAGTAATCCCCAGGTACTACACTGAAGGATTTGGCTTCAGGTGAGACTCAAGACATTCCCGGCTGTGGTGGCTATGGGGCAACTCCTTCTGCTTGAGAAGAGCAGAGGGAAAAGTAAAGGGGAGTTTCCCTTGCTCCGGAGGTACCAGCTCAGCCACAAGGGGGTGAAGCACCAAATGGGCTCTTGGAGTCCCCAGTTCCAGGACTTGGCTCTTTGATGGCATTTCTGGACCTGCCCTGGGTCAGAGGGGAGCCCATTGCCCTGCAGGGTAAGTCCCAGACCAGGCAGCATTTACTACAAGCTGACAGAAGAGCCCTTGGGCTCTAAGTGAACATTGACAGTAGTCTGACAATACTCCTCATGGGCCTGTGATCGTGTTGGCCACAGGGTGGGGCTCCTTTGAATTTGGAAACGGGAGGGAAGAGTGGGAAGGACCGTGTCTAGTTGACTGTGTACAGCTCAGTCGCAGTACAATAGAACACCATTAGACTTCCAAGGTTTTTGAATCTAGTCCCTGGCTGCCAGACAGCATCTCTGGGCCTCCCTGGGGCCTGGGGGATCTCATCCTACCTTGAAGGGAAGGACACAGGCCTGTCTGGTTTTGCCACCTGCTGATTGTAGAGACCCATGGTCTTGAGCAAGCATAGGCATTAGCCAGGTAGTAGTTATAGCAGGCCTTGGTCAAGACCCCGTGCTGTACTGGCTTCAGGTCTGACCCAGTGCAGTCACAGTGGTGGTGACCACAGGGGTGCTTGTGTCATGCCACCCCCAGCTTCAGGTGGCTCAGAACACAGAGAGAGAGAGACTCTATTTGAGAAAGTAAGGGAGAACAGGAGTTTCTGCCTAGTAATCTAGAGAATTCTTCCAGATCTTGTCCAAGACCATCAAGGCAGTATATCTAAAAGTCTGCAAGAACCACAGTGTTACTGCTGCCCCCTAAAGTGGATACAGCTTAGATCACAACCCCCAAGTCTTACCAATATCTGGAAAGCCTTCCCAAAAAGGTTGGGTATAAAGAAGCTCAGATTGTGAAGACTACAATAAGTACCCAACTCTTCAATGCCCAGACACAGACAAACATCTACAAGTATCAAAACAATCCAGGAAAACATGGCCTCACTAAATGAGCTAAATAAGGCACTAGGGACCAATCCTGGAGAAACAGAGATATCTGACTTTTCAGACAGATAATTCAAAATTGCTGTTTTGAGGACTCTCAAATAAATATGAGATAACACAGAGAAGGAATTCAGAATTATATCAGATAAACTTAACACAGATATTGAAATAATTTTAAAGAATCAAGAAGAAATTCTGGAGCTGAAAAATGCAGTAGGCATACTGAAGAATGTACCAGAGTCTTTCCATAACAGAATTGATCAGGCAGAAGAAAGAATTAGTAGTGAGCTTGAAGACAGGCTATTTGAAAATGCACAGTCAGAGAAACCAAAATAAAAAAAGAATAAAAACAATGAAGCATACTTACAGGATCTAGAAAATAGCCTGAAAAAGGCAAATCTAAGAGTTATTGATCTTAAAGAGGAGGTACAGGGGTAGGGGAGGGTAGAAAGTTTATTCAAAGGGATAGTAACAGAGAACCTCCCAAACCTAGAGAAAGATATCAATATCCAAGTACAAGAAAGTTATAAAATACCCAGAAGATTTAACCCAAAGAAGACTACCTCAATGCATTTAATAATCAAACTCCCAAAGGTCAAGGATAAAGAAAGGATCCTAAAAGTAGCAAGAGAAAATAAACGAATAACATACTATGGAGCTCCAATAACCTGGCAGCAGACTTTTCAGTGGAAAGCTTACAGGTTAGGAGAGAGTGGCATGATATATTTAAAGAGCTGAAGGAAAAAAAAAAACTTTATCCTAGAATAGTGTATCTGGCAAAAATTATCCTTCGAACATGAAGGAGAAATAAAGGCTTTCCAAGACAAACAAAAACTGAGGAACTTCATCAACACCAGACCTGTCCTAGAAGAAATGCTAAACAGGGTAATTCAATCATAAAGAGAAGGATGTTAACGAGCAATAAGTAATCACCTGAAGGTACAAAACTCACTAGCAGTAGTAGGTACACAGAAAAACACAGAATATTATAACACTGTAACTGTGGTGTGTAAACTACCCTTGTCCTAAGTAGAAAGAATAAATGATGGACCAATCAAAAACAATAACTACAACAACTCTTCAAGACATAGACAGTACAATAAGATATAAATAGGAACAAAAAAAATTAAAAAGCACGGGAACAAAGTTAAGGTATAGAGTTTTTATTAGTTTTCTCTTTGCTTGTATGTTCATTTATACAATAGTGTTTAGTTGTTATCAGCTTAAAATAATGGGTTATAAGCTAGTATTTACAAGTCTCATGGTAACCTGAAATCAAAAGACATAAAAAAATACACTAAAAATAAAAGCATGGCCAGGCACAGTGGCTCACGCCTGTAATCTCAGCACTTTGGGAGGTTGAAGCGGCGGATCACTTGAGGTCAGGGGTTCGAAACCAGCCTGGCCACAGGGTGAAACCCCATCTCTACTAAAAATAGAAAACTTAACTGGGTGTGGTGGCACATGCCTGTGGTCCCAGCTACTCAGGAGGCTGAGGCAGGAGAATCACTTGAACCCAGGAGGTGGAGGTTGCAGTGAGCCAAGATCATGCCTCTGCACTCCAGCCTGGGTGACAGAATGAGACTCTATCTCAAAAATAAATTAATTAATTAAAGCAAGAAATTAAATCATATTAACCGAGAAAATTAACCTTCACATGAAAGAACACACGAAGGAAAGAAGGATGAGAACATCACAAAACAACCAGAAAACAAATAACAAAATGACAGGAGTAAGTCCTTACTTATCAAACATAACATTGAAAATAAATGGACTAAACTCTCCAATCAAAAGACATAGACTGGCTGAATGGATAAAAAAAGTAATATCCTTTGATCTATTGGCTACAAGAGAAACACTTCACCATATATATATATATAAGTTCTAGGGTACATGTGCACAACGTGAGGTTTGTTATATAGGTATACATGTGCCATGTTGGTTTGGTGCAACCATCAACTCATCATTTACATTAGGTATTTCTCCTAATGCTATCCTTCCCCCAGCCCCCCACCCCCTGACAGGCCCCGGTGTGTGATGCTCCCCGCCCTGTGTCCAAGTGTTCTCATTGTTCAGTTCCCACCTATGAGTGAGAACATGCAGTGTTTGGTTTTCTATCCTTGTGATACTTTGCTCAGAATGATGGTTTCCAGCTTCATCCACGTCCCTGAAAAGGACATGAACTCATCCTTTTTTATGGCTGCATAGTATTCCATGGTGTATATGTGCCACATTTTCTTAATCCAGTCTATCATTGATGGACATTTGGGTTGGTTCCAAGTCTTTGCTATTGTGAATAGTTCCGCAATAAACATACATGTGCATGTGTCTTTATAGCAGTATGATTTATAATCCTTTAGGTATATACCCAGTAATGGGATGGCTGGGTCAAATGGTATTTCTAGTTCTAGATCCCTGAGGAATCGCCACACTGTCTTCCACAATGGTTGAACTAATTTACACTCCCACCAACAGTATAAAAGCATTCCTATTTCTCCACATCCTCTCCAGCATCTTTTGTTTCCTGATTTTTTACTGTTCGCCATTCTAACTGGCGTGAGATGGTATCTCATTGTGGTTTTGATTTGCATTTCTCTGATGACCAGTGATGATGAGCATTTTTTCATGTGTCTGTTGGCTGCATAAATGTCTTCTTTTGAGAAGTATCTGTTCATATCCTTTGCCCACTTTTTGATGTTGTTGTTTGTTTTTTTCTTGTAAATTTGTTTAAGTTCCTTGTAGATTCTGGATATTAGCCCTTTGTCAGATGGGTAGATGGTAAAAATTTTCTCCCATTCTCTAGGTTGCCTGTTCACTCTAATAGTAGTTTCTTTTGCTGTGCAGAAGCTCTTTAGTTTAATTAGATCCCATTTGTCTATTTTGGCTTTTGTTGCCATTGCTTTTGATGTTTTGGTTATGAAGTCCTTGCACATGCCTATGTCCTGAATGGTATTGCCTAGGTTTTCTTCCAGGGTTTTTAATGGTTTTAGGTCTAACATTTAAGTCTTTAATCCATCTTGAATTAATTTTTGTGTAAGGTGTAAGGAAGGGATCCAGTTTCAGCTTTCTCCATATGGCTAGCCAGTTTTCCCAACACCATTTATTAGATAGGGATTCCTTTCCCCATTTCTTGTTTTTGTCAGGTTTGTCAAAGATCAGATGGTTGTAGATGTGTGGTTTTATTTCTGAGGCCTCTGTTCTGTTCCATTGGTCTATACCTCTGTTTTGGTACCAGTACCATGCTGTTTTGGTTACTGCAGTCTTGCAGTACAGTTTGAAATCAGGTAGCGTGATGCCTCCAGCTTTGTTCTTTTGGCTTAGGATTGGCTTGGCTATGCGGGCTCCTTTTTGGTTCCATATGAACTTTAAAGTATTTTTTTCCAATTCTGTGAAGAAAGTCATTGGTAGCTCGATGGGGATGGCATTGAATCTATAAATTACCTTGGGCAGTATGGCTATTTTCATGATATTCATTCTTCCTACCCATGAGCATGGAATGTTTTTCCATTTGTTTGTGTCCTCTTTTATTTCGTTGAGCAGTGGTTTGTAGTTCTCCTTGAAGAGGTCCTTCACATCCCTTGTAAGTTGGATTCCTAGGATTCCGAAATTCCTAGTTGGATTTTATTCTCTTTGAAGCAATTGTGAATGGGAGTTCCCTCATGATTTGGCTCTCTGTTTGTCTGTTATTGGTGTATAAGAATGCTTGTGATTTTTGCACATTGATTTTTGCACATTGATTTTGTATCCTGAGACTTTGCCGAAGTTGCTTATCAGCTTAAGGAGATTTTGGGCTGAGACAATGGGGTTTTCTAAATATGCAATCATGTCATCTGCAAACAGGGACAATTTGACTTCCTCTTTTTCTAATTGAATACCATTTATTTCTTTCTCTTGCCTGATTGCCCTGGCCAGAACTTCCAACACTATGTTGAGTAGGAGTGGTGAGAGAGGGCGTCCTTGTCTTGTGCCGGTTTTCAAAGGCAATGCTTCCAGTTTTTGCCCATTCAGTATGATATTGGCTATGGGTTTGTCATAAACAGCTCTTATTATTTTGAGATACATTCCATCAATACCTAGTTTATTGAGAGTTTTTAGCATGAAGGGCTGTTGAATTTTGTCGAAGGACTTTTCTGCATCTATTGAGATAATCATGTAGTTTTTGTCATTGGTTCCATTTACGTGATGGATTACATTTATTGATTTGTGTATGTTGAACTAGCCTTGCATCCCAGGGATAAAGCCAACTTGATCATGGTGGATAAGCTTTTTGATGTGCTGCTAGATTCAGTTTGCCAGTATTTTATTGAGGATTTTTGCATCGAAGTTCATCAGGGATATTGGTCTAAAATTCTCTTTTTTGTTGTGCCTCTGCCAGGCTTTGGTATCAGGATGATGCTGACCTCATAAAATAAGTTAGGGAGGATTCCCTCTTTTTCTATTAATTGGAATAGTTTCAGAAGGAATGGTACCAGCTCCTCTTTGTACCTCTGGTAGAATTCGGCTGTGAATCCGTCTGGTCCTGGACGTTTTTTTGGTTGGTGGGCTATTAATTATTGCTTCAATTTCAGAGCCTGTTATTGGCCTATTCAGAGATTCAACTTCTTCCTGATTTAGTCTTGGGAGGGTGTATGTGTCAAGGAATTTATCTATTTCTTCTAGATTTAATAGATTATTTGTGTAGAGGTGTTTATAGTATTCTCTGATGGTAGTTTGTATTTCTGTGGGATGGGTGGTGATATCCCCTTTATCATTTTTTATTGCATCTATTTGATTCTTCTCTCTTTTCTTCTTATTAGTCTTGCTAGCGGTCTGTTGATTTTGTTGATCTTTCCAAAAAAGCAGCTCCTGGATTCATTGATTTTTTGAAGGGTTTTTTGTTTCTCTATCTCCTTCAGTTCTGCTCTGGTCTTAGTTATTTCTTGCCTTCTGCTAGCATTTGAATTTGTTTGCTCTTGCTTCTCTAGTTCTTTTAATTGTGATGTTAGGATGTCAATTTTAGATCTTTTCTGCTTTCTTTTGTGGGCATTTAGTGCTATAAATTTCCCTCTACACACTGCTTTAAATGTGTCCCAGAGATTCTGGTATGTTGTGTCTTTGATCTCATTGATTTCAAAGAACATCTTTATTTCTCCCTTCATTTCATTATGTACACAGTAGTCATTCAGGAGCTGGTTGTTCAGTTTCCATGTTGTTGTGCAGTTTTGAGTGAGTTTATTAATCCTGAGTTTTAATTTGATTGCACTGTGGTCTGAGAAACAGTTTATTGTGATTTCTGTTCTTTTTCATTTGCTGAGGAGTGCTTTACTACCGATTATGTTGTCAATTTTAGAATAACTGCGATGTGGTGCTGAGAAGAATGTATATTCTGTTGATTTGGGGTGCAGAGTTCTGTAGATGTCTATTACATCTACTTGGTGCAGAGCTGAGTTCAAGTCCTGGATATCCTTGTTAACCTTCTTTCTCGTTTATCTGTCTAATATTGACAGTGGGGTGTTAAAGTCTCCCATTATTATTGTGTGGGAGTCTAAGTCTCTTTGTAGATCTCTAAGGACTTGCTTTATGAGTCTGGGTGCTCCTGTAATGGGTGCATATATATTTAGGATAGTCAGCTCTTCTTGTTGAATTTATCCCTTTACCATTATGTAATGGCCTTCTTTTTCTCTTTTGATCTGTGTTGGTTTAAAGTCAATTTTATGAGAGACTAGGATTGCAACTCCTGCTTTTCTTTTGCTTTCCATTTGCTTAGTAGATCTTCCTCCATCCCTTTACTTTGAGCCTATGTGTGTCTCTGCACATGATATGGGTCTCGTGAATACAGCACACTGATGGGTCTTGACTCTTTATCCAATTTGCCAGTCTGTGTTGTTTAATTGGGGCATTTAGCCCATTTACATTTAAGGTTAATATTGTTATGTGTGAATTTGATCCTGTCATTATGATGTTAGCTGGTTATTTTGCCCATTAGTTGATGCAGTTTCTTCATAGCATCAATGGTCTTTACAATTTGGCATGTTTTTGCAGGGGCTGGTACTGGTTGTTCCTTTCCATGTTTAGTGCTTCCTTCAGGCCTGGTGGTGACAAATCTCTCGGCATTTGCTTGTCTCTAAAGGAGTTTATTTCTCCTTCACTTATAAAGCTTAGTTTGGCTGGATAAGAAACTCTGGGTTGAAAATTATTTTCTTTAAGAATGTTGAATACTGGCCCCTACTCCCTTCTGGCTTGTAGGGTTTCTGCCAAGAGATCCGCTGTTAGTCTGATGGGCTTCCTTTTGTGGGTAACCCAACCTTTCTCTCTGGCTGCCCTTAACATTTTTTCTTTCATTTCAACCTTGGTAAATCTGACAATTATGTGTCTTGGGGTTGCACTTCTCGAGGAGTATCTTTGTGGTGTTCTCTGTATTTCCTGAATTTGAATGTTGGCCTGCCTTCCTAGGTTGGGGAAGTTCTCCTGGATGATATCCTGCAGAGTGTTTTCCAACTTGGTTCCATTCTCCCCGTCACTTTCAGGTACACCTATCAGATGTAGATTTGGTCTTTTCACATAGTCCCATGTTTCTTGGAGGCTTTGTTCATTTCTTTTTATTTTCTCTAATCTTGTCTTCTCACTTTATTTCATTAATTTTATCTCTAATCACTGATATCCTTTCTTCCACTTGATCAAATCAGCTATTGAAGTTTGTGCATTCCTCACGAAGTTCTCGTGCCATGGTTTTCAGCTCCATCAGGTCATGTAAGGTCTTCTCTACTCTGTTTATTCTAGTTAGCCATTCATCTAATCTTTTTTCAAGGTTTTTAGCTTCCTTGAAATGGGTTAGAATGTGCTTCTTTAGCTCAGAGAAGTTTGTTATTACCAACCTTCTGAAGCCTACTTCTGTCAACTCGTCAAAGTCTTTTTCCGTCCAGCTTTGTTCTGTTGCTGGCAAGGAGCTGCAATTCTTTGGAGGAGAAGAGGCACTCTGATTTTTAGAATTTTCAGCTTTTCTGCTCTGGTTTCTCCCCATCTTTGTGGTTTTATCTACCTTTGGTCTTTGATGTTGGTGGATGGGGTTTTGGTGTGGATGTCCTTTTTGTTGATGCTGATGTTATTTCTTTCTGTTTGTTAGTTTTCCTTCTGACAGTCAGGTCCCTCAGCTGCCGGTCTGTTGGAGTTTGCTGGAGGTCCACTCCAGAACCTGTTTGCCTGGGTATCACCAGTGGAGGCTGCAGAACAGCAAATATTGCAGAACAGCAGATCTTGCTACCTGATCCTTCCTCTGGAAGCTTCGTCCCAGAGGGGCACCTGCCTGTATGAAGTGTCTGTCAGCCCCTACTGGGAGGTGTCTCCTAGTTAGGCTACACAGGTGTCAGGGACCCACTTGAGGAGGCGGTCTGTTTCAGAGCTCAAACGCCATACTGTGAGAACCACTGCTCTCTTCAGAGTTGTCAGACAGGGACATTTAAGTCTGCACAAGTTTCTGCTGCCTTTTGTTCAGCTATGCCCTGCCCACAGAGGTGGAGTCTATATAGGCAGTAGGCCTTGCTGAGCTACAGTGGGCTCTGCCCAGTTCGAACTTCCCAGTCGCTTTGTTTAACTATTCAAGCCTCAGCAATGGTGGACGCCCCTCCCCCTCCAGGCTGCAGCCTTGCAGGTTGATCTCAGACTGCTGCACTAGCAGTGAGCAAGGCTCCGTGGGCATGGGAACTGCCAAGCCAGGTATGGGAGAGAATCTCCTGGTCTGCCAGTTGCTAAGACCATGGGAAAAGCACAGTATTTGGGCGGGAGTGTTTCATTTTTCCAGGTACAGTCTGTCATGGCTTCCCTTGGCTATGAAAGGGAAATCCCCTGACCCCTTGTGCTTCCCAGGTGAGGCGACACCCTGCCCTGCTTTGACTCGCCCACCGTGGGCTGGACCCACTGAAACACTTCACCTTCAAACACACACATAGGTTAAAAATAAAGGAATGGAAAAGGATATTCCATGCCAATGGAAACCAAAAAATTAGCAGAAGTAGCTATACATATACAGACAAACTAGATTTCAAGACAATAGCTATTAGAAGGGACAAAGAAAGACACTATATAATGATAATAGGGTCAATTCTGCAAGAGGATATAACAATTTTAAATATATACACAGTCAAAACTGGAGAACCCAGACATATAAAGCAAATATTCAAGCTAAAGAGAGAGACCCAAATACAATAATAGCTGGAGACTTCAACAGCCCACTTTTAGCATTGGACAGATATCCAACAAAAAATCAACAAAGAAATTCAGACTTAGTCTGCACTATAAACTAAATGAATATAATAGATATTTACAGAACATTTGATTCAACAGCTACAGAATACACATTCTTTTCCTTAGCACGTGGATCATTCTCTAAGATAGATTATATTTTGGGGTAACAAAAAAAGGCTTACAATATTCAAAAAATTGAAATAATATCAAGCATCTTTTCTGACCACAATGGAATAAAACTAGAAATCAATAACAAAAGGAATTCTGGAAACTAAAGAAATACATGGAAATTAAACAATATGCTCCTGAATGAACAGTGGGTCAATGAAGAAATTAAGAAGAAAATTTAAAAATTTCTTGAAACAAATAATAATGGGAACACAACATATGAAAACCTATGAGATACAGCAAAAGCACTACTAAGAGTGAAGTTTATAGCTGTAAGTGCCTATGTTAAAAAAGAATAAAAACTTCAAATAAATAACTGAATGATGCCTCTTACAGAACTAGAAAAGCAAGAGCAAAACAAACCAAAAGTTAGTAGAGAAAATAAAGATCAGAACAAAAATAAATGAAATTGAAATGAAGAAAATAATAGAAAATACCAAAAAAAGAAAAAGTTGGGTTTTTGAAAAGATAAACAAAATTCACAAAACTTTAGACAGACTCACTAAGAAAAAAAAGATAGACGATGCAAATAAGTAAAATAAGATGAAAAAGGAAATATCACAACCAATACCACAAAAATTCAAAGGATTAATAGTGGCTACTATGAGCAACTATGTGCCAATAAATTGGAAAATCTAGAATAAATAGATAAATTCCTGGACACATACAACCTACTAAGATTGAACCATGAAGAAATCTTAACCTGAACAGACCAGTAGCAAGTAACAGGATCAAAGTCTCCCAGCACAGAAATGCCTGGGACCCAATGGCTTCACTGTTGAAATCTAAAAAACATTTAAAGAACTAATACCAATCCTACTCAAACTATTCCAAGAAACAAAGGAGAAGGGAATAATTCCAGACTCATTCTATGAGCCATATTGCTCTGATACCAAAGCCAGACAGAGACACATCAAGAAAAGAAAACTACAGGCCAACATCCCTGATGAACATTGATGCAAAAATCCTCAACAAAATACTAGCAAACCGAGTTGCACAACACATTGAGAAGATCATTCATCATGACCAAGTGGGATTTATCCCAGGGATGCAATGATGGTTCAACATATGCAGATTGGGCAATATGATACATCATATCAACAGAATGGAGGACAAAAACCATGTGATCATTTCAATAGATGCTGAAAAAGCATTTGATAAAATTTGACATCGCTTCATTATAAAATCCCTTTAAAAACTGGATATATAGATGGAACATACCTCAATATAATAAAAGCCATATATGACAGACCCACAGCTAGTATCATGCTGAATGGGGATCAGAACATGACAAGGATGCTTTTTTTCACCACTGTTACTAACGTAGCATTAGAAGTCCTAGCTAGAGCAATCAGACAAGAGAAAGAAATAAAGGGCCTCCAAATTGGAAAGGAGGAAGTTAAATTATCCTTGTTTGCAGATGATATGATCTTATATTTGGAAAAACCTAAAGACTCCACCAGAAACCTATTGGAACTGATCAAACAAATTCAGTAACATTGCAGGATACAAAATCAAGATACAAAAATCAGTAGCATTACTATATGCCAACAGTGAACCATCTGAAAAAGAAATCAAGAGAGTAATCCCATTTACAATAGCTACAAGTAAAATCAAATACGTGAGATTTAGCCAAGGAAGTGAAAAATCTCTGCAATGAAAACTATAAAATATTGATGAAAGAAATTGCAGAGGACATACAAAAAAAAGAAAAGATATTCTATGTTCATGGATTGGAAGAATCAATATTGTAAAAATGTCCATACTACCCAAAGCAATCTACAGATTCATAGCAATCCCTATCAAAATACCAATGACATTCTTCACAGAAACAGAAAAAACAATTCTAAAATTTATATGGAACCACAAAAGACCCAGAATAGCCAAAGCTATCCTGAGCCAAAAGAACAAAACTGGAGGATCACATTACCTGATTTCAAATTATACTACAGAGCTATAGTAAAGAAAACAGCATGATACTGGCATAAAAGCAGATACGTAAACCAAAGGAACAAAATAGAAAAGTCAGAAACAAATCCATACATCTACAGTGAGCTCATTTTTGACAAAGATGCCAAGAACATACATTAGGGAAAAGACAAACTCTTCAATAAATGATGCTGGGAAAACTGGATATCTACATGCAGAATGAAACTAAACCTCTATCTCTTGCCATGTACAAAAATAAAATCTAAATTGATTAAAGACTTAAATCTAATATCTCAAACTATGAAACTACTACAAGAAAACACTGGGGAATCTTTCTAGCAAATTGGACGGGGCAAAGATTTCTTAAGTCATATCCCACAAGCACAGGAAACCAAAGCAAAAGTGGACAAATGGGATCATATCAAGTTAACAAGCTTCTGCACAGCAAAGGAAACAATGAACAAAATGAAAAGACAACCCAGAGAATGGGAGAAAATATTTGCAAACTACCCATCTGACAAGAGATTAATAATCAGAATATATAAAGAGTTCCAACAACTCTATAGGAAAAAATCTAACAATCTTATTAGCCCTTTTCCCATTGGACTTAAGAACACTTGCCAACAGTGCTTGCAAGTATTAACCAAGGAAGTGAAAGTAAGATTAGTATTATTTTTGCATTGCTCCAGTACATTGACTTTGGAAACAAAACACATCATTCTATTTATAGCATTCTGTTTTTAGTAATGGTATTTCCGTTTACAAAATATAGTAAATCTCAATTGATAAAAATGTCAAATCTTAGAAAACGTAGCCTTCCTAGATGTCACGTTAACATTGTTCTTGTACAGTTTTTGGCCGAAGATTCATTTGAAGAATCTGAGTTTTCCAAAATAGACGATTCTGATGAGTCAGATGATTCTGATGTTAGTTCTGTTTAGAAAAAAACTCCAAAAACAGTTTTTATATTTTATTTTTACATTGCAAATCAGTCAGATTTGCTCCAGCCTCAAAGAGTGTGTTTATGTAAAATTAAATGAGTGCTGGTAGTGAGCTGCACTTTTCTTTTACTAAAAAGGAAAAGGGTGAAAAAATGTGCAAAAGACCTGAACAGATGTTTCTGAAAAGAAGAGATACAAATGGCAGTCATATGAAAAGGTGCTTAACCTCAGTGATCATTAGAGAAATGCAAATCAAAACTACAATGAGATATCTCAGCCCAGTTAAAATTGATTTTATCCAAAAGACAAGCAATAAGAAATAGTGCCAAGTATGTGGAGAAAAGGGAAACCTCATACTGTCAGTGGGAATATAAATTAATACAACCACTATGGAAATCAGTTTGAGGTTCCTCAAAACAACTAAAAATATAGTTACCATATGATCCAGCAATCCCACTGTTGGGTATATACCCAAAGGAAAAGAAATCAGTATATTGAAGAGATATCTACACTCCCATGTTTATTGCAGCACTATTCACAATAGTCAAGATTTGGAAGGAACCCAAAATGTTTATCAACAGATGAATGAAGAAAATGTGGCACATATACACTCTTGAGCACTATTCAGCCTTATAAAATACGAGATCCTGTCATTTGCAACAACGTGGATGGCACTGGAGGTCATTGTGTTGAGTGAAATAAGCCAGGCACAGAAGGACAATCTTCGCTTTCATTTTTTATTTTCACTTAGTCATGGGAGCTAAAAATTAAAACAACTGGGCTCAACGGAGATAGAGAGCAGAATGATGGTTACCAGAGCCTAGAAGTGTAGTGGGGAGAGAGAAGGGGAATGGTTAATGGGTACAAAACAGTAAAAAGAATGAATAAATTCCAGTATTTGATAGTACAATAGGGTGACTATATTTAATAATAATTTAGTTGTACATTTTAAGATAACTAAAAGAGTATGTTTGGATTGTTTGTAACACAAAGGATAAATGTTTGAGATTATAGATATCTCATTTACCCTGATGTAATTTATTACACATTGTATGCCTGTATCATCAAAATATACCATATACCCTATATATATATACACACACACTATATATACACATAGTAGGTGGGTATGTATATATATACACATATATATGCTGATATATATATACATATATGTATAATGTATATATACATGCTGATATATATACATATACATATATATGCTGAAGATATATATATATACACATACCCACCTACTATGTACCCACAAAAATTAAAAATTAAAAAAAACATACTGGTAACAGATTTGCTGTCATCCTGGGCTTTGATGTTCCATTTCTAGAGCATAGGCAGAGTAAATGTAGCATAATTTTTAAGGGCCCAAGGACTTTCAGAATGATAAATGACCATTGGCTTCAACTTAATATCACCAGCTGCATTAGCCCTTAACAAGAGAGTCAGCCTGTCCTTAGAAGCTTTGAAGTCAGGCATTGACTTCTCTCTAGCTATGAAAGTTCTAGATGGCATATTCTTCCAACAGAAGACTGTTTCATCAACATTGAAATTCTATTGCTTAGTGTAGCCACCTTTAACAGTTTTCTGAGCTAGATCTTCTGCAGCTTCTCCATCAGCACTTGCTGCTTCACCTTGCACTTTTGTTATGGAAATGGCTTCTTTCCTTAAATCTCATGAACCAGCCTCTGCTAGCTTCAGACTTTTCTTCTGCAGCTTCCTTGCTTCATAGAATTGAACAGAGTAAAGGCCTTGCTCTGGATTTGGCTTAATGGAATATTGTGGCTGGTTTCAGCTATCTAGACCACGAAAACGTTCTCCGGATAAGCAATAAGGCTGTTTCACTTTCTTATCATTTATTTGTTTACTGGAGTAGCACTTTTAATCTTGTTCAGGAACTTTTTCTTTGCATTCACAACTTGGCCGGTTGGCACAAAAAGCCTAGCTTTCAGCCTGTCCTGCCTTCCGACATGTCTTTTTTACTAAGCTTTATCATTTCTAGCTTTTGATTTAAAGGAGAGACATGTAACTTTTCCTTTCATTTGAACATGTAAAGGCCATTGTAAGGTTATTAATTGGCCTAATTTCCATACTGTTGTATTTTAGGGAATAGGGAGCCCTGAGGAGAAGGAAAGAGATGAGGGATGGCCAGTCAGTGGAGCAGTCAGAACACACACAACATTGATCAGTTAACTTTGCTGTCATATATGAGTGCAGTTTGTGGCACCCTGAAAGAACTGTAATGGTAACGTCAAAGATAATTGAATATAGATCTGTAATAGTAACATCAAAGATAACTGATTATAGATCACCATAACAAATATAATAGTAATGAAAAAGTTTGAAATACTGTAAGAATTACCCAAATGTGACACTGAGACATGAAGTGAGTACATGCTGTTAGAAAAACGGTATAGAGTGTCCACAAATCTTCAATTTGAAAAAAAAACACACACACACAAACAAACAAACAAAATCTCTGCAAAGCACATTAATCCAAGGCACAATAAAATGAGGTATGCCTGTATTAATAATTTCTATCTTCTTTTTTTCTTGGTTAGCCTGGCTAGAGGTTTACTAATTTTATTGATCTTTTCAAAGAACTAGATTTGGGTTTCATTGATTTTCTCTCTTAATTTCTTGTTTTCAATTTCTTTGATTGCTGCCCTAATTTTACTATTTTATTTCTTCTACTTAATTTGGACTTAACTTGCCTTTCTTTTCTAGTTTCCTCAGGTAAAAGTTTATATTATTGATTTTATATCTTTCTTTCTAATATGTCCATTAAATGCTATTAATAGCCTTCTAAGCACTGCTTTTGCTACATTCTGAAAATTTTGATAAATTATACTTTTATTTTCATTTAATTAAAAAAAATTTAACTTTTTCTGAGATTTTATTTTTGAACAATGTGTTATTTATATGTATGTTTTTTAATCTCCAAATGTTTTGGAGGTTTTCTTCCTATTTTTCTGTTACTAATGACTAGTTTAATTCCAATATGGTCTAAGAGAATACTTTGTATGATTTTAATTATTTTTAATTTGTTAAGGTGTGTTTTAAAGCCCAAGATGTGATTTATCTTGATAAATGTTCCACATTTATAGAATTTATAGAATTGACATTCTATGTCAATCAGGTCCAGTTAATTAACAGTGCTTTCAGTCCAATTATATCCTGATTTTCTGCCTGCTGAATCTGTTGCTTTTTGAGAGAAGGATGTTGAAATTTCCAACTATAAAAGTGGATTATTTCTTGCAGTTCTATCAGTTTTGGCCTCATCTATTTTAATGCTGTTTTTAGGCACAGATACATGAAGGATTGTTGTTTCTTCTTAGAGAATTGACCCCTTTATTATGTAATGGCCATTTTTATCCCTGAAGATTTTTCTTGCTCTGAAATCTGCTTCATGCGATATTGATACAGCTATTCAAGCTTTCTTTTGATTGCTGACAGCATGGCATATATTTCTCTAACCCTTTACTTTTAATATATCTGGGTCTTTATATTTAAATTGGATTTCTTGTAGACAACATATAGTTGGTTCTTTGTTTTTTATCCACTGTGATAATCTGTGTTTTAATTGGTGTATTTAGACCATTCACATTTAAAGTCATTATTGATGTGGTTTGATTAATATGTACCTTTTTATAATTGTTCTCTTTTTCCACCGGTTCTTTATCTTTTTCTATCTTCCACTCTTTTTTTTTCTTTCCTGGTTTAAGTTGAACATATTATATGATTCAATGTTCTCTTTTCTCTTAGCATATTGTTTGTTTCCTTTGAAAAATTTTAAGTGGTTGTCCTAGAGTTTGCAATATGCATTTACAACTAATCTAAATCTACTTTCAAATAACACCATACTGGTTCACAGAAAGTGCAGGTACCTTATAAAAAATATTCCTAGTTCCTCTCTCCTATCCCTTAAACATTTCTGTCATATATTTCACTTATTCATAAGCGATATCCAACATATCATTGCTCTTATTATTTTGAACAAACTTTTACCTGTTAGGCCACTGAAACATAAGAAAAATAAAATATTTTATTTTACCTTCATTTATGTATTTTTGAACACTCTTCCTTTGTAATCCAGATCCATGTGTCTGACCTATATCATTTTCCTTCTCCCTGAAGGAGAAGGCCTTCTTTTAACATTTTTTTACAAGACAAGCCTACTGGTGACACATTTCCTCAAGTTTTGTTTGTATGAGAAAGTCTTTATTTCTCCTTCACTTTGAAGGACAGTTTAATTGGATATAGAACTCTAGGTTGGTGGGTTTTTTTCTTTCAACACTTTAAATACTTCGTTCCACTTTCTT
Source organism: Homo sapiens (assembly GCF_000001405.40). Classification (NCBI taxonomy): domain Eukaryota; kingdom Metazoa; phylum Chordata; class Mammalia; order Primates; family Hominidae; genus Homo; species Homo sapiens. The sequence goes on from NC_000023.11 coordinate 155,736,520, forward strand.
CTTGCTTTCATGGTATCTGATAAGTTTCTGAAATTCTTACCCTTGTTCTTCTAACGATAAGATGTTTTCCCCCTCTGGCTTCCTTCAAGATTTTCTCTTTATCTTTGCTTTCCTGTAGTTTAAATATGATATGCTTAAGTGTAGTTTTTTGTTTGTTTATTTTGGTATTTCTCCTGCTTGGTATTCACTGAGCTTCTTTGCATCTGTGGTTTGGTATCTGTTAATAATTTTGGAATATTCTCAGCCATTATTATTTCAAATATTTATTTTGTTTCTTTCTCTCTTTCTTCTTCTGGGATTCCTATTACATGTATATCACATCTTCTGTAGTTGTCACACAGTTCTTGAATATTCTATTTTTTCACTAATTTTTCTCTTCGATTTTCAGCTTGGGAAGCTAATATTGCCATATCTTCAGTTTCACTGATCTTTTCCTGGACCATGTCTAGTCTACTGGTGAGCCCATCAAAGACATTATGTATGTAATAGTGTTTTTTTGTTTCTAGCATTTGCTTATTTGCTTTTGATTCTTTCTTAGAATTTTCATCTATCTGCTTGTATTATCTGTCTATTTTTGAATGTTGTTCACTTTTTCCATTACAGCCCTTAACATATTAGTTATACCTATTTTAAATTTCTGGTCTTATAATTCCTAAATTTCTGCTGCATCCAAGTGTGGCTGTGATGCTTACCTTGTCTCTTCAGACTGGTTGTTTTTTTGTTCTTTGGTTATCCAATCCACCATTGATGGGCATCTAGATTGATTCCATGTGTTTGCTAGCAAATATTTGTTGAACATCAGTATGATTCAGGCAGGGTGCTAGTTATCTGTGAAACAATGGTGAGCACAATAGAAATAATCCTTGTCATTATGAGACTCATAATCTAGAGGTAAGATGCAGACAAGTAAACAGACAACTATAATACAATGTAAAAAATGCCATAATGAGGATCATACAGAGTACTATGTAAGAACATAGAAAGGGCAATATAACGCAGATGGGGAGTTAGGGAAGGCTTTCTAGGAAGAAGTTATGATCAAGGTGAGACCTAAAGGATAAATAGGAGCTAACCAAATAAAGAATGAATAAAAAATGTTCCAAACATGTTTGAAGACCTGGATGTGATAGTTAGGAAACTGAAGAAGTTCACTGTGGCTGGATTGTGAATGTGACTGGGGGATAGAGAACAGGGTGGCAAAAATAAGACTGGAGAGGACCCAAATCATGTGAAGCCTTTTGCTCATAGTAAGGAGTTTAGAATTTATCCTGAGGTAAGTGAGGAGGTGTTGAAAGAATTTAAGCAAGTGAGTGATACAATATGAATTGTACTTTAGGAAGATTCTCTACCTTCAAAATGGGGTATGAATTGGAATGTGGGAATATAAGAGTGTATTTAACCTTATATTATTACCACCTCTGATTTCTATTTTTAATTAAATTTGAGTTACCCAAGTATATTTGAATGCACTCACCTTTAAAAAATAATTAGGACCTAATTCTCACACCTTGTATAAAAATCCATGCAAAATAGATCATGGATTTAAATGTAAACTGTAAAACATTTTTGGAAGTAAACATAGGATAAAATTTTGGGGAACTACAGGTGGATAAAGAGTTCTTATACCTGAGACCAAAAGCACAAATCTTTAAAAGAAAACAATTGCTAAATTAGACTTTATCAAAATGAAAAAAATGCACTGGGAAAAAGATGTTAAGAGGATGAAAAAACAAGGTGCAGACTGGGAAAAAAAAATGCTTGCAAGTCACAACTGCAATAGATAATTTGTTTCCACAATATATATAAAGTGTGCTTGGAACTCAACAGTAAAAAAAAAATCAAACAATCCAATTAGAAAGTGGTCAAAAACATGAACAGACATTGAACTAAAGAAAACAAATAGGACAGGCCAAGATGGTCGATTAGAAGCAGCTTCAGTCCATGGCTTTCATGGAGAGGAATGAAAATGGTGAGTGAATTCTGCACCTTCAACTGAGGGATCCAGGTTCTCACATTGGGACTGACTAGGCAGATGGCTCGACCCATGGACAGCAAGGAAAGCAGGGTGGGGTGATGGCCCACCCAGAAGTGGTACAGAGCCAGGACAGCCCCACCCCCAGCCAAGGGAGTTGGTGAGTGATCATGCAATTCTTCCTGGGAAACCACGCTTTTCCCACAGATCTTTGCAACCTGCAGATCAGGAGATCCCCTTGTGAGCCCACACCACCAGGGCCTTGGGTCTGAAGCACAGGGCTGTATAGAGTCTCAGCAAAGTAGCTGATCAGGCACACACAGAGACACAGGAGCTTTGCATACTCCACCCTGGAAATTCCAGTTGAGGTGGGATATCATTTGTACATTCCCCTAGGAAGGGGGCTGAATAAAGGGAGCCAACTGGCATTGTTCTGTGGGCCCCACTTCCATGGAACCTCACAAGTCACAACCCACTGGGTTAGAATTCCAGCTGGCCAGAGGCAGCAGGCTGGAGATGGCCAGAGGCAGCAGGCTGGAGACAGCCTGAGATGGATTGAGTTCCTGGGGGGAGGGGCAGATGCCATCTCTATGGTTCAAGTCAGCCATTCTAGCCTGCTGGCTCCAGAGAGTCCAGGTGGTACAGACCAGCAGGAGTTCTCCATAAGGAAGCACAGCTGCTGCTGTGCCGGATCATGGCCAGACTACTTCTTTAAGTGAGATCCCAACCCATCTCTCCTCACTGGGATGTGTGGGGAGGGGCTCCCTGTGGGAATTTCAGCAATTCCGACCAGGGTTATATGGACATAACTCTGATCTCTCCCTGAGATGGAGCCCCCAGGGGGAGGGGCAACCACTGTCTCTGCAGTTCAGCTGACAGCATTTTCACCTGCTGGCTCTGGAGAGTCTGGGTGGTTTGGACGAGGTGGAAGGATTCCCCCTAGTGCAGCACATCTGCTCAGCCAAAGGGCAGCCAGACTGCTTCTTGAAGCTGGCCCCTGATCCCATTCCTCCTGACTGGGTGAGATCTCCCAACAGGGGTCTCCAGATACCTCCTAGAGGAGTGTTCAGACCAGCATCAGGTCGGTGACCACTGGGATGGAGCTTTCAGAAGAAGGAGCCGGCTGCCATCTTTGCTGTTTTGCAGCCTTCACTGGTGTTACATCCAGGTGAGGGAGGGACCAAGGTGACTAGGGTCTGGAGTGGACCCCCAGCAAACTGCAGCAGTCCTGTGGAAGAGTGGCCTGACTGTTAAAAGAGAAACAAACAAACAGGAAGCAACAGCAACAACAACAAAAAAGACCCCACAAAAACCCCCATTCAAAGGCCAGCAACCTCAAAGATTGAAGATAAACCCACAAAGATGAGAAAGAATCAATGCAAAAACACTGAAAACTCAAAATGCCAGAGTGCCTCTTCTCCTCCAAGTGACTACACCACCTTTCCAACAAGGGCACAGAACTGGGCTGAGGCTGAGATGGCTAGATTGACAGAAGTGGGCTTCATAAGGCAAGTAATAATGTGTTGTGGGAAGTCAGGGACTCCGAACAGAGGGACCAGCTGGAGCTGCAGCAGAGGAACATAAATTATGAAGATTTCACTTTAATATGGACATATATCAGTTCCCAAAATTAATACTTTTATAATTTCTTACGCCTGTCTTGCTTTAATCTCTTAATCCTATTATCTTCATAAGCTGAGGATGTATGTCACCTCAGGACCACTATTGTGTTAACTGTACAAATTGATTGTAAAACATTTGTGTTTGAACAATATGAAATCAGTGCACCTTGAAAAAGAACAGAATAACAGCAATTTTAGGGAGCAAGGGAAGACAACCATAAGGTCTGACTGCCTGCGGGGTCAGGCAGAATAGAGCCATATTTTTCTTCTTGCAGAGAGCCTATAAACGGACGTGCAAGTAGGGAAGATATTGCTAAATTCTTTTCCTAGCAAGGAATATTAATAATTAAGACCCTGGGAAAGGAATGCATTCCTGGGTGGAGGTCTATAGACAGCCGCTCTGGGAGTGTCTGTCTTATGTGGTTGAGATAAGGACTGAAATACGCCCTGGTCTCCTGCAGTACCCTCAGGCTTACTACGGTGGGGAAAAACCCCACCCTGGTGAATTCAAGGTCAGACCGGTTCTCTGCTCTCGAACCCTGTTTTCTGTTGTTTAAGATGTTTATCAAGACAATAATACGTGCACAGCTGAACATAGACCCTTATCAGTAGTTATGTTTTGCCTTTTGTCCTGTTTCCTCAGAAACATGTGATCTTTGTTCTCCTTTTTGCCCCTTGAATCATGTGATCTTTGTGACCTACTCCCTGTTCATACACCCCCTCCCCTTTTGAAACCCTTAATAAAAACCTGCTGGTTTTGTGGCTCAGGTGGGCATCACGGTCCTACCGATATGTGATGTCACCCCGGAGGCCCAGCTGTAAAATTCCTCTGTTTGTACTCTTTCTCTTTATTTCTCAGCCGGCCGACACTTATGGAAAATAGAAAGAACCTATGTTGAAATATTGGGGGTGGGTTTCCCCGATAATAATGAACTTCACTAAGCTAAAGGAGCATGTTTTAACCCAATGCAAAAAAGCTAAGAATCATGAAAACAATGATACAGGAGCTGATAACCAGGATAGCCAGTTAAGAGAGGAGCATAAATGACGTGATGGAGCTGAAAAACACAACAGGAGAACTTCACAAAGCAATCACAAGTATCAATGGCAGAATACACTAAGTGAAGGAAAGACTCTCAGAGCTTGAAGGCTATCTTTCTGAAATAAGACAGGTGGACAAGAAAAGAGAAAAAAGAATGAAAGGGAACAAACAAAACCTCCAAGAACTATGGGATTATGTAAAAAGACTGAACCTATGACTGATTGGGGTACCTGAAAGAGATGCGGAGAACAGAAACAAGTTGGAAAACATACTTCACAATATCATCCAGAAGAAATTCCCCAACCTAGCAAGACAGGCCAACATTCAAATTCAGGAAATCCAGAGAACCCCAGTAAGATGCTCCATGAGAAGATCAAACCCCAAGACACATAATCATCAGATTCTCCAAGGTCAAAATGAGAGAAAAAATGTAAAGGACAGCCAGAGAGAAAGGCCAGGTCACCTACAAAGGGAAGCTCATCAGACTAACAGCAGGCCTCTCAGCAGAAACCCTACAAGCCAGAGATTGGGAGCCAGTATTCAACGTTCTTAAAAAAAGAATTTCCAACCCAGAACATCTGGCCAAACTGAGCTTCATAAGCAAAAGAGAAATAAGATCCTTTTCAGAAAAACAAATGCTGAGGGAATTTATCACCACCAGGCCTCCCTTGCAAGAGCTCCTGAAGGAAGCACTAAATATGGAAAGGAAAAATCTTTGCCAGCCACTACTAAAACACACTGAAATACAGAGACCAGTGACACTATGAAGCAACTATATCAATAAGTCTGCAAAATAACCAGCTAGCATCATGATGACAGGATCAAATTCACGCATAACAATATTAACCTTAAATGTAAATTAGCTAAATGCCCCAATTAAAAGACACAGAATGGCAAGCTGGATAAAGAGTGAAGACCCATCAGTATGCTATCTTCAAGAGACCCATCTCATGTACAAAGACACATGTAGGCACGAAATAAAGGGATGGAGGAAAATTTACCAAGCAAATGGAAAGCAGAAAAAAGCAGGGGTCACAATTATAGAGTCTGACAAAATAGATTTTAGACCAACAAAGATCAAAAAAGACAAAGGGCATTACATAATGGTAAAGAGTTCAATTCATCAAGAAGAGCTAACTATTCTAAATATATATGCACCCAATACAGAAGCACCCAGATTCATAAAGCAAGTTCTTAGAGACCTATGAAGAGACTTAGACTCCCACACAATAATACTAGGAGACTTTATCACTCCACTGTCAATATTAGACAGATCATTAAGATGGAAAATTAAGAAAGATATACAGGACCTGAACCCTGCTCTGGATCAAGCAGACCTGACAGATATCTACTGAACTCTTCACCCAAAAACAATAGAATGTGCATCCCTTTCAATGCCACATGGCACTTACTCTAAAATTGATCACATAATTGTAAGTAAAACACTCCTCAGCAAATGCACAAGAGCTGAAATCGTAACAGTCTCTCAGACCACAGCACAAATTGGACCTCAAGATTAAGAAACTCACTCAAAATCACACAACCACAAGGAAATTGAACAACCTGCTCCTGAATGACTTCTGAGTGAATAATGAAATTAAGGTGGAAATCAAGATGTTCTTTGAAACTAATGAGAACAAAGAGGCAATGTGCCAGAATCCCTGGGACACAGCTAAAGCAGTGTTAAGAGGGATATTCACAGCATTAAATGCCCACATCAAAAAGCTAGAAAGATCTCAAATCAACAACCTAACATCACAACTAAAAGAACTAAAAGAACCCCAAAGCTAGCAGAAGACAAGAAATAACCAGCATCAGAGTAGAATTGAAGGAGACAGAGAAACAAAAAACCCTTCAAAAATCAACAAAACCAGGAGCTGGTTTTTTGAAAAAATTAATAAAATAGACTGCTAGCTAGACCAATAAAGAAGAAAAGAGAGAAGAATCAAATAGACACAATCAGAAATGGTAAGGGGGATATCACCACTGACCCCATAGAAATACAAACAACCATCGGAAAATGCTATAAACACCTCTGTGCAAATAAACTAGAAAATCTAGAAGAAATGGATAAATCCCTGGACACATACACCCTCCCAAGACTGAACCAGGAAGAAGCCTAACCAGTGTGTCAGAGATCTAGGGGAATTGGCTCCCCATGGCAGTACTCTGAATTAGTTCTGGGGATGTGCACATGGTCATGCCAAGTGTCTCTCCTCCAAGAGCTTCTGTTAGACTAGAGGTATAAATGATGCTGAATAAGGGCCCCTGGACTTAATACCAGATAAGGCATGGAGATACGTGGACAACCTGGGCATGTTACTTGTTCTTCCTGGGCCACAGTTTCTTTATGTTTGAAATGGGGATGGCAGCACCTGCTTTCTTAGTAACACTGTGAGGGTAAAATATACATATAAAAATGCCTTAGAAATGTAAAGACCTGAGAGTTTTTGAGCAAACCAGAAAGTTATCGAGAACCTTTCCTTTTGTGCAATTCAGTATATTTTGGGGGGTAAATTTTAAACACCAAATAATCCTCAACAAACAAATGTACAAATAGTTCCTGAAATGAGGCAAATATACTCCTCCTGGAACATAAAACAATTCAAATTTCCAACAAATTTATCAAATATGTAAATAAGTGTTGATAACTTGAAAAACAAAAAAGGAATAAAATCATGATACATCAACATGAATGAACCTTGAAAACATTATGCTAAGAAGCTAGACATAAAAGGACAATTTTAAATAATTCCATTTATATATTTATATTAAGAGATAAATGTGTTTTCATATCCCAATTTTCTCCTCATCTATTCATAAAAGGCAAGCTGCCCAAAGGAAGCATGCAACACTGCAAGGAATGCAATTTAGTGTGGCTGGGCAACTTTGGCTGGAGGGGGTACAGAAGGGAGAAAGAAGATGGAAGACAGTCTAAGACTCAAGGCATCTTGCGACTCTGAGACTTCAGAGGTGAGGCCACCTATGAACTGGGTGGATGTTTGGGAAAACATGTAATTCAAGGCAGTTCTGAAACTCTGTGGGTTTTGTGTGGATTCCGAGGTAATCCTACAGTAGAAAGTCCAGCCAAATGGTGAGAATAAGCAAGAGTCTTGGAGAAAAATGAACAGAATGAAGGCAATGTCCTACCATAATGCATGCTCTTGCAAGGACAGACAGACACCATGATATCCTTAGGATCTCCTGAGGCAGTTTGTGTAAAAGGAGGCAACTTGCCACCAAAGTGGGAAAGAAGTGGTTAAACAGCAACAGTAGGGCTCCTGCTTCCTGGAGCTGTTGGGTGACATTTCCCTGCAACAATCCTAGAATCTTAAAGTGTGGTGTCGGTTTCACTTCGGATTCCAAACGGGAAGGGACTTTTCCTGGCAAACGCAGTTTAAAGTGTTTCTTTCAGTGTCATGCTGTACAGAAAAATACTAATCCCACAGAGAAAATTAGTCACAAAAACAGAAGGAAAAAAATACAACATGAGTGCAGACCCAGGACACTAAAGTCAGAGAGACAGAACCACAGCCTCGCACAACCATTGCTCACATTGTGTAAAGCATTACTGGAAGGAAACAAAGTCTTCAATAGAAACCTGCTGCACCACTCTTAGCAAACTCCTTTTGTTTGACCTGGGGCCACTTTACCTGTGGATTGTTTTGTAGCAGATTTTCCAGGTAATGCTTAGATTTTTCATGCTCCCCCAGTTCATTGGATTGGGCTTCAGGGGTTCTTTCTGGTGTGTGTCTGATTCAGATTGTATTTTAGGAATACTTAGAATTGAGGAAGAATAGGATGCTAAGCTACTGAGTGCAAAGCCTCTTTACTAACTTCCAATAATATCTGAACTCATGTCTAAGGAACATAGAAGCATCTTTCAATTCCTAGTCTCATTTTCTCACCATTCAAATGTTCCTTAGGGAGAATAGAGATCCTATGCAAGTCTCAGGAATTGCTCTAGAGAAAACTATCTTTCCCCAAGCTTGAGAAACTTATCCCAGACCAACTTTCTTTCCCCAAATTTTGTTTAAATTAAAAATAGGCAACTAGAGGGGGTCAGCTAGTTGGTGTTCCATAGATGCTTTCCTTGAAGCAGGGTAAAGAGCTTTGATTTATTCTTAATTGTTTCTGTCATTTAAGGGTGCATCAGAGACCCTGTTGTAATATTAAATTATATCACTATTGAGGAGCCCATAAGGCTGGGGCCGGTACAAGGATCATCATGAAGTGCAGCTATTGAGAGCTACTGACAACTTCTTAGAGGTGTGGCTGAAAGCAGCTAGCAAGAATATAAGAGACAAAATCTTGTGTTGAGGGAAGTCACCTGTGAGAGCAGCAGGTAGATGTTGAGGCTTGGGAGACCTTATTGTTCTAAGATACCTGGCCTTGTCTTCCAAACAAAAAATCATCCTTGACATGCAGAAAGACTACTGATTTCTCAATAGATTTATAATGGAACAGATATAATGATGTGACCTGGAGCAATTTCTTTAACCTCATACAGAATCAAATTCCCCATCTGCACATAAAAGTATTTACCTCATAGGTTTATTGTGAAGCTTAAGATAAAATATGTAATTTACCTTGCATAATGCTTGGCATATAGTAAGCACCGAATATACATTAGTTATTAATATTGTTATTTTCATGAGCAAACCTAGTAGTGATAAAAGCTCAGAAACACTGGGTAGGAGCTTGAGCTAGCTACAGAGAACTTGAATTGTAACCTGGCCTTCAGATTCCTCATCAGAAGGGTGGGACCAGGAATAAGAGCGAGCGTTACACTTGGCTCAAGTCCAAACTGCATGACTGCACAAACACTGTAACTGCTCTGTATTCAGACACATTTGAAAGGATTTTTCCAGCATAAATTTCTAAATGTGCTGCTTGTTTTGTAATTCAATCTAGGGCAGCAGCAGCAGTGCTATCATTATTTACATTTCTAGCTTTTGGTCTTGGATCCAAAATATTTGTAGCAGTGTGAATTGGCTCATAAGAAAATTCTTCTCTTTTCTTCAAAAAAGTTTCATGTTACTTTCTTTTATACCTGTAAGCAAGTAAATATTAATAATCTTTTACATTGATTTGTTTCTGAGACATTTGGTCAGAAATAATTTGCAGAAATAAATTGATTCAGACACTGTAGCTAATTTAACATTAATTTTTTCCTATTTCTTTGATTTTTAGAAATTATTCCAGTAGAGGAGAACCTCATCAGCAACATATTAACTTTCTGATATTGTTAATACAATTTTTTCATTTTAATGAACAAAAGGCAATACAAAGACCTTGTAAACAATTAGAAAATCATCTTGCCCTCAATTAAATTTTCTATTCTCCAAGATTTAAATTTTCAACAGTAACCTAAATAGCTGTTAACCCTCTATTCATGAGTGTAAAGGGGAGAAAACATTTTTGTTTATGTATATGTCAAGTCTTAAGATTGTTTCAATAGTGACCAGTTCCTTTTCAGTCTTTCCTTTACCTTGGTTGTGTTTGAGTCTTAAGTTCTCGGACATTAATAACTGCACATTGGGTACTCAAATTCTGGAAGGACTAACCTGGCTGATCTATAATGGACAGCTGTGCATGACCCCAATAAATGAACTCCTGCATAATCTGCAACTAGTCTAGACTACAAGCAGTAAATAGTTGTTGAAGGATGAATGATGGAATGGTCAGGACTTTTCTATGTAAGAAGGCTACTGAGAGTGTTCACTCCACACATAAGGTTTCCAGGTACTATATGTTTCTATTTCTGTCTGTATTTCCATTTACTCTTTCTTTAAATCTTTTATTGTCTCCTCTTGGCTCCAAACTGTGGATCTGGGACCACATGCGACTCCAAGTAAACTTTCAGCCCTCAAATGACCTCAGTATTACATCCTTCCTGAAGTATCGCAGAATTTTTCTCTAAATTAAAGGAGAATCACAGGACGTCACACTTAATGACTGCTGATTCAAAATTAATTTTCCTTCCTTTGATGCCTAAATCTACTTCAGCACATAATTATAGAATTCTGCTTTGGAAGGGGCCCTAGAGCTTAATCTAATTTTCAACTAATTGCAGGATTCATTATTAGAGAACCAATGATAGTTTGTAAATCAGTCTTTGAGCATTTACCTGATAAAACTATTCCATCAGTAGTTAGAAACTATTCCATTAGTACTTAGCTCTTAAAATGAGCTAAGACCCACCTCCTTAAAACTTCCTTTGAGCAAAGCTTCATGGCCCCACAAAAGAAAAGATTTTCCTATTTTCATTTAAAATATCATATTATTAAATTATCTCTAAATGGCAAATATAGCATATTTTAACAGGAAGTATTCCTAGTGGTTCTATCTCCATTAATCCATACTCCAAAATATTGCCCACTCTTTTAAGCTACCAGCCCTATGCAGTATCCCAAATATCAGTGCCAAAACCAGAAGTGCATTCTCCTATTACATTAATAATAATTTTACAGTATGGTGGCAGGAAATGCACTTTCAGTTCACTGGCTATAGCTATTAAACTATGAGGAAATGACTGCCTGGAAGGCAGCCAGGTCCTTGGCTTAAAGGCCAACTCTGAGGAAGACAAAGGTAATACAAGAAGGGAAACTATGCCACCTGACCAAAAACGTTATTGAGACACTCTAGAGCAGTGCTTCTCAACTCTTTGTGGTGAAGGAACTTTTTTTTTTTAATTTCCAATCGGCCATGGACTTTTGTAAAATACGAAATGATGCACTTGGATAAAGCAGCAATGTGAAATGCTCTAAAAATGTCTAAATACTTACCATTTGTATACTTGATCAGTATAATTATATACTTATACGATTTATATACTTATTATACTTATCTCATAAGGGACTGGTAACAAACAGTTTTGGAACTGGTGTGTGGAACACATGCTGAATAGCACTGTTCCAGAGAGGGAGAAAGGATGAGAATTACATTTGCCATCCTATTCTTTTAGTATGGTTCAAGTGACATGCTAGAAAGGAACTATTCCTGCTGCTGGTAAGTACCAGAGATGTGTGTATGTTAAACATAAGATTGGTGGCCCTGCTTAACAAGATAGTAAACACTTGGCTATAAAGATAGTATCGATGAAAACAATTGCCATTTATAAACCATGTTTAAAGTAGTTTAATGATGAAATCTTGGCTAATCATATGAATATGGGGAAAAGTATGTTTGCCCAGAAGTAGGTGGTATCAAAAAGCATTTTCTCACAGTTATGTAATTACCAAGAATAGAGTTTAGGGAGTGACTCTACCAAGCAGGCAAAAGAGAGGACTTCCAAGAGAGTAATTTTGTCAGCAGAAACCTGGAATAACCCCAAGGTCAGAGGTAGTAAGGAGGGAAAGGGACTTGACAATAGGATGATAGATAGTATATTTCATTAAAGGAATGAGGAATAGTTACATGAATTCTTCCTCTATAAATGATGTTTGCTCCAAGACGAAGACTTCTAAAGGAAGAATTCTGACACTGAAGGCTATCATATTGGGAATCAGGGCCAAAGAACAGGGCAATACCTCATGGAATGTCTGACTGCTACATGGAATCAGAAGACAAGCTAACCATCCACCATGAAGGGGAAATACTGGCTTTTCTCTCTTTCCACGTACAATAAACAAGAGATAGGGCAATCAGATTCTGCATTAATTGCCAAGGGAACAAGGATTTTTCACATGTACAGAAAATATGAATTCCAGCTAAAAACATTTTCTAATCTAGGTCTTCATATGTAAATGTAAACAGGCAACCGAGAATCATCAAATTGAGTGAAAACCAAAAACATTAGATCCACCAGACTCAACCAACACAATAACTAATGGTTAAAGAAATAGTATGTGGAGAAAACAGAAGTGAACTATATGGATAAATAGGATTTAGAGAAAGATTTTTCACACTCAATCACACAATGCCCAATACATAATTAAATACCTTGGATCCATAAAATAAAAATAAGCTTTTACAAAAAAGGAAGTAATCAGAGTTCTTAGCTATAAGCAATATAATCCACTTGGGCTTTTCTAAAAGTAAACAAATACCTAATGAGTGGTAACTATGTGTTGGTTATTCTTTTAGGCACTGGGGATACAGCAGTGAGTAAAATAGACATTCCCTGTCCTTAAAGAGCTTATATTCCAGTCAGAGGCTAGAGATTATAAGGAAATAAACATATGATTGAGGTAGTGATGGCAGAGTAAGGGAGACAGCAAGTGACAGGGGTGTGTGTAAGTGTGTCTGTGTATGCATGTACGTATTATATAGATAGAGTGGGAAGAGAAGGCCTCTCTGATAAAGTAACATTTGAGCTAGGAATCAAAGGAAGTGATGAGGTGAATCAAGAGCAAGAGAAAAATATTCTGAGCAAAAGGAACACAAAATAAAAAAAATTTGAGGTGGAAGTATCTGGGGGTTTTGACTAATAGCAAGGACACCAGTTTGGCTTCAGTGGGCTGTGTGAGAAAGAGTGATAGAAATTGAGGTGAGGGCAATAAGAATAGGCCAAATTATATAGGACCTTGTAGACTATTGTATTTTGGCTTTCACTATGATTTTTGCCTGGGGAACTAGAATAACTAAGGTACTGTTTATTATAATGGAGAAAATTATAGGAGAATCAGTTAATTTTTGTTGGAGAATGAAGAGCTGAAGTTTTGGACATGTTAACTAGGAGATGTGTTTTAAATATTCAATTGGAGATTTTGAATACCCAGTGGGATACATTATTCTGGAGTTCAGAGGAGGGATCGAGTCTATAGATATTAATTTGAGAGTTATTTAAAGTCATGAGACTGCATGAGATCAGCTAAGGAATGAATGTAGATAAACAATAGAAGAGGACCAAGGATTGAGTCTTACATTACTTCAGTATTTTGCAGTTGGGAATTAAAATATCACCAGAATACATATACACCATAGAATACTACACAGTCATAAAAAAGAGTGAAATCATGTCCTTTGCAGCAACATGGATGCAGCTAGAAGCCATTATCCCAAGCAAACTAATGCAGGAACAGAAAACCAAATACCACATGTTCTCACTTACAAGTGGGAGCTAAACATTGGGTACACATGAACATAAAGATGGCAACAATAGGCACTGGAGACTAGTGCGGGGGGAAGGGAAGAGTGTAAGGGTTGAAAAACTAACTGTTGGGTACTATGCTCACTACCTGGGTGACGGGATCAGTTGTACCCCAAACCTCAGCATCACGCAATATACTCATGTAACAAACCTGCACATATACCCTCTGAACCTAAAAGTTGAAATCATTTAAAAAAATGAATTTAAAAATATCACCAGAGGACATTGAGATGAAATAAATAGTGAGATAGGAAAAGTATAAAGAGGCTACCTGAAAGCCAAGTAAAGAAAGTGTTTCAAGAAGGAGAGAATAATCAACCATGTAAATGATACCAACAGGTTAAGTAAGATGAACACTGATAATTAACCTTTGAATTTAGCAATATGGAGATCATTGGTAATGTCAGCAAGGGTAGCTTGTAAAACAATGTCATCAGTTAAGAGTGAGAATGGAGTACTAGATTTTGGAGGTTTAAGGAGAGAGCAGATGGTATAAAATAGACGGCTGGTGGGTTATAAAAATGTCACAGCATTGCCAAGCAGCTCGAAAAGTCCACTTGAGGTTAATGGTCATGAATTTAAAGAGCCTAACATTAAATGAATACCAAACCAGTTAACATGGAAACAGAAAAGGTGGAAAGTTGGATTTAGGCATGTTTGGATTTTTTCAGAGGTGACTATGATGAATTGAAAGAAGGGAAAAGAAGTTAATGGTATATGCTTGGAAGTGTAATTGTAATGATGAACCATGAAATCTAAAGTCAGGTAAGAAGAGAAGTGAGAACATGTGTAGAGTGAATGGCAGTAAAAAGTAATAGGGGTCAATGAATTTGAGGTCCCAGTAGGTTCAAGAAAATGTTGGAATTGGGGCATTAGAAGGAGTGAGCAGAAAAGACAGGAAAAGATGGCTTGAAAAGGGGATGCTGAAATTGAGATTGTGTAAGTAGTATAGCTATTTATTAAAAGAAGGCTGGAAAACCAAGCTTGAGGTTCAGCTTCCAGAAATAATGTCCAGGACCATTGCCACAGCACTGCCCTGATAAGAAAAACTGTTGCTCCTACAATTAGATGCCAAGAAATTGGCTTTACTGCAGCAGCTACTGCTGCCAGCACTGATGCCACTACTTTATTAAGAACTTGACCCTGCAATCTCTGCCATCCCCCAAAGTCAAGTCCCTTTGCTACTACCTATTCCAACAATGGAAACCATACAGTTCTACCTTCTGCATGGCTTCAATTCTGAATCAGTCTCATGTCAGGGCATCTTACTGGTAGAACATAAGTCATATTCCTACATTGTAGTTTCAACACAGACGTTTGAGTTGTGACTTCTACATTTAAGAGGTAAATATTATAATGTAAGAATTTTTTCCAAATATAGAAAGGCTATACATGATATGTTGGTCAGACACAAATATGACAAATGTTTACTATATAGATTTTTAAAATTAAAAATACAATTGCCAAAATATTTCCCCTTACTAAAGGGGTGACTAGTGGTATGTACACAACTGAAAACAGAATTACTTTGTTGAAGATTGGACATAGTGATTCTGCCAGGATGCAATATAAAAAAAGGAAATTGTATGAAAAAAGTAAGAGACATATAGATATTTATGAGAATCCCAATATCTGTTTAATGAGAGTTGGAAAGAAAAGGAAAGCAAGGGAAGGGAAATAAAATAAAATAAAATAAAATAAAATAAAATAAAATAAAATAAAATAAAATAAAATAAAGGAAAGGAAAAGGAAAGGAGGGGATGAAGAAATCAAATAATGGACTAAAATTTCCTTAAATTGAAAAAGGACTTAAGTGTTCAGATTGAAAGAGCCCACCAAGTCTCAAGTAGCAACAATGGGAAGAATGACACATGTCTAGACAGATTCTGGTAAAAATTTTAAACTATAAAGTCAAAGTGAATATCCTCTTCCAGGCACCTTGGTGTAGCACATAAGCTACATATCCCTATGGGGTAGCTCTATTGGATCGCTAACTCACCCCTTCACCAAAATTAACTCAAATGGATCAAAGAGCTATCAAAAAATATGAAATCATCAAAAGATAAGAAATACTAAAAAAAAAAGCACAAGGAGATAAGGCACAAAACCTAGATGCTATAATTCCATAATGGAAAACATGATCGATGAGTTTGACTGCATAACAATTTAAAACATTTGCAAAGCATGGAGTATTATAAGTTAATTAAAAAGACCAATGGCAAAGTGATAAAAAAGTAATGTTTATGCTATAGGTTTAATGTCTTGATATATATATATATAACTATTGATATTTAAATGTATCTATTAAGTTCTTACAGATCCATAATAAGAAAAAATAGAAAAAATGGACAAAGAACAAGAAAATACAGTTCTCAAAATGAGACATATAAATAGCCAATATTTATATTTAAAAGTATTGAATCTCACTCAAATTTTTTAAAACTCAAGATATCATTTTTTACTTCTCAGATAGAAAAAGGTTGAGAAATTTGATAATATACTTGGTTGGCAAGAGTGTGAGAAAATGAGCATTCTCCTAAACTCCTTACCAGTAAGCTTTTTGGAGAGCAATTTGGCAATATTAATCAACATTTCAAAACATGTATTTGTCCCAGCATTTTCTCTTTAGAAATTTGTGCTATAGATATATTAGCACAAATATCCAAAATACATGTAAAAGATATTTATTGCAGCATTTTTGTAATACCAAAAGTCTGAAAACAATCTAAATATTTATTAGTTAGAGACAGGTACTTCTGGCAAAGAGAAGAGTCAAATATAACAGGAGTCTGTTTGCATGAGGACTAAACAGTCTCCCAAATGTATTCTTTAAAAAACAGCTTTATTGAAACATAATTCACATGCAATAAGTCACCCATGTAATGTGCACAATTTAATAGTTTTTAGTATATTCTCAACGTTGTACAACTATCACCACTATCTTATACCATAATGTTTTCATCAACCCAAAAAGAAACCCTGTACCCATTAGAAGTCACTCACAATTTCTCCTTTCCCTCAGTCCCTGAAACCACAAATTGACTTTTCTTTGTGGATTTGCATTTTCTGGACATTCACATAAATGAATATTATAATATATGACCTTTTGTGTCTGGCTTCTTTCATTTATTGTGATGTTTTCAAGGTTCATTCATATTGTAGGATGTATCAGTGCTTCGTCCTTTTGTGTCTAGAAAATATTCCATTGTATGGATAGGTCACGTTTTGTTTAGCCTGTCCTACTGAACAATCTTTCAACAATTATTCTGAATAATCCTATTGAACATTCATGTACATGTTTTTGTATAGACACATGTTTTCAACTTTTTTGGTTATATATCTAGGAATGGAATTACTAGATCATATGATAACTTCATGTTTAACATTTCAAGAAAATTCCAAACTGTCTTCCAAAGTGGCTGCACCACTCACAAAGTGCTGTGAGATTTACAATCTCACCAGCAGTGTATGAGGCTTCCAATTTCTTCACATCCTCACTACCACGTGTGATTGTCTGTTGTTTTGATTTTGGCCATTCTAGTGGGTATTAAGTTGTATCTAATTTTGTTTCTGCTTTGCATTCCCCTAATGACTGATGTTATTGAGCATGTTTTCATGCACATATTGGCCATTTGTGTGTCTTTGAAGAGATGTCTATTCAAATCCTTTGCGCATTTTTCCATTTGTTTCTTTGTTTTAGTTGTTGAGTTGAAGATCTTTATCTATTGTGGATACAAGTTCCTTATCAGATATATGACTGGTAAACATTTTCTCCTATTCTGTGGGTTGCATTTTCACATTATTGATTATATTTTTGGCAGGAAAAAAAGGTTTTGATTTTGAAGAAACGTAATTTATCTATTTCTTCTTTTGTCACTTGTGCTTTTCTTGTTGCGTCTAGGAATACTATGCCTAATCCAAGGTCACAAATATTTACTCCTATGTTTTATTCTAAGAGTTTTGTAGTTTTGGCTCATACATTTATGTCTATGATTTTGAGTTAATTTTTTGTACAGCATATGATTTGAAGTAGGAGTCCAACTTCATTCTTTTGCATGTGGCTATTCAGTTGTTGCAGCACCATTTGTTGAAGAGATTATTCTTTCTCCATTAAATTGTGCTGACTCCCTTGTAGAAAATCAATGGATCATAAACGTAAGGTTTTATTTCTGGACTCTCAATTATATTACATTTGACTATATGTATATCCTTATTCCAGTACTATACCATCTTGATTACTGTAGTATTGTAGTAAGCTTTGAAGTCAGAAAGATTTAATACTTTTATTTTGTTCTTCCTTTTCAAGATTGTTTTGACTATTCTGTACCCCTTGCATTTCCATATGAATTTTAGGGTTCATTCATGAATTTTTGCAAAAAAATCTGGCTGGGACTTTGATAGGGATTATGTTTTCTGTAGATCACTTTGGAGAGTATTTCTATCTTAACAATATTAAATCTTTCAATCTACGAATATGGAGTGTCTTTCCATTTATATAGGTCTGCTTTAACTTCTTTCAACAATGTTCTGTGGTTTTCAGTGTATGTCTTGTATTTTTTTGTTAAATGTATTCTTATTTTATTCTTTTAGATGCTATTGTAAATGGAGTTGTTTTCTTAATTGCATTTTCAGGTTGTTCATTGCTAGTGTATAGATATACAACTTACTTTTGTATATTGATTAATCTTGTATATTGCCATGTAGCTGAACTTGTGTGTGTGTGTGTGTATTTTAAATAGGGAATTTGCTATGGAAGTTTGTTACAAATAGATATATATAATTGCAAAAATAATTTTGTGTGCATACTCACACGTGCGTGCACACACACACACACACCCTGTAGGCTGTTGGGTAACAGCAGTGGAAAAAATAAGTAAAAAGTCTAACTGGAGAGTAATGAGATTACTAGTGCCTAAATCTCAGAATTCTTAGTCAAAACTTGCAGTAAAAAGTGAAAGTGAACACATCCCAGTTTAATCTTTTACCCCAATGTCTTTAAATTGCTTCGCATTTTACTTTATTAAAAGCAAAAGTTAATCTTCTTTATCAGCTCAGAGCTATTTTAGATGCTTCCCAATCTTCAGTCTTCCTTCCCCTGTAACTACTCCCTCTTTATTTAGAAGGCATACAATAGACATTAACCCTAATGTAGAGAAGTAGTGTGGCATGGGAGTTGAGGGTATGGGCTCTGGAGTTAAACTGCTTGGGTTCAAATCTCATTTATGCTATATATTTGCTGTTTTGCCTAAAACATACCTTTACCTCTCTTGGCCTCAGTTGCCCTATTCTAAAATGTGGGTTATTTTGGCACCTTCCTTAGAGGATTTTTGTGAGATTATGTATATAAAATACCTGAAACAATACACTGTAAATGCTCAATAAATGCAAGGATGTCATTAATATTACATGTCAACCAGTTGGCATATAAGGAGATCTGTCTCCAGCCTGGGAAGATTTTAAAATAAGCAAACAAAGCATCTTATTTTTAGCCTTTGGGCATCTGCTTTTCCTTGGCTTGTTGGAGAGAGTGTTCCTAAGGGATTCCCTTTTTAAAAGTTGGGGGCATGAAGAAGAAAGTGCCAGAGGGAGACAGTGAAAGACTCCAAGAAAGCAGAGAAGACAAATAGAAAGGAGAAGAAAGTTAGAAGGAGGAGAAACCAAAGAGGCCAGGGAGAGGAAAGTAGGTGGCTGGGGAGAGAAAGTATAACAAGAATAAAGTTCATGAAGGTAGGATGGTTGGGGGAGACCTTGTAATACAGAGCTAAGAACTTTATTGAAGTTTAACAGAAAAGAAACCCTTGTTTGAAAGGAAGAGATTGGCTATATTTAGTACTGGGTAGGATGTCAGTTCTGAAAATAAACTGCTCCCAGAACTGAAAGCAATCCTCTGCACTGTTGTCACCTGCAGCATGCTGGCCTCCCTTATAGAGGAGAGTGGAAAATGGTCATATCAGCTACCTCAGAGTTTCTGACATTCACAAGGACTTGCCCCACTTTGTCTCCTTGTCCCATTCCTAAGTTTTAAAACTTCTGATTAATGAGAAAATAATTTATACAGCTGAGAAAAGTGAAGTATATGTTGGTGTGTATGTGGAGCAGGGAAGTATCCTGCTAAGTTAATACAGGAATCTAAACACCATGTGGCCAGGTGCTTAATGCAATATTCACCACATCCATGGTACACATCTGGCATACCACTGTAGACACAGGGACCTAGTCAGAAGTATGACAGGCCATATATAAAGATATATTTGAAGCATCCGATAGGTGTCATAGAGGTAAGTTCTCTATGCAGATGTCATGCTTGTGTGACTTAGGGAACTCACATAGGGCATGCAGATAGGCTCAGGTTAGGATACATTAGGAAAAGACAGAGAATTCATGATTTGAGCCATCAAAAACAGAATGCATGTGGAGGAGGATGGAAATGAGGAGAAAGTTTTCCTTTTCCAACAGGAATAAATATAATTGTGTTCATAGGTACAATGCCATCTACTGCTCCTTTACAAGACACAGAGACTTACAGGTACATTTAGATACATACACACACAAATACAAACAACATATGTTGTGTTGGGAAAATATAGGTGATGCCTTTCACTGAATGAGAAAAAAAAACTAGAAAATGGGTATTTTGATGGAACAAAATATAACTAGAATTCTAACTTCTAACTTTAATTCATCACTTCCACTATTACCACTCTCTCATCTAGACAGTTGCGATAGCTCCCTAATTGTTTTCCTGCTTCCAACATAAACCCCTCTTCTGAATATATACTCTACAGGGCAGCCAGAGAGATCTTTTTAAAATCACAAGTCATATTCTGTCATTCCTCTGCACAAAACCCTACAATATCTTCTCAGCTCACCCTGAGTAAAATGCAAAATATTTAACATGGTCTGCAAGACTCCACGTGATGTAACCCTCTGATACCTCTCTGGTTTCATTTACTACTAATCTTCCCTCACCCTTCCCACTCTAGGCATAGGCGTGCTGATCTCTTTGCTCCTCCTAGAACACATCAAGTACATTCTGGCCTCAGGGATTTGCATTTACTGTTTCCTCTCTGTGGGAGAAGCCTTCCCCATATAGCTGGATGGCTTGCTCCCTCACTTTGAGACTCACCTCAAATGTCACTTAGTGAGGGAGACTTTCCATAACCATCATATATAAAATAGCAATTCTCCTCACCCTTTGTCATGTTTGATGGAGAAAGGAAGATAACGAGTACAGCTGTCTGATAGGTAGTTGGATATGTGGGTCTAGAGTTCAGCTAGAGGTCTGAGCCAGAGATGTAGATTTGGTATTTTCCATCACCCCAGGCAAGGAGAATAATGCTTGTAATGGTCTGGAGGTGATGGATGTATCATGCTTTCTGCATGATACATCCAAGGATCATTTGGGACTTTTTGAAAATGCAGCTTCTCTGGGTCTCACTCAAGATCTCTGAACAAAAAATCTCTGGAGGCAAGGTTTAGGAGTATGTAGCTTGATAAAGTTCCATATATAATTCTGATGTGCAGCCCTGCCTGAGAATCACACTCTAAAAAGAAACACGCACCTCCACCAAATTTACTAGTAATTCCAACAGAGTGGTCACATGAGATGGGTGCCCATCAGCAGTGGATTGGATAAACAAGTATATATTTCCTCCACATCTCAGTAAATGGAACAACTTTTCTTCATCCACACAGTCCCTACAATGATTCAGGCCACAGTCATCTCTGACTTGACTTATTGACAGATTCTATTGCAGTTTATGTGTTTATATAACTGTATTTCTCTTCAGTATTAGGCCATTTTGGCTAGCCCATCATTATTTAACCCCTCTGTTCTTCTATCCATTTGTTTTAGCAGACTGTGAGTAATGAGAGGATGAAACGATTCATTTATTCGTTCAACCAATATGTATTGATAACCTACTACATGGCATACCATGTCACATTCATTTCCGTATCTCACATATCAAGTATATTGCCTTACCTTAAGTATGTACTCCATATATGTTTGTTTTATATTCAAACTTACTGTGTCACAGATAAGGAAAATAGGGCCTAGAGATGAAGAATGACTTGCTAAAGCCACACAGCAGGTAAGTCCAGTTTTCTCTACATAGAACCACTTTGTCCCTCCCTCACACACTTCCATTATTGGTAACATTGCTCCTAAA
Organism: Homo sapiens; assembly: GCF_000001405.40. Taxonomy (NCBI): domain Eukaryota; kingdom Metazoa; phylum Chordata; class Mammalia; order Primates; family Hominidae; genus Homo; species Homo sapiens. The sequence goes on from NC_000023.11 coordinate 155,758,421, forward strand.
CTATTTGTCAGCTTCTGTGGCAAAGAAATAATTATCTCCATCCCCATAGGCTTTTCAGTTAAGAATCTATGTTCCCTTGGCATTGCTTACAATGCTGGTGTCACCACTGCTGAATCAGGATGTCCACAGATCAGCTTTTTATCTGGCACTTCTAAAGAGCTCCTGCTGACTTCAATAGAATATGGATAGAGCTGGCCTCCTATAGGAACTTTCAGGCTCTCAAATGGATTTGGGATGTGTCCTGGGAGAAAGAGAATGAGGAAAGACTTTCAGAATTTGTGTGGAAGCATGTGTTTTATAAAAACAAAACATGACAAAATGAGTTATAAGAGAGAATTGATTGGGTTTATGGATGAAGTTCCTGATAATGATTACTTTTGACACTATATTGGACTATCACATAAAGTTGGTTCTTTATGTCTAATCTATTTCCACTTGCTACAATTTAGTAAAAACCTAAATAAGTTTAGTACATTCTAGGAATATAAATAAGTCATGCAATGTGTAGCCTTCTAGAGAAAATTTCTGCTTCTAATTTGCTCAAGCTGAGTGTAAGGGACCCTCTTAGAATGGTTTAGAAACATGTTGTTTTGACATCTTTATATCTTTGTGCATGCCGTTTCTCTGCTCTCAATGGATCTTATTAATTCTTTTTTTTTTTTTTGACTCTTACACTGTTGCCCAGGCTGGAGTGCAGTGGCACAATCTCACTGCAACCTCTGCCTCCCGAGTAGCTGGGATTACAAGCGCCCACCATCACGCCCGGCTAATTTTTGTATTTTTAGTAGAGACTGGGTTTTGCCATGTTGGCCAGGCTGGTCTCAAACTCCTGACCTCAAGTGATCCACCCACCTCGACCTCCCAAAATGCTGGGATTACAGGCATAAACCATCACACCTGGCCAAATTTATATTTAAATATCACTTTTTCTTGTAAGCATTTTATAATCTCCTCAATTACTGCATTAGGTATATTTCCTCTCTGCTCCTTTCCAAAACACATGTCACCCTTTGTTACATTTGTCTATTGGCTAGCTTTCCTACTAAATTATGAGCCCCTTGAAAACAGGGATTCATTTATTAATTATATATTAACTAATAACATATCGCTATATATATATCTATATTAATAACATGTAACAAATTCATTTATTATTGTATCTTAATTTATTACTGTATCACCAGAGCCTGGTACAAAGCTGTCCCTCAATATATGTTTGCTGATTGTTGAATGAATCAAGGAGCTCCTAATTTAGTAAAGGAAATAGGCATGGAATCATGTAAATTATATTACCATATGATGACGGCAAAAATAGAAGTATGTTTACCAGGTGAATTTATTTACTAATTCCTTTATTCCTCCATTCAACACACACAGAGGACTTCTGTCCCAAGTCTATTGGGAAACACAGAGAAGTAAGTAAGCCATTTAAATATAGTGCAGTACATGCTCTGACAACAGTTAAGTACATCCTCTATGACTCAATTGAAAAAAATACTTCCTCCAGGAAGCCTTCCTTGACTTCTTCAGATAGAGTTTGATTTCTCTTGTCTTTATCTCTCATCTGTATCCCTAAACTTTATGTGCTTTCTTCAAATATAATGAATATTATGTTCTACATCTATTGTAATCACTGGTTTTAATGTGTTTGACTTTTCCACAAGCCAATGAGCCCCTTGAGGGCAGAGCCATTTTGATGCACACTGGAATAGAGTAGTAATCTCTCAGAAAATAATAGTAATGCCTACCATTTGTTGAGTGCCTATATTACTTATTACTTACATTATCTCAAGTCATTCTGTTTTCAACAAAGACTTTATTGTCCCTATTTTACAAATGAAGAAACTGAGGCTCAGAGGCTTAAGTAAGTTAACCAAGTATCACAAAACTAATTTATGGAACTGGTTGTAAGCCCAGGTCTGACTTCCAAGGCCTTAGCATAAGGATTGGCTTAGCTTTGGAATTGTTTTCTATAGTTACTATTTATTTGAACCTTGAAGTACATTAAACTTAGGGGGACTCAGTTGGCAGATTCTTAACCAGGTTTCAGGTGCTTAGATCCTTTTTCAGCAGAGATAATTCCAGGTAAAACTGTAACAGCGACAAAGTTTGTGTCTTTCTTTGACTCTAAAGCAGAGATCCCTAAACTTTTTGGCACCAGGGACCGGTTTTGTGGAAGACAATTTTTCCACCACGGTGGTGGTAGGAGGGGATGGTTTGGAGATGAAACTTTTCCGCCTCAGATTGTCAGGCATTAGTTAGATTCTCATAAGGAGCATGCAGCTTAGACCCCTCTCCTGTGCAGCTCACAATAGGGTTCACGCTCCTATGAAAATCTAATGCCACTGCTGATTTGACAGGAGGTGGAGCTCAGGTAGTCATGCTCCCTCAGGGGCCACTCACCTCTTGCTGTGTGGCCTGGTTCCTAACAGGCCGCCGACCCCTACCGGTCCATGGTCTGCGGGCTGGGGACCCATGCTTTAAAGTACATGCCATGATTTGGTCCAAAATGTCAATCCTTATACATTTTCCTGGAATTTGTCTCTAATATTGAATGCTTTTAAACTTCCTTCTTCATTTATTTTTTCCCATTGACTCCTTCCTTTCACTTGAAAATCCACTGGGTTATCCTGTGTTGAAATCTTATAACTCTGCCATGATTTTTTAGTTTCCTCTCAACATACTGAGATTTGACATTTTACCCCACCACCAAAACCATTTTCAATAAGTCACCAATACCCTATGGGGCTAAATTCATTGAATACTTTAAATTACCTATCCTAATTTCTCTTCACTATTAGCCCATTTTGACTACCCCATCTTTATTGAAACTCTCTCTGCTCTTCTGTGACAATGTGTATCCTGATTCCTTTCTAACATCTGCTTACTCCTTCTCTTGTTTCTTCACTGATTCTTCTTATTTTAATTTCAATTTCATTTTAGATTCAAAAAAAACAGAATTTGTTCTTTTTCATGGCTGCATAGTATTCCATGGTGTATATGTGCCTTATTTTCTTTATCCAGTCTACCACTGATGGGCACCTAGGTTGATTCCATGTCTTTGCTATTGTGAATAGTACTGTGATGAACAGGCACATGCATGTGTCTTTTTGGTAGAACTATTTATTTTCCTTTGGTTATATACCCAATAGTGGGATTGCTGGGTCGAATGGTAGTTCTATTTTAAGCTTTTTGAGAAATCTCCAAACTGCTTTCCAAAGTAGTTGAACTAATTTACATTCTCAACAACAGTGCATAAGTGTTCCCTTTTCTCTGCAGCCTTGCCAGCACCTATTTTTTTTTTTTTTTTACTTTTTAATAGTAGCCATTCTGACTGGTGTGAGATGGTATCTCATTGTGGTTTTGATTTGCATTTTTCTGATTAGTGATATGGAGCATTTTTTCATATGTTTGTTGGCTATATGATTCTTCTTTATCCTTTTGCTCTCTAACTGTTCCACATGGTAACACAGTCCTTTTCACTCTCCCTTTCCTCTACCTCAGCAATTTCATCCATTTTCAAAACTCCAATGATCTCTTTCGTGTTAACAAGCCTTAAAATTCCTCAAGTTCCTCTCCTGTCTTGTCACTTAAATTCTAGTACCATATCTCTAACTTTGTACCAAATATTCCTACTTGAAAATGTCTCATCTTTACCTCAAATTCAACACTTCTAAAGAATAACTCAAAGATCTCATTATCTTCCCTATTTATGGTATAGTGAAAGGAATACTAGACCAAGTGTCAGGAGACTTGGATTCTACTCCTGGCTCTGCCACTAACTTGGTATTTCCTGGTTTTTCTCAACAAGAGTTTATCTTATGAAAATCACAGTAAACAGTACTTTGAAGGGGTCATATATGAATCTTCAAGGAGCTAATTCTAGTTGGAAAGATAAGACATATACATAAGTTACTACAGTACAAATTAAAAAGTGATAAATACCGTAAGAGAAGTATAACTACATTGTCATGAGAGTTCAGAGGTATTTCTGGATGATGAGACAATGAATTATATTGTAGAGAAAATAATATTTGATGTAGTCTTTGGACTATTTGGAGGCAGAAACAATAATACCTGATTCATTTATGAGTGGAGGCTAACAGAGAGAAAGGTTAAATAGATGCTAAAGCTTCAAACTTGTGTAACTAAAGCATTTGTGATGTCATCTCAAATAAAAGAGAAATCAGGATGAGCAGGTAGCTTGTGGTTTTGAATACAATTTTATAATTGAGGTTGGTCTCACACCAGTCCGAATGGCTATTATTAAGAAGTCAAAAATCAACAGATGTTGGCAAGGCTGCAGATAAAAGAGTATGCTTATACACTGTTGGTGGGAATATAAATATAAATTAGTTCAACCACTGTAGAAAGCAGTTTGGAGGTTTCTCAAAAAAAACTTAAAACAGAACCACCATTCAACCCAGCAATCCTAATATTGGGTATATATCCAAAGGAAAATAAATCATTCTACCAGAAAGACACATGCACTCATATGTTCTTTGCAGCACTATTCACAATGGCAAAGACATGGAATCAATCAACCTGGGTGCCCATCAGCAGTGGATTGGATAAAGAAAATATGGTACACCATGGAATACTATGCAGCCACAAAAAAGAACAAAATCATGTTCTTCGCTGCAACATGGATGCAGCTGGAGGCCATTTTCCTAAGTGAAATAATACAGGAACAACAAAAAAAAACCCCTCATGTTCTCACTTATAAGTGGGAGCTTAACATTGGGTACTCAGGGACATAAAGATGGCAATTGGGTAGCCTGCTTACTACCTGGGTGACAGGATTAATCATACCCCAGCCAAAGTTCTTTACAACTCTAATATCATATATTTATTCCTTTAAACTGACCTCCCCCTTCCAACTTCTCAGTATGCAATGGTATCATATTCAACTGAAAACATCTCATCCTTACTTCCCATTCTCACTGTCAATTCCCTAACCAGGCCCTTATCATCTTCTGTTTAGATTACTCCAAAATACCCCAATTTGGCTGACCTGACTCTAGTATCTCCCCACTCCTATATATCATGCCCAGTGTATCTTTCTTAAATGTGGCTTATTTTCATATTTTATTCCTTTGTTCTAAAATTTATTTCTAATTCCCAGAGCATTAAGTCTAAATTGCCTGTCATTCGAGTTATTCTCCAGCACTATATATTCCAATCCTCTCTTCAATATACCTCTTACATAAGACAGTTTGAATGTTTCACTCTTTGCAGACTCCATGCACATTGCTACCAATCCAGATTTCCATGTGAATTCCTTCATGTGAATTATATATGGTTATTCATTTTCTGCCCAGATCTCAATTCCTCTTTGAATCCTTACCTATCTAATTTATTTCAACATTTGTAACTCCTTCATCACTTTCACCCATGCCCTAGTCTCTTTTTCAGTATGCTCTGTTAGATATACTCTCCCTTCTTTCAATATGTTTTTGAGTTAACTGTCATATCAGAAATGATCTGAACAACCGGTTACTACAAAGCATGGAAAGGTGTATTTTATTCATTACAAAATCATAACTCAGAGGTTTCTAAAACAGACTTAGTAAAGAAGATATTTCCAAGGCAGGGTGACTTTTCTGGTGTCCTTCAAGGTTACTTATTTATTTATTGAAAATCAATGGCTTTCAGAAATAGATGTGTTGATCTGTGCTGAGACAATATATCCAAATTCAACTGGAATTGAATTAATGTCAGCAAGGTGCCTTAAAAAGAGAAAGAAGGCATTGGATTGGGAAACAGGAGACCTGTGTTCACTACTAGGCCCAATGCTGCCACTTACTAGCTGTATGATCTTGGACAACTCAATGAATCTGTCAAAATATGTTTTCTGAAGAGTACACCATTAACTAAGGAGCTAAGAAAACAAATTTTCTGAAGTGCACTGCTACAACAATCTAACAAGTTTGTAAAAGAAGTTGTCTGGCAATACATAGTGAGTTTTGTAATGTCTCAACATCAAATTTCTGTATATAATTGTACTATAGTGATAGCCTATCAAAAATCACGGAACTTCGAGTTGTCTTTTAGAAACAAAACAGCTTAAAGAACAAATAAAGATATTCATGTAGATTTCCAAAAATTGGTTATCCATTCATTCAATAAGTATTAATTTAGTGATCAGTATGCTAGGCCTTGGGGATGTGGCAGTGAAGACAAATATAATAAATATTATATCTGCCCTCAAAGAGATCACTGTCTAAATTGGGAGACAGACAATTATAATAAAGTGTGATAAGTTCTGCAATGATGGTAAGCACAAAGGGGGCCTCTGGAGCACAAAGAAGAGGACAAATCTGTTCTAAACTGGTCTTTTGAAGAGAGAGGTGATTAGGCAAGGCTTTTCCTGCAATAAGTGACTGCTAGGCCTATAGGATATTCAGGAATATTATCTTAGTCTTATTGGGCTACTGTAACAAAATACCTTTGACTAGATAACTTATAAACAACAGAAATGTATTTCTTACAGTTGTAAAGGCTGGGAAGTCCAAGATTAAGGTGTTACCAGTGTCTGGGGGAGTCCGACTTCCTCATAGACAGCACCTTCTCACTGTGTCCTCACATGATGGAAGTGCCAAGGCAGGTCTTCGGGGCCTCTTTTATAAGAGAACTAATCCCATTCATGAGGGCTCCACATACATTATTTAGTCACCTCCCAAAGGCCCCACCTCCTAATATTATCATATTGGTAGATAGGTTTCAACACAGGAATTTTGGAGAGACACAAATATTCAGACCATAGCATTTACCAAATAATTTTTAAAAGTTAGAACAAAAATCCCTGAAGGGATTTGCAGATGGTTGGATACTGTGGTATAGTGGTTAAAAGTACAAGCTCTGGAGTGAGACAGCCTGAGTCAGCCTGAGTTAAAATCCTAGATCTGCAAACTGCCAACTGTGTAACCTTGGACAAGTTACTTAAGGTCTTTGGACCTTGGTTTCTCATTTTAAAAATCAGTATAATTCATTAATATGCCTCATAGGTTTGTTGTGAGAATTAAATAGGTTAAAACATGTAAAATTCATAGAACAGCACCTGGCAAAGAGTAAACATGTCACCCTGCCCACTTGAATGTCAATTCCAGGAGCGCAGGAAATCTAGCTGTTGAATTACTAGCCTTTAGTGAGTGGCCCATAGCAGGCATGGTTGAATGAATGAATGATCATCAATTTAACTTTTTTTGTCATGGGTATCATCCTAAGAGGTAAGAAGGCTGAATAATCCCAATTGTTTTCATTGTTGCCTTAATATAGGCCCACAGAGTAAAGGAGGGAAAGGAATTAGGCAACCCAGCTATTCAACTTTAAAGCTAGACTTTAAAACATAAAAGGGCTTCAAATTGAAATCATCTCTTGCCTCTCCTATGGGTTACATTAGAGCAAGAACAATTTCTTAACATTCATAGCTACTATTCATGGGGTGCTTGCTATATGCCAGAGAGGTTAATTGAATTGCCTCAAGGGAGGTAGCTCCCAGGTTGAGGAGCAAAAATTTGAACCCTGATCTATTTGACCTGAATCTAGTTAGTACAGTGCTTGACACATAGTTAATGTGCAATAAATATTTGTTGAATAAGTGTAGATGAACCTACAGTGAATCACAAAAGAGAATTTACAGGAGATTTCCTGACTAGAAATTCCAAATGGGAAAAGAGAGCTGGATTTGTTTAGAAATTACACACACGCACATACACAGGCATGCACGCATGCACACACACATATACCTACATACATGTCATCACAACTGTTTGGAGCACCTTAAACACATACATACACACAGGAGCATGCAGACCCACACAGCCGTACTTTTTTAAATCTCATTATTTCTTTTGTCTTCTTAACACATCTGAGAGAGGGTAAATGACAGAGTGTCAGAGGTAGAAAGGACGTTAGCAATTACCTAATCAGATCCCCTCATGTTAATGTAAAAATTGACACTCTAGAGGGGAAGAAAATTGCTAAGGTCACACAAGGAGTCAGAATAAGATTAAGAGTCTCAGTTTCCTGACTCACACAGTTTGTTTTACTCTGAACTGTCACCATTTACCATCTCAATTTTATAGATGAGGTAACCAAAGCATCCTAAGAATGCTGATGGCCAAGCTCCTGCCACTTGTCCATTGAAATAGGACTTGAAATCAGATCTCCTTTATTTTAAATATAAAGCTGCTGTCATCCAAGTTCTTCTGTCTGGATGCCCAGAAGAAAGATCCTTTCCTATTGAATTAAATAGTGGACTGAGGGTAATTTACAGAAAGCTTTGTCCTTGGCTTTAAGAGAAAATGTCCAAGGCTGCTTTATTTTCAGTCCCAGGGAGGCTGCATGAAGGCAGGAATCCACAACACCTAGCACAAAGGAAGGTACTCAATAAATATTTGTTGTTGAATGCATGCCATGCTAAAGGGAAAGTAGGTTGGGTAATGGTTTCCCAGTGGCAATGGATGGGCTGAAAAAGTGGGAACACATGAGGAAGAGGTGGGAGGAACCCTTAAACAAAGGAGAAGCTCTTTCTCTTCATCTTATTGAAGCTGCAATCACTCGGCACAGGCTGAGTAGATTGGTAGAAATGTGATTGGCAAAGATATTTAAATGAGACCTCCTTAAAATTGTTACTCTCCACCCCACCCCCACGTTCCTTTAAATTTTGTTTCAGTCATTACCCAGGGACCGGATACAGAGATTCCTATGGGGAGTTTTAATGGGTCGATTCAATTTCATCTGGATGACGCCACTTCGCCAAGCATTAAGAGCTACAGCTCCGGGAAAGCCAACGACACGCGGGGGGAGGGGGGAGAGAAAGAAATTATAACGAGGAGCAATAAATCCCTTCTTTCCCATCCTCCCCTATAACCCATTCACAAGACCTCCAGAAATCATCTACATTCACAAAACGGCCAGCTAGCTAAGCTGAACACACTGCCAACTCACTCCCTGCCCCCACTGCAGATTATATACCAACACACCCTGAGCCATATAAATAATCACACACTGGCGGTATCTATTGCTCCGTTGAGATACCCTGTGTCTACAACTGCAGTTTCTGCTGCTTCGGTTCATCTGTCAGATTGGAGGAGAGGGAGACCAAGGTGGAGGCGGAGGCGGAGGCGAAAGAGGAGGGGGAGGAGGTAAAGGAGGAAGAAGGGGAGGAGGGAAAGGGGAGGGCAAGAGGAGGGGAAGGAAAATACTGGAGGGGGAGGGGGAAGAGAAACAGGAGGAGGAGGAGAAGGGGGAGGAGAAAGAGGCGGAGGAGGAGGAGAAAGAAGAGGAGGAGGAGAAAGAGGAGGAGGAGGAGAGAGAGGAGGAGGAGGAGAGAGAGGAGGAGGAGGAGAAAGAGGAGGAGGTGAACAACTTACCCTGCTGAGCTTTCTTTGGGAAATACGTCCATCAAGATTTAGATCTGCCTGTAAAATCTATACAAAGTATATGCCACTACAGGTTTGACTCGCCCCCTCCCCCGTTTTTTTGTTTTGTTTTGTTTTGTTTTGTTTTGTTTTGTGTTTTCTCTGCTGTGTCAAAGAACAAGACAGAACTATCTCTGTTTCTGGCTCCACTGCCTGCCAGTGAAGGAGTTTTCATTCAGACTTTCCGAAGAGAGGTGGAGAAACCTAAAGACTGAGGAGAAGAGATCCTTTGAGCCAGATGGGGCATTAGTTCTTCTGCTTTTCTCAGCATGGATAAACCATTTCCTCAAGGTAAGCCATAGAAATTAGCTCTTTAAAAACCCAGAATTCTTTCTATGCAATGCACAGATTGCCATTCATTCCAGCCATCCTGTGCTGTCTCTGTGTGCGTGTGTGTGCCGCGCGCTTGGGCGCGCGCGCGCAAGCGCATGGATAAAATAAAATGAAAACCCTTTAAATTATATTTAAATAAATCGGCTCTCGCAGAAAACTATCCACATTGGAAATGTGTAAATCCAAATAGGACTTCAAAATAATATTTTTCTAGGCGAATGTCAATTTAATTTCTAGCCTGTTAACCTTTAAATGCATTTTGGTACTTGCCTAAACCCCTCAAAACGCAGCCTAACCACCCAAGCTGAGGACAGAGAGAGAGCCCGTGCTAAGGCCAGTCTGGCTGCCCAGCGGGCATCCTGTCAGCATGGGGCTAGCCTCTGCTATTGGCTCACAAGTCTGGGCTGTGCATCGTTCAGATTTCATCACATCACCTTGCCCTGGGTAGACATGGCGCAAGCTGACACGGCAGAACCCCCCACTTACATTGAGTCAGAGCAGTGATTTAGAAATCTCTGTATCCGTGCCTGGGTACGTGTGCACATGTCTCTGTGTGGCATATGGAGATTCTGTCAAAAGTGAGAACCTGTGAGCACGTCTAGTTAGCCAATAGGCATTTGATAAGACCTAGGGCAATGGTTTACTGCACACTCACTTCCATGAAGCTAATTATAATTATCATTCTTCACCTCTGCATGCTGCAAACCAAGTTGGATGAACAGAAAACAGACCTTGAACTCTTAAGCAGAAAATCTATTTTGAAATGGAAACTATTGTTGCTTTTCTGGTAATATTAAAACCTCACTGTATCATGATGTGTTATCACATGAATTTGGATATACCAGGTGTTAAATCATGTTCCCAAAAAGTCGGCTGCATTCATAAATACAAATAAGGCACAGGCTAGCCGTTTATCCACAATGAAATATTGGTCTTGCTCTCCTTGCCTCTAAACAAACATATACAAAGACATTACTATAACATTCTATATATTTGTCTCTTTGTGTTCTGTTTTTAGGTCTCTCTAGCTGTGAAACAGTCTAGATAGTGATCTGAGTGACTTAGATTTGAAGATATTTATTAAGAGTTGAGGAGTTGAGTAGTGAGGAAGTAAAGAACCTAAAGGAAAGGACACTAATTCTTCCTTAAAGACTTTTGAAACAGAGAAATGCAACCAACAAACCCAACATAAAATTTAGAGCATCTGGACAAGAAAGGCCTTTAAAAACCCTCCTTTTATTTTGCAGATGAAGAAACTGAGGACCAGAACGGAGGTCATTTGCCTACAGCCACGCAGCAAAGTAGAGCTACCATTAGGACTAGACCTTAAATTTCTTGTGTCATATAAAAGGATTTGAGTTTTTAAAAAAAAAATCCTACTTCTTAGATGAACAACCAGCTTCTTCTTACAATTTTCCTCAGGATTAGATGTGAATTCATTTGGTATTACAAATTTTCCCTGTATCATTCATCACTAAAAGACCTATATCTTTTAACATTCAAGGTCTTAAAACTGCAAGACTCCCTGGTTTGAAATAAACTGCTATGAGTCTTAATGAAACCATTAAAGTAATGAATAGGACTAGGGTAGCAAAGTGACAAGTTAAGAGTTAAATGTGGTGAGAACCTGGCAGCTCCAACAAGATGTATGCGGTAGGAGGGAGGCCCAGTCAGTGGCAGAGAGGTTAGTAATGTAAACTATATACAACTTGGTATTTGTAAGGGGGGAGTGCTTTGATAGAGATGCAAATGCTTTTTGCACAGAGAGGGATTTTTAGAGAGCAGACTTTGGAACAGTAGAACTAAGAAAACATATAAAGCCAAAGCAGAAATTCCCCCTATGTTTGCTTTCAGTTATTCTGAGTAGGAGTGTATATAACAGCAGAGCATAGAAAAAAGCAACACACCTAAGAGCCGTTACACAGTAGGGTACAAAACAGCATTGAACCCGTGAGACTGGGAGAAAACAAGAGCCAGGATCTCCTCTTCCTCACTCCACTCTTCTTTGAAATCAACGTTGAGTCATACTGTATCGGAAAGGATTTACCATAGAAATCAGAACTGTCTTGCGGTGTTAGCATAGAAGGGCTTTAGATAGGAAAGTTTTCAACTTTATTCTCAACATGGCAGATTTTAGGTTCCAGGGAGAAAATACATTTTCTTTCATTAACAAACATTAGCATTTCTTGAATGGGCTTAGCTTTCTAGTCCCTAAATTGGCATAAGAAAAGAAATTTTTTTCAGGTTGAACATGGCAAATTCAGGGCTACAGAAAAACTGTTTAGAAAGCTATGAGCACCTGGCCAGAGAGACTGTGATGGGAGTGGGTTTACAATGCATCATTCATTACTGCAGAGGCACTACGTGACAAAAATCACTAGATCCCATCAATGTGCAGCCAAGACCTGTAATCACCTTTGCTCTTATTTAATAATATGTGATGTGTACATTCTCTCTCTCTCTCTCTCTCTCTCTCTCATTTGATAGACTATGGAATTGGCCAACTGCACAGTTTCTTAACTGTTGCTGCTCACAATGAATGGCTCTTTAGTGGGTGGATTTCTGAATCATAAACATTCACGTAGTGGTACTTTTTCATCTAGCCTATGTGCTACAGCAGTGTCTTGCCTGTTCCTTTCTCAACATATTTTTCCCTCTTACCTTCCTGTACAGTATCTATTTCAGTTCATCCTGTTAGCCAGATCAGATTCAGCATGTCCAGAATGGCAAACAATTTATTGTCATTCAATCCTTAAATCCTACTCAACACTCTGATTTTATTCAGGTCCTACTGTCCACTTACTGCAGGTCTCCCACATTAGATCCCAGAGTCCATTTGAATAAAAGATTCTACAGAGCAGGAAGAAACCTTCTAAGTTCATCCTGTCAGTTCCCTTACTTGTAGGCAAGACAGTGCATCATTATTTCAGACTGAAATAATGCCCACAGCTTCTTTTAATCATCCAACCAAGCATCTCAATTTATCAGTCTTGCAGAAATCGAATCAATATTGAAATACAGCTTTTCAACCTAAACACCATGTACCCTTCTGCTCCCCAGACAGGATCCCCTTTGAACATAATTCTCATTATTGTTTCTGAGTCATTTATATTATGACCTAGATTCCTCCCAGATTAGCTTTCAACCTTCTGGGCATGTCCCTGAGGTTCCTAGTGACATCCCTAGAATCCTGTCTTTGGAATCTCACCTGTTTATCTCCTGTAACTTTGAGACCTTGTATAACTTCCTTTAAATTATTGCTTCCTGGAATTTTCAATATGTTTTGAATCTAGTTTCCTTTGGGAAATCAATTAGTCTAAACTGCATTCAGCATGTATATTATTGTTCTTACAGTACAAAGGACTTGCAGGGCTCCACATATTCTTTAGCCGATCAATGGGACATAAATCTATTTCTCATAAATTTGTCAAAAGACTCCTCCCAGTCCCAAGTTCCTACATCTACATACCCTCCAAGCCAAATGAACAATGTGTCCTTTTTTATTTGGGTGTCTACATGAAAGCTGCCAGTTCCTTTCCAATGCTGAGACTATGAATCTATAAAGATACAGCAAAGGTAGAGGTGGCAGGTTGCATGAGCCTTTGAGTGCAAGTAAATAAAGGAAACATACATTTTGCTTTTGAATGCCCCAATAAGTAAGGGCACATTGCCCACCTTACCCTCAAGGACTTGAAGATGTAGAAGATACGGATGAAAAGAAATATTTTATAAAATTGTGTAGTTATAGAAAGAAATACAGACCATAATGGCTCAAGGTCCTTCAAGATCACCTTGTTCACATCACATATCCTTCAGTTTCACATAGATAGTGAAACTGAGGCCCAAAGAAAGCAAGTGATTTGACAAAAGTGACATAAATATTTGAGTCTGAGAGTTTCCATAATATTTATTTGCATTCTCTTATGCTGCATTTATTTAACACCAAAACAACTAGTTAAAAAGTGAAATTTTTGTCAGACTGGTTCTTTGATGTGATATGCCAAAAAGGTTATTTGTAACCAAATTAAATCTTTTCAAGTAATGAGCAGATGTAAATTCAGCTTATCAGGTTTGCATGAGGATATAGCCTCAAAAGTCAACTGAGTCTGGTCATATTATTAGCCACTGAGTCCTTTATGAACTGCATCCTTGTTTTTCCTGTTATTGAGCTTTGGGCCCATTTCAGTGTCATGTTTGCTTGCTTATGGAAACGTAATCAAGCACCATCCTCTCTCACTTGTTCATTTCTATTACTCATTCAAGCTATCCATCACATACAGTAGTGTGAGTAATTGATCTATTTTGAGAAGGCCTGAAATCTGATGGATCTCAAATATATACTTTATTCATGCTAGTGTTTTGCTACGTCCTAATGCCTCCAGGATGTTTCCTGGATTTGTGTTTAGGTTTCTTCATGTACACCTTTTTGACTCTTCAGTCTTCTAGGTGGTGCAATACAGCAGTCTGCTATTTGTACAGTATTTTCCCCATGGTCATCATTATCAGTTCTAGGCTTGGTAAAATCCTTCAGGGAATGACCAACCACCTCTTCCTGACTGTAGTACAATGGAAATGCAAGCATATGCTTTCTAGACATTCAACTTAGCTTAAATATGGTATAAGAATATCACTTTCCTTTAAGAAAGTCAGTTTATTGTGTAAGGTAGTGATAGAGAAAAGAAGTCCAAGCAGATTCTGCTTGGTAAGTCTCATCAATATGGAGGTGACTTAGGATAGTAATAGGTATAATTACAGATGATTTTTGAAATAATTCAGGACTTGTCTTCTATAGTTCCTTGATCCCCAGTATTACTCCCACGTGTACAAAAGTTTGATTCTGGAGCCTCCATTCCATTTAAAAAGAATCACTTCCTTAGTAAGTTAAAGCAGCCAGTAAGGTGAAGAGAACTGCAAGATGATTAGTCTTGGTTTCCTTATACTCTTGGGAAGCCTTTTTTTTTCCTACTACACTGCAGACAGCTTAATTCCTACCTTCTGTGTGTTTGCTGTATCTCTGCCTTTATTGCATTCTCCTTGCTTGCCTGTATTCACTGAATCAAGTAATGTCCTTTCTTATCTGTTTATTTCTGCTTATCACAAATTCACACTGAAAAGATAATTTTGATTGGATATATATATATATATATATATATATATATATATGAGCAACTTCTCATGGGAGACTTTTGAGGCTTTCTCTTTTCCTTCAGCATTGCTTCAGAAAATAGCCTTTGCAGTTAATATTAGGTTCCATTTGTATTAGAATTCTGATGCCCAAGGCTTGGATGTCTCTGCTAGCAAATACCTGAATGAGCTAGCTGCTCCTGTGAAACTAGGCATTTGATGGAATACAAAAAGAATCAACTATCTGATATTTGTTCCCAAACTTCTTTATAGTCTGGAGGGGATGATGAGATTTGCCTATAAAGAAGTAAGTGAGGTTAATTACAGAATAAAGGTGTAGCATGAAGATTACTGTAAAGTAATTGAAGGTAGTGGTGGTGATAGGGCCTGAGCTTTGTTGGTTTCTTGCAAAGTACTTATGCCTGTGTGTTCTCATTTACTGTTTTTATGCCTTCTCTCCTAGGATTTTCTCATGTGCCCTGAAATCCATGTAACTACAAGGGCTCCTCTTTATCACCATAAGTGCCACCCTGACTTAAAACCACTCAGAGCTAAAAAATCAAGGCAAAATGGATGCTGCGGTGACAGATGATTTTCAACAAATTCTGCCTATTGAACAGCTGCGCTCTACTCATGCTAGCAATGACTACGTGGAACGGCCTCCAGCCCCCTGTAAACAGGCCCTCTCCAGCCCTTCCCTTATTGTGCAAACCCACAAGTCTGATTGGTCTCTGGCTACCATGCCTACTTCTCTCCCCCGCAGTCTCAGCCAGTGCCATCAACTGCAGCCCTTGCCTCAGCATCTGAGCCAATCTAGCATTGCCAGCTCAATGTCCCATAGCACCACTGCCTCTGATCAAAGGCTCTTGGCCAGCATTACACCCTCACCTTCAGGCCAATCCATCATCCGAACCCAACCTGGAGCAGGGGTCCACCCAAAGGCTGATGGTGCTCTGAAGGGAGAAGCTGAGCAATCTGCAGGGCACCCTAGTGAGCACCTCTTCATCTGTGAGGAATGTGGGCGCTGCAAGTGCGTCCCCTGCACAGCAGCTCGCCCTCTCCCCTCCTGCTGGCTGTGCAACCAGCGCTGCCTTTGCTCTGCTGAGAGCCTCCTCGATTATGGCACTTGTCTCTGCTGTGTCAAGGGCCTCTTCTACCACTGCTCCACTGATGATGAAGACAACTGTGCTGATGAGCCCTGCTCTTGTGGGCCTAGTTCTTGCTTTGTCCGCTGGGCAGCCATGAGCCTCATCTCCCTCTTCCTACCCTGCCTGTGCTGCTACCTGCCTACCCGTGGATGCCTCCATCTGTGCCAACAGGGCTATGATAGCCTCCGGCGACCAGGCTGCCGCTGCAAGAGGCACACCAACACTGTGTGCAGAAAGATCTCTTCTGGTAGTGCACCCTTCCCCAAGGCCCAGGAAAAGTCTGTATGACCTTCCAACAAGGTGGATCCAGAGCTTTTCTCCTTCGAGTCCCCAACAGCAAAGCATAGGCCTCATCTTTGGAGAGGGGGAGGAGTGATAAACTAGCCAAAGTTAGGGCCTCTCTTTTGTTCCTGCAGTGTCAGGGGAATGACCAAGTACATCCTGGTGCAGGATGCCTTGTTCTTTCTCACAGTATCTATCCCACTCCTCTTCAGTCTTTACACCCTGCCAGCTCAGCCTTTATGGTTGTCATGGCAAATTCAGGTGATATATGGGTATGAGGTTTGAACACTGAGGACTGACAGGGCCAGCAACGTGGAGGTTTAGGGGCTCCCCAATGTAATACCTCTCGATGCAGGCTCTGATCGTCACTCTGTTTTCTGCTGTGCCTTTGGAAGCTTTCTTCTAAGATGGTTTTCACAGGTACATGTGGAACAGCGTTCAACCTTCCAGGGAATACGACCCCTTCTCCCTGTTACTGCCCTTCTCTTCTTTATTCCTCTCTCCTCTTTCATTATTCTGTTCTGTATTCCTTTCCCCTTCATTCTCACCCTGTCTGCTTTTACTTTTTCTCTTTCTTCCTCCCTTTCTCCTTCTCCCCTCCTTCTTTTTCAGACTGATCCTTTCTCTGCCTGTATTTCTATCTCATTTGATCTATATTTGTCTCTCTCTACCTGTCCCTTTTTCTCTAACATGTCCAAAAGTGCTGTTTTTCCATAGATGTTTCCTTAGATGCCAAACTTTGCTATGCTATACTATTTACTAATTTTTATTAAGGGAAATGGATTACTGTAATGAACTGATCACTAGCAATAGTGTGTATCCCGATGTGTGTGTGTGCTCACAACCACTCTCACCTGTTCGTGAGCGCATGAGGCGAAGTTATCTTATATTTCCAGGTTTAACTAGTTGGAGTTTTTCTCCCTTTCTCAATAATCAACTTATAGTGCTGACAGATTCCACTAGCATGCTGAGTAGGATAGTAAATCAGGATGCTCATAACTTTGTATGTCTGACCCAAGTGCCAAAGGCAGACGTGCTTTATAGCTAAATGAACAAAGCAAAGGATACAGAGGTATGTTCTCTCTTAGAAGCTAACTTCCCTGAGACTGCATGGCTCAGGCGTTAATAATGGACATAAAAAGTCATAAAACGTTAGAGCTGGAAGGAATCTTAACTATTAATCTAGTTCAATGCCCTTATTTTACAGATGGGAAAACTGAGGCCTGGAGGTAGGAAGGGACTTGCCCCCAAGGCCGCACACTGAGTTAACAGCAGAATTGAGACTGGAATATAGGCCTTCTGACTCCTAGTTCAGTATTCTTACCCCTGTACCACATTGAGTCATGGGACTTTTTCCTAGGGCTCTATTAACAGTGACAGAAAGCCATTCCCATTCAATTACTTTTCAGGAACCATGCCTAGTTAGTGTGGTGGTCTTTCTCCAGTGCATGGTGGGTAGCTAATTAACTATCAGGTGTTGAGGCTGCCCCCAGTGGACATCACCTTTGGCTCTGTCACCTTGTAGAAGCTCAAGTGTGGAAAAGAAAAGCTTAAAGAAGCCCTAACCAAGCTGTATCTTCGCCATTGCATCTACTCTTTGCTGCACACACTGTGCTTGCTCCTGGCTTTGTCTGCAATGGCAGCTGCCTGAGAACTTAAATTTCAGCAACAGTGAAAAACTGAGATGAAAGATGTATAATGTAGAGAACTGACTTCTCTCTTAAAAAGTACAGAGAGCCTGTGCTGTGAACCCCCTTCAATGGGAAAAAGCTGCAGTGGTGATGGCAGGCTCCTAAAGACTGCTGCTAAAAGACACAAGAATTATACAGTTTCCCTCTATAAGTGAATCCAAAATTCACTGACGAATTCAGAGATTGAGGGCACTTGCTTGAAATCAAGGTGCTCCAACTTAGTTTAAGACCTCCAGACTCTAACTTTATAGATCATCTCTTCTAGAGTGTGCATGGATGTGTGTTGCAGGGTGGAGAAGTGGGGAGAAGTGTATAGTAGTACACGGGGGGAAGAGGGGACCTCCATGTCCCTTTGTTGGATACATATTACAGAAATATGTGCCACTCACTTTTTGTTGGTTCTGAATCTTCCTGAAGTGTACTGACATTTGGGCTGCACAGAGCCCCACACCTTCACTTACACCTCCTCTTCTAGAATTGCTTTGCTCTATTTTTGTATATATAAATATGTTATGATGATTATTAATAATGTTAATGATATTGCTGCAAATGGTGCCATATATAAGGTTAGGCTTCTTGGAACATTTATAAACCCAAACCAATACCTGTAACCTCTTATGTTGCTTTCAGATCCTTCAATTTTAAGTAACTTTTTAATCTTACAAGTCTGCTTGATTGTACTTTACACTTATCTACCCTGAAAAGCTCTGCCCAGTTCTCTGGGTCAAGCTGGATGGTGATGAGTAGCAACACACACTTCTCTGCTTCTGCCTGAAATGTGCTTAGAGCTCAGTTATCTAAGGATTCTCTGACACTAGTGCATTGTTCCTGGAGCTAAATTATTCTATGGATGTTTGCTTATTAGTTTCAGGCCCCAAAATAACACGAGCCCCTCCTCCTTGATAGCTCCTTGATATCCCAATCTTGCAGTCCTAACTCAGGCAAATTGTGCACTGCCAGAGGGGCCCTGGGTTCTGCCATATACCCAGAGGAGCCTTTCTCAGTGTGTTTCTAAATGGCCTTACACTTGGTAGAAGAAATTGAAGGGTTACTCAAATACAGTTGCAATCTGCAATCTGCTGTTGAGTCAGGGCTTTCACTTGTGTCCAAGTTGGCCTGATATGGACTGCATCTGCTTTACGTATAGATGGGTCCTGTTGGGATATGCGCATGGACGTGTGAGTGAGTGTGCGTATGTATCCCTTCTGTGATTATATATATTCACACATCTCTATATATTTTAATGTATTGCACATGTATATTTAAAATATATACGAAAGAACTCTAAATCCTGCAGGGAGGCTCTGTTTTCATTATTTTTCTACTTTGTGTCATGTCCTGTATAAACAGGAATATTTAGAGGGTGTTTCCTGCTTAGCATTTTTTTGCAGTTAAATCATCTGTTAGCCCCTAACTCTACTGCCTTCCACATATTGGTTCCTTGATACATTTCATATGATATCAGCCAAGAGTTTTCCTGTGGTTCCAGCCCATCTTCCCTAATCACAATAGCAATAATAAATATAGTGAATACTTACATAGTGCTTACTATATGCTAAGCACTATTTTTAGCATGTTATTTATATTAGCTCATTCATTCCTCACAATTCTACAACATAGGTATCATTCCAACCTCTATTTTACAGATGAGAAAACTGAAGCACAGAGAAGTTAAGTGACTTGCCAAAAGGTAACAATTGTAAATGGTAGAGCTAAGATTTGAACCCAGGGTGTCTGACTCCCAGGTCCATGCTCCAGAGTCAGATATAGAAGGCTGGAGCACAGTGTAAACCATTCTGGAGTAACAAGCCTCAAATGGTGAATAATTCTTTCCCTAACTCTGGTCCACCTGCAACCTAGGAGTTAAAATAAGTATCTTGCTATGTTAAGAGTAAAGCAATAGTTACAGGCATCATATATTAGCTGTCTTGCTCCCAAAATGGTGACATTACAAACTTTTCCACTATTCCCTTTGAAAACATGCTTGCAGCCAGTTACCATTTCTTAGCTTATGATGTAGAGCTATTAAGGGAGTATTTTCACTTGTGCCAAAGAGGGTAAGCGTTTATTAGCCTTATCTTTATTGGCCAGGGAAAACTAATTCAATTTTTTTTTGAACAAAGTATAACTGAGACTATTTTTGGAGCTTAAGATTTGTTAGAGCTGTTAACATTCAACCTTATTGATTATATTGAGAGCGCTCTTCTGATTCAAATGTAAGCAAACCACTGATGACCACTGGTCCGTATAACACATTTTACCAACAGCTCCTTCACACTGAATCCTTTAACTTGGCCAAAGGACCCTTAAAGAACATCTAGTCCAATGTCAACATTTTATAGCTGGAGAAAGGGATGCACAGAGAGGGAAAATAACCTGTCCAAAGTCACACAGTTCTGAAAATTGAGTGGAATTATGACTTTATACCAGAGTTCCTAATTTCCAGGTATCTTAGCCTCAGTTTCTTAAAAAATAGAGTTTGAAGCAAAAGCTATGTACGATCCAGGGTAGTATGAGTAAGGAAAGGGTTAATGAGGGAGGGAAGAAAGAAGAACAAATAAAAAGCATGTCACTGAGTTGGCCACAGTCTGTTCCTTGGCAAGCTAATTTCGCAATTTTTTGTGACAGACCATATAAAACTACTACATCTCCATACAGCCCACGTGGTGGAGGAAAGGAGGTGAATTCATCTGCTAGCTCTCATCTCATTAGTCAAATTCTTCCCCATGTGATATTTACCCTTCTACATTTTTGGGTAGTGCGTGATGGGCACTTAAATATGTACCTTGGCATTTCATGCTTCAGCAATAATGGGAAGGATTGTGGCTCCACTATAAACAGTAAGGCAAGTATATGAATATAGGGAGATTAAATTTAAAGTGCTACACTAGGGTGGTGCTTTTACCTTATGTCTTTAATCACATTCCTTCGAAGTAAGTTAGAGATAACCTACCACCTTTAAAGTAAATAAAGCTTTATTGTGGCTCTTAGAACTGTACTATGTTTGCCTTCCTGAACCTATTTATTCTCTAGCTTGCTTTAAAGGGCTTCTTTTTTATATGGAAATTAATTCCCTGTTCAATTAAAGGAGTAACAAACTCTCAAAATATCTTTCTTCTTAATATAAAAAGGAATTTCATATTATTGAACTCCTCAAAAAGCATGTGTAAGTCAAAATATGTATGTGAAGGCACATATGTTCTTTTAGGTTCCATGAGCATAATAGCAGGAAAACTGGTTAAGTCAATAAATGCTGGGGAAAAAATGGCTAAACAAGGTATTCTGTAACATGAAAATAAAGCAATGAGTTGGTTGGCTGGCTTTTTAAAAAATATTTCAGCCACTAATTATGACACAGACACATTATAAGAATTATGCTACCTTTTATTCACATATACAATAGTTCCCTGTGTCCTATAGATCATTGTCACATAAAGCAAAAGCATTAGTGCCCCATTTGGACCTTTGGCCGAAGGTTTGATAAGATTTTGTAGGACTGAAATTCTTGGTCCCTTTATCCTAGTTTAGGCCCATATCCTTATTTTCACTCTCAAAGATAAGATCATGACACTACCAGTGTTGCTGCTGTTAAAGGCCAGGATGGACAAGATAAGGAAAGGCATTTTGGGAATGACACTGACTAATGTTAGGAATCTTGCTGTCATTACAATCCAAGTTATATATGTTTGCTCCCATATGTATTTGTTGGCCAATCTCCTGAAAAAGAAGAAGGTAATTCTAACCCACACATTGTCATTCCCAAACTAACCTGGCAATCCTTTTGACCATACCAGGTAATAGTCATCCCTCTGATGGTAAAAGACAGAGATGTCAAGGCTCTGGAAGCTCCCAGGTCCTTGAAGAACTAACTAAACTGCTGAACACAGAAGTGGTAATGTAGGCAAGCCACAGGTATGTTCTCTTGTAACAAGATGGGGTTGACCATATGTGAACCCTGAAGAGTCATTTTGAACCTGTGTCCTAAGGCCTAGAGTACTTTAATCCTCATCTTCAAAGTCTTACCACTCTGATAACAAAAAGAAACACTACAAAGAAACTGCAAGGAAAGGGACAGTCATTTTTTTTAATATCTACCAATTATTTAGTTATTCATATATGCATTTCTTTATATAGAAAAGTATTTATATGAAGTTTCCAAAAGACTCTGATATTCAGCTTTATAGTCTTGGATAGAAAATCATGTGTCCTTGGATGGGGATTCACACACCAAGGCTTAACAGAATTAGTTTGGGGAATACTCATTTTTACTCTAGAGATTAGTTGGCTTAAACAACTTTACTCGTGAATTTTTTTCTTAATGGAGGTGAAGACCTCCCAAAGAGGAGAAGGCCCCAGGCCTTTCTTAATATATAAACCATATTGAAAGAAAGAAAGAAAAAAGTAATGGGAAGTAATAGTAAATGTGGATCCAGAAAGAAAAACAAAGGTTAAGAAAATGATGTATGTGAAAGAAAAAAAGCTCTATAATCAGTGTGTTTCTCTCACCTAAAACACCATTTACTAACTACTTGGTTCAGTTGTACCCTTTAACTCTATTTTGTCCTTGACTTATATCAACACTCTTCTTTTCCAAACTCCTATAGCTCTCCATCTGGAATGATTCTATGGGGTGGGGGGTCGGGGGAGGAGAAAGGGAGACAGCAGAAGAAAGAAAGAGAGAGAAAGATAGAGAGAGAGAGAGAGATGGGTGGAGACTTGGCCTCTCTCCTAGAGGTTCAAAGTTAGAATATGCCACTAACACTATCTGCCTTTCAAACTCCCTTCTAGGACATGCTCCATAGTACTTAGATCTTATATCAAATGACAAGGTTTCTCTCCTTCAGAGAGAAATACCAGACTGGATTTGTGGTTTCCCTGGATTGGTTTTTTCTGAGTCAAAGTGGTGTTGTAGAAATCACAGTACCCTGAGACCAATTAAGTCAGAATCTTTGGAGGTGTTGAGGAATGGATTTTTAAAGTTCCCAGATGATTATAATATGCAAACAGATTTGAGAAAATTGAATCACTTTATTCCATAAATGCAGATAGTGAGGCTAAGAGAGGGAAAGTGACTTACTCATAACCACACCGTGAGTTAGTGACCAAGTCAGGATAAGAATCCAGGTCTGCTGACTCCTAGGCCAGAATTCTTGTCTTTATACTACACTGCTTCTATCTCTACCCTATTCCCCCTCTGAGCCTTTGCTTTTCTCATCTGTAAAATGACGATAATAAAGCCTAGAGAGTGTATGAGAATCATTAAAGCAGAAGCATTTTTCTTAATGTACAAGGTTCTATACAAATGCAAGGGAATTAATGTATAACATATATGTGGGGCTAAGTCTCTAAAACAACATAATAAAAGTTGTTTTTATTTTAGTCAATCTTTTAGGTATTGTGTCTACCTGATAGCATGTAACAAGATTGAACACTTGTGTAGGTCGTATGTGCCTTTAATCTGAGGTTGGCCTCAGTGACAATCAAAATTAGCAGTTGAGGAAAAAGGTCATACATTTTTCTCTTGCCCTTGCTGGAATAGGGATCAAGAGGAATATAAAAGCAGTGGGATATCTGGATTTCTTATACTCAGTCAACCACAACATGGCCTTAGTACTGAACTAGCCCAGGGTTTCAATGGAACTCGTAGATCTCATTCCCAAGGCTGGTCCTGGTTGAAGGGAGAAGGTCAAAAAAGGACGTGTCTTCTGAAAGGCATTACCCATGGAAAGCCAAGGGGGAGGGTTGCCCACTAGGAGGAGCTTCTTTTGTAGAAGCCAGAATGGAGGAAAGGGGCTTTCTGACTTGGAGCATCTGAGGAAATAGATTATTTGAGGATCTAGTACTCCCAGAATAATCTGTAACCACAAGAAACACATTTCTTGAACTCCAGCGCCCCAGAACAGGATATCCATATCCAATCCCATCGTATCCATCCTGGATGTTATGAATTTCCAGAGAGGGCCACTTCTACCCCCCTAGGAGTCATACATCTGGCTACTTATTTGTTAAAAATAAAATTCTGTACCATTTATAAAATGGGCCTCTTATGTCTTCCTTATTTTGAAATTATAATATACATTCCTAATTCATCATTCATTTTTGCCAATGATTTTTAAGTATTTATTTGAAAGTTATTTTTAAATACAAAAATATATGTATTTAATAAAGCACTTCTTTATCTTCTTATTTGAACCATACTAAAAAATGTAAAACATGCCATGATTAAACTAGGTAATTCTATATATCACATTACAAGTAAGTTTTAAAAATCTATTTGGTAAATATATTCTCATTTCATCTTGAAATACCTCCCTTTTAAGGGGAGGGTAGAGAGACAATGAATTACTGTAAATCAAGAGGCCTAAAAGTATAATGACAAATATTTATAATTCAGATTCATCTCAGGCAGGGGTTTCTTTTCAGGTAATTAAGAGGTGATGACCTATGTTCAGGAAAAATTGGGTTGTTTAGAGGCCATGTAGGGGCCTATGATTTCCTAGAAAATATAGACCCAAAGAGCTCCTTGCTGGTAATTACACCGCCGAAGAAGTTCGTATACTTTGCCTCACAACAATTAGCACAAGAGCGTAGGTATGAGCTGCATAAAGTGCAGGTGAACAGAATGAAAAATCAGACTCAATCTGTAGTTCTGAAGGAAGGGTCAAATTTGGTTGTGGTAGGTGTTAATAGTTGAAGAAACTGAAATCTATTTCAAGAGCACTTCAGATAAACAGGATGGAGACTGGAGCCAAGAAGGAGAATAAACAGTAATTACTGCATAAGAGGCTAGAGCATACCTGAAGTCCAAAAGCAGCACTGAATTTAGAATCAGAAGATATAGATAATATACAAGAGAGTGTGCAATGCAGGGAGCCATGCTTGATGGGTTTCATCTAAAGGATTGTAGCTCCACCTTTAGCAAGTTAGCTTTTCTGTGCCTAGTTTTGAACCCAGGAACCATGACTCTAAAGATTTTGTGCTCTTAACTACTGCAATCTTCTTTTCAGTACAAAAATGGCTACATTAATAGGATTATAATGCATCCCGATTTGCCCAGGACTGTCTCAGCTAATACCTGTTTCTAAAATATTTATTAATAGTGCCTCCTTACACTCTGAGAGCGTATCTTGACATGACTTGTATATAATTTTTAATATGATGTTTAATCCCCAATTGTTTATTATCCATCATACCCCCAAACTCTGAACCTCCCTTGTTACCCAGATTACATTCCCTCTCTCCCTCTAGCATACTTGCCTGACAAAATCTGAACCTTAAGTATAATCACTTGTTCCACATTTTCATCTAAACAGCTGAATGTGATTGGAGAAAAACACAAAACGGTACATTCAAGCGTGCCCTTAGTACCACCGGGTATTATTTATTTCTCTCTTCAGTTTATTTTCAAATCAACTCTTTAAAAGGACTGCTTCACACTTCTCTCTCATCACACCTCAATACCCCACCTCTCCATGCCTCACTCCCATCCTATGACCTTGCAATATATCACTGGAAAATAGCCTTTCTTTTGAACTCACTCTAGCCAAGCTTTTAAACCAATGCTCACCAAAATAGCTCTTTTCAATGTCACCAATGATCCTACCTTTGCTAAATCCAATGGTCAATTCTCAGTCATCTTATTCAGTTTATCACTAGCATTTGTACCAGTCCATCGTGCCGTCTACATTAACAGCTACCCCCACCTGAGACAATGAGCCGCATGCAGTTAGTTTATTTGAGGGAAGTGATTCAGAAAACAGGAGAAGGGACTGAGAAAGGTGAGCCAGGAAAGGAAGGAACATCAGTCCAAGGGCATGTTATTGATCTGTTTACTACTATAGGCAACTGAGGATTATTTCCACTGAAGATTATTCCCACTGAGGACTCTCTAAGGAGCCATGTAGAATGCGCCCCAGAATTTTCCATCAGACATAGAAGAGGAGAGTGTTTTTCTATCAAATCTCATCTCCCATTAATTAAGTGTAATCCTAGAGGGTGTTTACTCACTGGCACTTGCAAGTTGGCACATGATTTGGACTCACTGAGCAGGGTCCTTCAGGTGATCCACATGGTGGTGGCAGAGAAGCCCCACAGCAGGAAGCAATAGTATGAGATAAAGCTGAATGAGGTAGCATCAAGCTACACCTACATGTAGTTACTGCAGCATGGCCTGAACAAAAAGGCGGTCCATATTGAAATATATTCTTTATTTGGCTTACAGCACACCACACTCTGCTGATTCTCCTCTCACCTCATTGATCGCTCCCTCTCCAAGCCCTTTGATAGTTCTTCCTCATTTTCCTGAACTGTAAATATTAGTGTGCCTGAAGTTTCAGTTCTTAGTCCTCTTCTCCATCTACACTCACTCTTGTGGTGATCTCATCTAGTATCCTTGATTTAAACACCATTTATGTACTCACAACTCCAAAATTTATAGCTCTAGCCCAATCTCTCCCCTGAATTCCAGAATGCTCACTTAAAATCTCTACCTACGAGCTTAATAATAATATAAAACAACATGTTTAACAGATAAATCTTGATTTCTATGTCATTGAGTTTTCCCTCACCTCAGTAAATGATGATTCTATTCTTCAGAGACTCAAGCTGACCATTTGGAGGTATCCTTCACTTCTATCTTTTTCTCATGTCAATCGGTCAAGAAATCCTGTTGGCTCTACCCTCAAAATAGATCCAGAATTTGACTATTTCTCAGTATCATTACTGCTACTACCTGTTCTGATCTACCATTATCTCCTCCCTCGATAATTGCAGCAGCTCTCTGATTCCACTAATCCCAAAGTCTAATCCCAACAGAGAAACTGCGATGATTGTTCTGAAGATGAAGGCCAGCCAGATCTTGTCATTCTTCTGCATAAAATCTTCCAGTGATCTTCCAATTAACTTAGAACCAGACTCATCTAGTTATGACTATAAGGCCCTACATACTCTTCCCCTGCTATTTACATGGCCAGCTCTCTCACTTAATTCAGGAGTTCACTCAAATGTCACTTCCTCAAGGAGGCTTTCCCTGAATACCCTAAATCAGCATTGCTCATCATTTTATCCTCCTGTTTTGGTTCATTTTCCTTCATAGGAATTCTTACTACCTGATTATATTATATGTTACTGTTGAATAAATAAGTTAATATGTGGGAGTTTAAATTGGAATGGTCTTTCTTAAAGTCAGCAAATATTGATCAAATGTCTCTTATGTGCCAGACAGACATTGCTGTATGTACTGCTCCAGTCTGTTCCTTCCCAAAACTCTTCTCTTGCCCCTGGAAACTCTACTTCTTTCATTTCTCCATTTTTGGAATTAACTGGGATTACAATGCTTCCCCTTCAGTACTCTCCAGTGGAGACTGTTCATTCTCCCATATATGGCTTCATTTCATTCCCAATGCAGCCTAGACTCCAGAGAGATGAAGATTTGAGTACCATCTTCATAGGAAGTGTTGGTTGAAATTGGAAATGTGTGATATCTCTCTCTGGCAGAAAGTATAAACTGGAGAAAAGCAAAACACCAGCAGAATCTTTCCTCTAAAGTGATACCTATCATGATTAGAGAAACCATACAGTTATGCTAGCAAGAATGCCAATTATATAAGAAAGGCAAGTTCACTGGGTCTCTTTACTGTAAAAAATACTTCTAGAAGAATACATTTGGAAACAACTACCATATGAATATAAGAGATAACAATTATTGAGTTCCTACTATGTTTCAGGCATAAAATTAACATTTAATCCTCATGACAACTTTATGATATAGAAATTTTATCACTATTGACAATGGATGTGGAAACAGGGGCTTTGGAAAGTTACTTGCATAAGGCAATGAAACTAACAAGTGAAAAGAAGTCCTAGGATTTAAAACCAGGTTTGTCTCAAACACCATGTTCTCTGCACTCTGCAATATCACCTTGTTTGCTAATTATATCAATTTAGAATGTGTGCATGGAAATTAAACATGCATTGTTAAAATTTTTACTAGATCTATCAGCAGCTTTCAACATAATTGACCCTTCCCTCCTTTAAGTTCTTTCCTTTCCTGGCTTCAATTAAGCTACATTTTCCTGTTTTCCCTCCTAATTATGTGGTTACTTCCCAGTCTCTTTTTCTAGTTTTTTTTCCTTTATCTGGCCTTTAAATATTGAAGTACTCAGGACTCTTCCTGTCCCTTTTGTTTTACAAGTCTACACACTTTTCCCAAGAAATGTCATCCCAAAACTCTTCCCTGGCCCCCAAGAACCATTTCTTCATTTCTCTACTTCTGGAATTTACACTCTTATGACTTCAACTATACTGATGACTCCCACATTTGTATCTCTAGCACACACCATTTTTCTTTTTTCTTTTTCTTTTTCTTTTTATTTATTTATTTATTTATTATTATTATACTTTAAGTTTTAGGGTACATGTGCACAATGTGCAGGTTAGTTACATATGTATACATGTGCCATGCTGGTGTGCTGCACCCACTAACTCGTCATCTAGCATTAGGTATATCTCCCAGTGCTATCCCTCCCCCCTCCCCCCACCCCACAACAGTCCCCAGAGTGTGATGTTCCCCTTCCTGTGTCCATGTGTTCTCATTGTTCAATTCCCACCTATGAGTGAGAATATGCAGTGTTTGGTTTTTTGTTCTTGCGATAGTTTACTGAGAATGAGGATTTCCAATTTCATCCATGTCCCTACAAAGGACATGAACTCATCATTTTTTATGGCTGCGTAGTATTCCATGGTGTATATGTGCCACATTTTCTTAATCCAGTCTATCATTATTGGACATTTGGGTTGGTTCCAAGTCTTTGCTATTGTGAATAGTGCCACAATAAACATACGTGTGCATGTGTCTTTATAGCAGCATGATTTATAGTCCTTTGGGTATATACCCAGTAATGGGATGGCTGGGTCAAATGGTATTTCTAGTTCTAGATCCCTGAGGAATCGCCACACTGACTTCCTCAATGGTTGAACTAGTTTACAGTCCCACCAACAGTGTAAAAGTGTTCCTATTTCTCCACATCCTCTCCAGCACCTGTTGTTTCCTGACTTTTTAATGATTGCCATTCTAACTGGTGTGAGATGGTATCTCATTGTGGTTTTGATTTGCATTTCTCTGATGGCCAGTGATGGTGAGCATTTTTTCATGTGTCTTTTGGCTGCATAAATGTCTTCTTTTGAGAAGTGTCTGTTCATGTCCTTCGCCCACTTTTTGATGGGGTTGTTTTTTTTTTTTTTTTTTCTCTTTGAGACAGAGTCTCGCTCTGTTGCCCAGGCTGGAGTGCAGTGGCGCGATCTCGGCTCACAGCAAGCTCCGCCTCCCAGGTTCACGCCATTCTCCTGCCTCAGCCTCCCGAGTGGCTGGGACTACAGGCGCCCGCCACTACGCCTGGCTAATTTTTTTTTTTTTTTTGTATTTTTAATAGAGACGGCATTTCACCGCATTAGCCAGGATGGTCTCGATCTCCTGACCTCGTGATCCGCCCGCCTCGGCCTCCCAAAGTGCTGGGATTACAGGCCTGAGCCACCGCGCTCAGCCACACCCCATTTTTCTAAGCTCAGTGCTGTATCCAATTGCATAGTCTATATCTACATATATTATAGATACCTCAAGTTCAACACATTCAAAATTGAACTAATTAACTTTGTTCCTCAAATCTGCTCATCTTTGATGGTTCTCAAACTCAATAAATGTTATTACTATCTACTCAAATGCTCAAGCCATAAGCTTGTGAATCCTCCTATCTTCAGTCTCTTCATCTCCTATATGCAATGAATCAAAAAGTGCTGTCAATTCTTCTTTCTTGAGAATCTCTCTAATTCATTAGCTTTTCTACATCTCCACAATCATAATTAACCAAAAAGCTATTAACAATGCCTTATTGTATTGCTCCAATAGCTCCTTAACTAGTTTCCTCATAAAACCTTTTATCCCCACTCCAATATTTTCTCCACATAGCAAATAATAATATTTTTAAATGTAAATTTTATTATGTCATTGTCTTACTCTCTATTGCTATTTGTAGTTCCCTAATTATTAAATCAAACTTCTTAATATTGCCAGGCCTCTGCCTACTTCTCTCCTACCTCATATTCTACCTTCTCCTCCTCACTGTATTCCAAGTATACTATCCTTCTTTCATTTTCTTAAACATACAAAGTTTTATCCTGCTTCAGGTAATTTGCCTATATTGGTCTATCAGAGCAAACCCCTTTACATAGCTTACCTCTGCTCATTCTTTACATCTCTTAACCATCACTTGCTCAGGAAAACCTTTTGTTTTGCTCCCTTGAAGACTAGATTATGTCCTTCGTTATACACTTCTATAGCACTTGGTGCTATCTCTGACTACACTACTAATTATTTAATTACAGATTTATTTCTGTCTTCTGCTAAAATATAAACTTTATAAGGGCAGGAATAATTATTGTGTTGTTAATTCCTGTATGTTCACTACCTGGCATATCATATAAAGTTATTGAGGGGGAAGCACATATTGATGTACTACAGTGTATTCTACTGAGAAAAATAAGTTTCAGATTATTTTTCATTATGAATCATCAATGTAATTGCTCCTTTATACTGACTTAAAAATTGAGAGATGTATGTATTTTAATTATGTCTATTACTTAAGCCTATACTTCACTCTGTATTGCAATCCTATTATAAAATGTGCCTAAGCTGTTGGCTAGAAAATTTTAAATTTATGTTATATACCACTTGAAAGTCATACATTTTTTCAGTCAATGCCAAAATACTCAGAAATACTGTTAATTCTTCCTTACTGCCTACCTTTGTCATATCATGCTGGGTTAGGCAGGGTTGATTCATCTTGGAAAACATATTCACTTGACTTCATTTACTTTTACTTTCAAATGGGAGTTCCTTACATTACAAAAAAAAATTTTTTCTTCTCCTCTCTTGGATGCAAAAGTAAGACCCAATTTTATTTATAATTTTATTATAAAGACATAGATAAGTTAAAAGGAAATATGTGGAAAGTGATATACAATACAAAAAGTAAACCAAAGAAAGCTAGAGTGACTATACTAATATCACATAAAGTAGACTTCTGAATAAGAAATATTTTTCAGGAATAAAGAGGAACATCTCATAATGATAAGTTAATTCTCCAAGAAGACGTGGAAATTCTAAATGTGCATACACCTAATAGATTGAATATGCATGAAGCAAAAACTGACAGAAAAGAAAGCAGAAATAAACAAAACGTGATTAGACTTGGATATTTCAACACTCTTCTCAGTAATTGATAGAACAAATAGACAGAACATCAGTAAGAATATGAAAGATTTGGAGAACCTTATTGACCAACATGCCTTAATTGACATTTATAGAAAACTCCACCCAACAGCAGCAAAATACACATTATTTTCAAACGCACATGGAACATTCACCAAAATAGACCATATTCTGGATGACAAAACAAGTCTCATAAACTTAAAAAGAGCAAAATCATACAAGGTATATTCTCTGGCCACAATGGAATTGAATTAAGATTCTATAACATATCTGAAAAATCTCTAAATATTTGAAAATTAACAACATATCTGTACATAACACATGGGTCAAAGAAGAAATCACTAGTTAATTCAGAAAATATTTTGAATGGAATGAAAATGAAAACACAGTATATCAAAACTTGTGGGAGGACTGGGCACAGTGGCTCATGCCTGTAATCCCAGCACTTTGAGAGGCCAAGGTGGGAGGATCAACTGAGCTCGGGAGTTCAATACCAGCCTGGGCAATATAGTGAAATCCCATCTCTTAAAAAGAAATATGTGGGAGAGTGGCTACCCAGACTTCATCAGTACACAATGTATCCATGTTAACAAAATTGTACTTTTTTGTTATAATCACAAAGTAGTGAATATGAGGATAAAATAAAGGAATTGGCAGGGTAGATATCTAAAGAGATAATTGAGTCAAATATCACTCAGAGGCTTGAGTCTAAGTCACTACAAGTATGAAATTCAAAAAATTAGAAATGAGAGAAATATCACTCAGAGGCTTGAGTCTAAGTCACTAGAAGTATGAAATTTGAAAAAATTAGAAATGAGAGATTTTGGTTAAATTTACAGAAAAAGAAAACTTGTGAGGTGTAGCTAACAGCAGTGCCTTTAGAGGGAAATGTATGGTATTAAGTGCTTATATTAGAAAAGAAGAAAGGATTCAAATCAACAATGTAAGTTTCTACTTTAATAATTAGAAATATAAGAGCAAAATCAACCCAAAGTGTAGAAGGAAGAAAGTAATAACAAAGAGAATAAATGAAACTGAAAATAGAAAAACAAGAGAGAAAATCAGTGAAACCAAGAGCTATTTGGAAATAGCTAATCTGATCAAGAAAAAAAGAGAGAAGACACAAATTACGTATATTAGAAATGAAAGAGGGAACATCACTATGGGTCCTACATATATTAAAAGTGTAATAAGGAAATACTATGAACAATTTTAAGCCAAGAGATTTTACAACTTAAATGAAATTGACAATTGCCTTGAAAGACCAAATGACCAAAATTTATTCAAAAAATAGAAAATCCAAATAGCATATTTTGTAAAGACATTGAATTCATAATCCATTAAAAATACCATTAAGCCAGATAGTTTCACTGGTGAATTCTATAAAACATTTAAGGAAAAAGTAACATCAATCTTACACAAATTATTTCAGAAATTAGAAAAGAAAGAGACAGTTCTCAATTTTTAGGCCAGTTCTCAATTTTTAGGCCAGTTTTACTCTGATTTAAAAAGCAGACTAAGTTATTGCAACAAAAGAAGGCTACAGAGTAACATCCCTTATGAACAAAAATACAAAAGTATTTAACAAAATATTAACAAATTAGATCCAGCAAGATATATAAAGGATAATGCATCACTACCAAGAGAAGTTTATCCTGGAAATGCAAGGGACAAAGACATTAACATTTGAAAATAAATTGTTGAAATTCACCATATCATCAGAATAAAGGGGGAAACCATATGATCATCTTAATAGATGCAGAAATAGCATCTGCAAAAAAAATTCAAGGCCAATTTGTAATAATAATTTTTTTAAAGCCCTTAGCAAACTAGGGGAACTTCCTCAACCTGATAAAGGGCACCTACAACAAAAGCCCTACTGCTTTACCCTTAAGATTAGGAATAAATGGACATAGAAAGAAGGATGGCTACCAGAGGCTGGGAAGGGTAGCTGGGGGTTGGGAGGAGGCGGGGATAGTTAGTGGGTACAAAAAAAGTAGAAAGAATGAATAAGACCTACTACTTGATGGCACAATAGGGTGATTACAGTCGATAATAATTGTATATTTTTAAATAACTTAAATAACGTAATTGGATTATTAGTAACTCAAAGGATAAATGCTTGACAGGACAGATACCCCATTCTCTATGATGTGCTTATTTCACATTGCATGCGTGTATCAAAATATCTCATATACCTCATAAATATATACACCTATGTACCCATAAAAAATTTTTTTAATTAAAAATATATTAGGAACAAGGCAAGTATGTCCACTCTTGTCATTTCTAGCCAACATTGTACTGAAAGTCCCAGCCATTGCAATAAGGTCCATATAAGAAATAAAAGACATTAAGATTGGAAAGGAAGAACCAAAACTATATCCACAAGTGACATTATTGTGTACATGGAATATCCTAATGAATCTCCAAAAGGGCTATTAAAATTGTAAGTGAGCAAGGTCACAAGATACAAGACCAACATACAAAAGTCAATTGCATTTCCATAAACTAGCACATAACAATTGAATATTGAAATAAAAAGCAATTACTTTTAAAATAACATTCAAAAAACATGGATTACTTAAGGTTATATTTAATAAAATACATTGAAAACCTGCACATTTAAAACTGTAAACTTTGCTGCAGAAATTGAAGAAAAATAAATGGAGGCATATATCATATTCATAGCTCGGAAGACTCAGTAGTGTCAATCCTCCCAATATTAATTCATAAATTTAACTTGAAAGATACTGACAAGCTGGTACTAAAATTTATGTAGAAATACTAAGGATCTAGATATCAAAATGAATTTTCTAAAATAACAAATTGGTAATACACTACTTGAGATCAAAACTTACTACTAAACACAGAGGAAGGTGTCAGGATAATTGCACAGGAAGTGGTATATATGAAAATAAACATATGAGGGCAAAATGCACTGATCAAGTAAATGAGATGCTCTATCTGGAGTGAAGAGTTTAAAATATATTTTTGGACTAGAAAAATGAATTGGACCCAAATTGAAGATAATTTTAAATGTCCTGATGAAAGTTGTTAGAAAATTAGTTGTCTATAATATATAGAATGATACTTGAAAGAGGCAGGGATACAAGTTAAAATTGTTTTCATGAACCCATACACAAAGTAGTGAATATGAGGATAAAGAAAAAAATAGGCATGGTAAATATAAAAAGAGATAATTTAGTCAAATGTAATTCAGAGGTTGGAGTTTAAGTCACTAGAATTATGAAATTGGAAAAAAAATAGAAGTGAGAGATTTAGTTTAAAAATGAATTCCATTTATAAATGTTTAATTTTATATCATTACAGTGTCAATCTGTTAATATAGAACAAGTGCTTTTCAAATATAGATAGAAAGAATGGATTTGAGATATAGACTTGGAAATCGTGCACATAAAGGAGATAGTTGATGCTGTGAGAAGGGAAAGTATAAAGAGAGATGAGAACAGAAGTATTTGACCTAAGGTTTAAAAAATACCAACTTCTGATAGCAAGAACAGAAAGAATGAATCAAGTAGAAAGGAAGGAATCCTGGATTGTCTCTGTGTTAACTTACACTGCTGTATGTTTCCAGGACTAGGAAAACTGGAAATGAGCAGGTGAAAATCAGGAAACTAAAATAAATTATTTGTTTCTTTCTAAAATGTCTGGTCAACCTTCGCCTGTTTTCCTTGACCTAATATTTACAGAGATGCTCAGTAAGTTCTAGTACTTAGTATATGGTCTAAGGTTTTTCTTGGTCTAAGGACATGAACTATGGATGAATGTAAGCCAAGGACTTTACAAGGCATATAGTT
This sequence comes from Homo sapiens, assembly GCF_000001405.40. NCBI lineage: Eukaryota > Metazoa > Chordata > Mammalia > Primates > Hominidae > Homo > Homo sapiens. Next base: position 155,793,509 of record NC_000023.11, read on the forward strand.
CTTTGCTCATCATAAGTTACAATAAAACTAAACAAAAAAATATGTTCCAAAGACTATAAAACTACAGAAATCAAGATAGTTTGGTGTTGGCAAAAAGATAGTCATATAGGTTAATGGCAGAGAATAAGGTATCTAGAAAGAGACCCGTATATTCATGGTCAATTGATTTTTCATGAAGGTGCCAAGGCAACTAAATGGAAAAAGGAGAATCTTTACAGCAGGTGGTGCAGGAACAACTAGATGTTCATATGAAAAAAAAAGAAGCTTAACAACTTGACACTTACTTCATGCAAATAAAAATTAACTTGAAATGGAAAATAGAAAAAAAAGAGAAAAATCTTGACAACCTTTGGGTAAGTAGATTTCTTAGGACACAAAAAGCATAAGCCATAAAAGAAAAAACACTGATAAATTGATTTCATCAAAATGTCAAAGTTTTATTCTTCCAAACATACTGTCAAAATAAAAAGACAAGTCGCAGATTGTGAGAAAATGTTTACAAAACAGTTATCTGACAAAGGATTTATATCCAAAGTATATAAAGAACTCTCAAAACTCAATAGTAGTAATAACAGTAAGAATAGGAATAAGAATAAAAGAAAAACAGCCAGAAGGAAAGGTGAGCTAAAAATTTGAATGGGCCCTCTGTATAATTGCCATTTGTATATTTTCTTCTTTGTATAAAAGATGTACATTCAGTATTGCCGTCATTGGAAGAAGAAAAAAGATATACAAGTAACAAATAGGCACATGAAAACACCCTCTACAAAACAGTAGAATAGATAAAATAAAGGATGTAATGATACCCTCTATTGCTAAGGATGTGGAGAAGCTGAAACTCACATCTTATCTGTGAGAATATTAAATAGTACAACCACTTTGGAAAATATTTCAGCAGTTTGTGTGTGGGGTTTTTTTTTTGTTTGTTTGTTTTCGTTTTTGAGATGGAGTTTCACTCTTGTTGCTCAGGCTGGAGTGCAATGGTGTGATCTCGGCTGACTGCAACCTCCACCTCCCGGGTTCAAACGATTCTCCTGCCTCAGCCTCCCAAGTAGCTGGGATTACAGGTGTGCGCCACCACACCCGGCTAACCTTTATATTTTTAGTACAGATGCGGTGTCACCATGTTGACCAGGCTGGTCTTGAACTCCTGACCTCAGGTGATCCACCCACCTCAGCCTCCCAAAGTGCTGGGATTACAGGTGTGAGCTACTGCACCCGGCCAGCAGTTTGTTATAAAAACTAAACATATGCTTTTCGTATGACCTTGTGATTCCACTCCTAGGTATTTATTCCAGATAAATACAAACATAGTTCCATAAGAAGATATGTACTTGTATATATCAGCTTTATCTATACTAGCCCTAACTTGGAAACAACCCAAGTTTCCAGCAACAGATAAAATGGATAAACAGGCCAGGTGCGGTGGCTCACGCCTGTAATCCCAGCACTTTGGGAGGCCGAGAAGGGTGAATCACTTAAGATCAGGAGCTCGAGACCAGTCTGGCCAAGATGGTGAAACCCTGTCTCTACTAAAAATACAAAATTAACTGGGTGTGGTGGCGGGTGCCTGTAATCCCAGTTACTTGGGAGGCTGAGGCAGGAGAATCACTTGAACCCGGGAGGTAGAGCTTGCAGTGAGCTGAGATCTCACCACTGCACTCCAGCCTAGGCGACAGAGTGAGACTGTCTCCAAAAAAACAAATAAATGGATGAACAAATTGTAGCATATCCATACAATGAAATAGCACCCAGTAGTAAAAATCCTGCCTATGTAATGAAGTCTCCATAAAAAGTGAAAAGGACTGAGTTTAGAAAGCTTCTAGATTGCTGAACACCTGGAGGTTCCTGGAGGATGACAATCCCAGAGAGGGCAGGAAGCTCCATGCCTCTTCCCCAATACCTTGCCCTAGGCATCTCTTCATTGGTATCCTTTGTAATATCCTTTGTAATAAACCAGCAAAAGAGTAAGTGTTATCCTGAGTGCTGTGAACCACTCCAGCAAATTACTCAAACCCAGAGAGGGTGTCATGAGAACTCCTGATTTATAGCTGATCAGTCATGGGTCACAACTTGGAGCTTGCAATTGGCATCCGAAGTAGAGCAGTCTTGTGAGACTGAGCCCTTAACCTGTGGGATCTGATGCTAACTCCAGGTAGATAGCATCAGAACTGAATTAAATTGTAGGACACCCAGCCTAGTGTCCACTGGAGAATTGCTTGGTGTGTAGGGAAAACCCCACACACATCTGGTGTCAGAAGTTTTATGTTAAACAACTGTATGTGAGTAGAGAGAAACTTTTTTCTTCAGATTATCACCTGGAGCAAGTCATTTTTAAATGCGCTCCTTCTTTGTATGAGAAAATTATTTTCAATGATAATTATGTACATAATCTGTACCTAACCTGTAAAAATTGTTATTTTGTTTTTATTTAGTTTTAAACCAAAAATTGATTTTAAAAGACTAAATTTCAATCTTAAACATATTCAAGAAGTAAAACATATCATGTGTGAACTAAAAATTTCACTTATCTAGCAAAAATAGTCTATCTCACAGCTCATACTGTGTTCTATTGCTTTGATTTTTAAATGTTTTTACTTTTTTTTATTTCAATAGCTTTTGGGATATACAGGTTTTTGGTACATGGATGAATTATATAGTGGTAAATTCTGAGATTTTAGTGCACTCATCACCCGAGTAGTGCACATTGTACTCAATATGTAGTTTTTTTATCCCTCATCCGCCTGCCCCCTCCCCCTTTCTGAGTCTTCAATGTCCATTTTACCACTCTGTATGCCTTTGCATACCCATCGCTTAACTCCCACTTGTACGTGTGAATATATGGTATTTGGTTTCCCATTCCTGAGTTACCTCACTTAGAATAATGACCTCCAACTTCATCCAAGTTGCTGCAAAAGACATTATTTCGCTCTTTTTTTCTGGCTAAGTAGTATTCCATGGTGTATATATACCACATTTTCTTTATCCATTCACCAGTTGATGGGTTGGTTCTTAGGTTAGTTCTATATCTTTGTAATTGTGATTGTGCTGTGATAAACATACAAGTACAGGTGTCTTTGATACAATGACTTCTTTCCCTTTGAGTAGATACCCAGTAGTGGGATTGTTGGATTGAATGGTAGATCTACTTTTAGTTCTTTGAGAAATATCCATACTGTTTTCCATAGAGGTTGTACTAATTTACATTCCTACCAGTAGTGTTAAGCCTTTTCTTTTCACCATATCCACACTAACATCTATTGTTTTTTGACTTTTTAATAATTGCTATTCTGGCTGGGGTAAGGTGGTATCTCATTATGGTTTTAATTTGCATTTCCTTGATGATTAATTATGTTGAGCATTTTTTTCATACATTTCTTGGCCATTTGTATATCTTTTTTGAGAAGTGTCTATTTATATCAAAACTCCAAGTGACCAAACAAAATTATGAAATTGAAATAACTCAAGTTTTTTTCTTAATCTTTACAATCACTGTGCTGTCATTGTTTCAGATCCACAATTTAAATGCAGAAATATGTAGTACTAAAGAGGTTGGATGACACAAACTGCCCTCAGTGGGCTTGAATGATTAGAGACCACTGTAAACTGACTCCCTGTATTAGGAAGTTCTTGCATTGCTACAAAGAAATACCTGGGACTAGGTAATTTATAAAGAAAAGAGGTTTAACTTGCTATGGTTCTGCAGACTTTATAGGAAGTGTGGTGCTGACATCTGTTTGGCTTCTAGGGAGGCCTCAGGAAGCTTTACAATCGTGATGTAAGGTGAAGGGGGAACAGGCACGTCACACTGTGAAAGCAGGAGCAACAGCAAAAAGGGGGAGGTGCCATACACTTTTAAATGCCCAGATCTTGTGAGAACTCACTCACTATCACAGTACCAAGGGGATGGTACTAAACCATTTATGAGAAAACCACCCCCATGATCCAATCACCTCCCACCAGGCCCACCTCCAACATTGGAGATTACAATTCAATATGAGATGTGGGTGGGGACACAGATCCAAACCGTATCACTCCCCAAATGAATGTGTGTAGCTGAGTCTACATATGTCATGGGCTGACTGCAGAATTGGCCTTACTCTGAATTAATTTATATCTAGAATTAAAGGTTAAATGATCAAAATATGCTAACTTGAAGGTTACATTTAAATTGTTAATAGTCAACAATAACAGTATCGAATGTCCAGAATTTAGCCCAACAAAAGAGTTTTAATCAACAAAAGGGTAGGAAAGAATCATATTAAGCAAATATTAGGAAAAGAAAACTGGTATACCTACATTAATTTCAGATAAAACATACTTTTCTACAAAAATACTATTAGGTATAGAGAGGATCACTACCTAATGGTAAATGTTCAATTCACTGCAAAGTTAGAGAAATTTTAAACATATTAGTACCTAATAAATAGCCTCAAAAATATGAAGCAAAAAATTGATAGAATTGCAGGGATAAATGAACAAACATACTACATAGAGAGAGATATTAATACTCCTCTTTCAATTAGGTCAAGGCAATAAAAAATTCAGAAGAATATATAAGATATCTTTATCGCAACTAAGAAGTTTGACTTAAACTTACTAATGCTGACCCCCAACATATAAAGAGTTTGAATAGTCTTTGAAACATAAAATGAATTAAAGCAGTATTTTAAAATAGTCCTACAAAGAAAACACCTTTTTTGTACAGGCAAGTTCAACTACATTTTGAGAAGATCATCTAAATTTTAATCAAACTCTTCTAACAATAGAAAAGAAGGAAAGCTTCTAACTTATTAAAGCAGCATAATCATGATATGAAAACCAAAGATATTACATGAAAGGAAAATGACATGTCCACTTTATTTATGAATATAAATGCACAAGTTCTACATGAAATATTACTAACTGAATTTAATGGTTCATTTTATGTTAGGGATGTAAACGTAGCTTAATATTAGAAGGCGTATAAAGGTAATTGACTAAACTAACAGATTAAAAGAAAAAACTGCATGATAATTTATTATAGAAAAAGTTTATGATAACATTTTGACTGTGGAAAACAATGCAGTTTATTTTCCACTGGTCAGGAACAAGAAAAATATAGTCCTGATGAGTGCCATCAGCCATCCTATGACTTTAAAGACAGCCGGTTCTTAAAATGATTCTGACTCTGTGGATGGCAGAATTCAAGGGAGAGATTTAAACAAGAGATATACATTTTGTATTATCAGCATATAGATGGTATTTAGAGCTATAAGACTGATTGAGGGAGGGGAATGAATGTAGATAGAGAAGAATAGAGATGCAAGGATGGAACCCCAACGTTTGTAAGTTACTCAGTGAGCCTTATGGGAATCAGCTGAAACTTATCTTAAAGGGCCAGAGTGAAAAAAGAGAATAAATTCAGTGACCCTAACAAACAAGCAAATCCCAGGTTCTCTAGGAGTCAGAACCATATAAAACGAAGGGTTCATAAATGCCTAAAGATATATGCTCAGGCATGCTCAGGTGTTGGATTTCTGTAATCCAGGGGAGGATGCTATTTCTGAGAAAGACTAGACTAAGTTTTCCTCCAGGGGAGGAGAATATCTGTCACCTAGGCTCAAAGGGATAAATTGGGTAGGTCTGAGGATGGGGTTAAAGTCAAAATGGTCATGTCATTTTATAGGTTTAATTTTCAGTATTGCCTATACCTAAGGTTGGGGTGGAAGAATAAGTAGATACAAGAAAATTTTCCCTAGGGATTACCAGGAGTGCTGATTGAAAGTAAATTAAGGAAAAAATGAACTGCATTTTCTATCATATGTGTTTCCAAAATTAACTGCCCTATGGATATCTTATGTAAAATGGTAGCCAGAGGACAGAGGTGAATTAGAACAGTTGCACAGGGAAACATAGGGACCCTGATATATGTTTATTTTTAATTAGACACCACACGGGTTAATTATATGGGGTCATTAGAAGAATAACTGCTCCAGATTCTCTCTCTGGTATGTGCAAAAGTGATGAGCCACAATAGCAGATGTACTTTCCCAGCAACAAAAATACTAAACCCTACAGTTTAAGTAGAACACCACTAAACTGGAATTGGTCCAGAATATAAGGAAAGTGATAGGATGGGAAATCAAATAGGTGCAGGAGTTTTTAGCCTGAAGAAAGAAATGATTCCAGGGTAGCAGGACCATTGTCTACAAATATTCAAAAAGTTGCCATGTAAAAGATGAGAGACAATTGATTTGTGTATCTTTAGTGGCAAAAGGAACCAGTTGAAGTTGTGAAGCTGATTATTTAACATCAACATAAGGTACAGTTCTAGTTGTCCAACAATTGAATAGTCTGCCTCATTAAGTAATGGGCTCCCATTCAAACAACACTTAAGAAGATATAGAATGATTCTTACTTGGGATGCTGGTGAGCTTATTACAGCATTGAATAGCTGTTGGATGAGAGAAACTTTAAGATCTAATTTCAGACTCTTTTACTTTATGAAAAAATACTCTTTCATTTTATTGAATTCAACCCCACATGTCATCAATGGAATTTGTATTCCCTTGAAGATTTATGTCATCGCAGTTTTCTTTTCCTTTCTTTCAAATAATTAACAAAACCATTGAAAGACACAATATGGCCTTTCAGACATTTAGCAATCTATGAAGGAAAACAATTTGGACACAATTGCACATGATAAGTATGCAAAGTGTTTAGTGAATTAATCTGCTATGACTTTCTTTAAAAATACCATTCAGCTGGGCACGGTGGCTCACGCCTGTAATCTCAGCACTTTGGGAGGCCGAGGCTGGTGGATCACCTGAGTTCGAGACTAGCCTGGCCAACATGGTGAAACCCCGTCTCTACTAAAAATACAAAAAATTAGCTGGGCGTGGTGGTGGGCACCTGTAATCCCAGCTACTCCGGAGGCTGAAGCAGAAGAATCGCTTGAACCCAGGAGGAAGAGGTTGCAGTGAGCCGAGGTCATGCCATTGCACTCCAGCTCGGGCATCAAGAGTGAAACTCCGTCTCAAAAAAAAAAAAAATACTTTTCAGCCCCACATTCATTATCTTATTCACAAGAATAGTATCCAAATACATTTAATATACCAAACTAGAAGCCTATCAAGAAATGGAAATAATAACAATAAAAACAGCTAAGACAGTAATAATTTACCATGTACCAGGTAATCTTTTAAACCTTTTGCATATATGACTTTACCACACCCCCTGAAGTAAATAATATTGTTAGCTTCATCTTAAAAATGAGGAAACAGAAGGATAAAGAATGTATGCATCTTGCTCAAGCACAGACAGCGACTAAATTGTAGAGCCAGGATTCAAACCCAGGAAGTCCTGCTCCCTAGCCGGTGTTACTAATAACTTCACTCTATAGTTTGGCATAACTTGGTTCAAGATGGTTACATGTAATTACTCCCACTCTTCTAAATTAGAAAAAAAAGATGATTTTTACAAGTAACATGTAAATATCTTTTCATTATAAAATTAAAACATTACTTATAAAGCTAAAAAGTTATCTTGATTAGCCTCCAAACCCAGTATCCTACCCAAATATAGCCAATGTTATCTGATTGTTCTATATTATTTGAAGTATTTTTAAATTTTTATACATATATACAAATATATGCATACACATGTGCACATATACAGGTTTTTTAAAGGTATAAAATAGAAATAAAAGTATTCCTCTGCAACTTGCTTTCCTTATTCAACAATATATCTTGAAGACCTTTTAGTTATAGTACATAGAGCTATCCCACATTCTTTTTAACTGTTGCATAATATTCATAGTATGGAAATATTTTTAATTTAGCCATTCCCATGTTGATGGACATTTAGGTTGCTTCAATTATTTTGCTGTTATAAACAAGGCTGTGGGAGAGTCCTTGTGTATGTCTGTTTTTGCCCATGTGCAAATATTACCTTAAGGTAGACACAGAGAAGTGGAATTGCTTGGCCACTTGGGGATGTGCATTTTAATTTTAAGGCATATTGCTAAGTTGTCATCCAAAATAGCTGAACAAACTTACACTCCTTTTAGGAGTGGGCGAAACTGCAGAAAACAGAATAGCATCTACCTAATCTAGGAAGTGTTGAAGAAATAGATTAAAGATGACATATTAAAGACATATTAAAGATAAGATCACATAGAGAGTGTGTAAACTATGGAATCTGGTGACATCCAAAAACATATCTCCAATCTGACCTCTCAGCTGAATACCTGACTTATGTGTCCAACCATCTGCTTGGTATCTATTCTTCTATGTCTAGTAGGCATTTCAAATCTAATGTATCAAAAACAGAACTTGTAATCTGCCACACTCCCCTTGGCCTGATAAAAACCTGTTTCTTTCTCTGGCTTTCCTATATCACTAACTGGTATCACCATGCACCTAATTGCTCCAGCCAAAAACCTAGGTTTTTAGCCAATAGTGCTCCCTCTACAGCCACCACCTACCACCCCACATTTTGAAATAAGACCAAGATGTATCATTTCATCCATAAATATTTCAGCAAGTACCTCTAAAAGATAGGGACTAATTTTTAAACATAATCACAATATCACATCTAAAGATAACTATTCCTTAATCATATCTAAAGATACTGTATCTAAGGGTAAGTATTCCTTAATATCATATAATATCCATTTACTATCAAAATTTCTCTGGTTGTCTCCTACATTTTTTACAGTTTGTTTGCTTGAATCAGGATCCAAAGAAGGTGGATATATTGGAGTCGATTATTATATCTCTTTAATCTTTTAATTATAGGTTTCACTTCTCTTCTCCTTCCTTTTAATGTCTTTGTGGAAGAACCAGTTGTTTGTCCTGTAAAATTTCCCACACTCTGGATTTTGCTAATTGCTCCTTCCCCAAGGTGTCTTCCTTAACTCAGTAACTGATATCACCACTCACCAGTTCCTCTGACCCTGTATTTCCTATAGGTTGGTGTAGAGGTTTATCAGATACAAATGCAAATTTTAGCAAGAATAAATCATACGTGGTGTCCTTTATACTTCCTACTGCATCACGTCAGGAGGCACATATGTCTGGTTGTCTCTCTTTTTTTGTTAGGTTAACACTAATTAGTTTGTTCATGTATTGTCACCCTGATCTATCTATTATAAACTTCCCAATTAACTTTTCACCTAATAATTTTAGCAGTTTTTGATGATCTTTGCCTATAGCTGTCATTTCATTATAGTTTGCAAAGTGGTACTATCCTGTCATCCTTCCTGCATTTATAAACTGGGATTCCTCTATAAAGAAGAACTTTTCCATATCAACTATTTGGTTACCCTGAAGTACTTTCGTCAAGAAAGGCAGAATAAATGTTTGATTCTTTTTTATTTACCCATTATAATGGATGGTTATTTCTGAAATAATGGGATGTAACAAATAACCCCCCAAATCTCAGTGACTTACAAGTATTTATTTCTTGTTCTTAGTCATTTGTGGTTTCTGTGGGCTCTACTGGGCTTGGCTAGGCTTGGCTCCAGAATAAGGGTTGAATTCAAGTCTGCCCCGTGCATCTTATTACTGTGTGATCGCATCGAAGGCTACCCAGGGCATATTCTTTTCATGGAAGATAACAGAAGTACAAGAACAAACAAGTACATCGAAAGCCTCTGCTTGCACCACGTCCACTCACATTCCAATATACAACATAAGTTATACAGCCAAGCCAAATATACTAGAATGTTGTATTGTCTACCTTTATACTAGAGTGTTGAGCTCAAAACTGTTGGGGTGATCGGACCCAGCACCAGGTTGTGGGGGTGATGAAGTCCAGTGGAGTCAAAGGAATGAGAAAAGACAGTTTGAGAAAGTGGGTCCAGGCGGCCATTGCTAAGTATGGAGGCTGCAAAGTCCCCGAGCTCTGGAAGTCCAGACGATTTATTAGTGATCAGACAAAGAAACAGGTGGTGAAAATGTGGGGGTCGAAAGGATATGTTGCATTAAGCACATGATTTACAGCTGTGATGGTTTAGCATTGATATGGCCAATTCTAAGACACAATCAATCTAGGAGCCTGAGAGGGCTAGAAGCAAGGAGCCAGCAAGTCTAGACACATTCCAGAGCCACGAGCCCTGGATTCTATCCAAGCCACGAGGGGTTTTATGCCCTGGGCTTAGATTATGGTGCATCAGGGTAGCCTTCCACCCTTTAGCACAGAGCTTGGTGTTCCAAAGGCCACGAGGGGTTTTAGACCCTGGACCCCGGACATGTTCCAAGACTCTGTTACATTATGTCAGACATGCAAGCCCTGCCTCAGCTTCTCTCCCAACACTCAGCTTTTCCCAACAAAAACTACATTTACTGAAATCCCTTTATTTGTATGGTTTCATATTAGAAGAAACTGTGTGATTAGGAGGTAAAAGTAAAACAATGGCTATAATTCTTGGAGGGTCTTCATGGTCAGATACTGCTGATTATCCATTGTTATGTAGCAAATTGTCCCAAGATTTAGTGGCTTATAAACTTATTATTATCTCTAATGGTTCTGTGAGTTGACTAGGTTCAGCTGAGTGGGTCTTACAGTTTGTCAGATGGTGTCTGGGGGCTGGATTTCTCTAAATAGTCAGCTGGACTGGGCCTCCAAGATGGTTCATGCACATGGTTGGATGTTGGCTGGGAATTCAGCTGGTGCTATAGACTAGAGCACTTACATGTGGCCTCATCATGTGGCTAGGGCTTCTACAGCATGGAAGCTGGATTCTTTGAGGAAGCATTCCAATAGTGAGTGTTCTAAGTGGCAGGAATCCATTTTCATGCCAGGTAAGTGCTGTGCCCAGAACTGGTATTGTACCATTTACACCATCATCTGCTAGTCAAAGTATTCACAGTTAGTTCCAGGCCCAATGGGATGGAGAAATACACTCTACCTCTTGTTGGGGGAGTGGCAAGTCATATTGCAGAAGAGCATGTAAGATGGAATATATTATTGCATCCATCTTTGAAAAATACAAATATACCACAAATATGGTGATGAACAGATGCAAAGGTCCCTGACAGATTCCAATTTGTCATCACTTCCTCTGCTCAGCATTTAGCTCATCTTTCCAACTGCTGACCCTGCTGACCAAAAGCAGCTCTAGATTCACAATCAAAAGCTAGGTCCCAAAGAGGTGATACCATACACAGAGACAAAAGCTTCCCATAGGCCTCTAAATGAGCTTCCACTTCATGGTCCTACTTTTTCTCAGCATTTTGATGTATAATTGACAAATTCAAATTGCATATATTCAAGGTGTACAATGTGATGAGTTGATATAGGTATACATTGCGTAGTGATTACTACAATCAAATTCATTAATACATCCATCACCACACAGAGTTACCATATGTAACATATGTGCATGTGTGTGTGTGCAGTTAGGGCACTCAAAAATCTGCTCTTTTACTGACTTTCAACTAAACAATAAAGTATTATTAACTATAGTCACCATGCTGTACATTAGCTCTCCAAAACTTATTAATCTTACAACCAAAAGTTTCTACCATAGTCCTACTTTAGTAAGCTGGATGTGATTGGCTTCTCAGATTACCCTTAAAACCCCCAATTTGCAGCCGGGCGCTGTGGCTCAGGCCTGTAATCCCAGCACTTTGGGAGGCCGAGGTGGGCGGATCACTTGAGGTCACGAGTTCCAGACCAGCCTGGCCAACATGGTGAAACCTCGTCTCTACTAAAAATACAAAAATTAGCTGGGCATTGTGGCGCTTGCCTGTAATCCCCACTACTTGGGAGGCTGAGGCAGGAGAATCGCTTGAACCTGGGAGGCGGAGGTTGCGGTGAGCCGAGATCTTGCCATTGCACTCCAGCCTGGGCAACAGAGCGAGTCTCTCCATCTCAATAAACAACAACAACAACAACAACAACAAATTAGCCTCAACTCCAGAGTCACAGAAACGATACAACAATAAATTTGTGTTGTCCTGAAATTTTTGTTAATTTATTACAGAATAATAGAAAACTAACACAATATCTGTAAAATATTCAGTCTTCCGATACATGACCATGGTATATCTTTCATTTATTTACATCTTCTTTTATTTCTCTCAACAAAGTATTGTACTTTTACACATATTTAATTTATCCATCCATGTTTAATGATTTTGTATGCTTCTGTAAATGGTATTCTAAAATTTTAATTCCCAATTGTTCATTGCTTAGTACACAGAAATACAATTAATATTTTATCTTGTGACCTTATTCGCTCAAATAGCTTTTTATGTAGATTCCTCAAGACCTTATACATAGATGATTATGTCATTCGTGAATAAGAACAATTTTATTTCTACTTTTGCAATCAGTATGCCCATTATTTCTTTATTTCCCCCACCACACTGGCTAGGATTTCCAGTACTATGTTGAACAGAAATTGTAGGAATAGGCAGCCCACCTTGTTCACGATCTTAGGGAAAAATCATTCACTTTTTCACCCTTAGATATGATGTACACTGCAAGATTTTTGTACATACTTTTTGTAAGGCTGAGTTGCAGGAAGGCTTTTATTTTTTTCTCCTTTGGCTTCTTCACCCAGAGTTGGTGCTGTCTCTTCCCCATATACCTCTGGAGACCAGCAAGGGCCCAGACCCAGGGACCCTTTTTGTGCCCACACATGCTGCTGCAGCTTTACCCTGCAGTCCTCAATGTTTTGGGCCACATCTGCAAGATCAAGTAAGATGGTGACTTGGAAACACTGCATTTTGGGGATACCGAGCAAGAAGTTGAAAGGATGCTCAGGGCCCATCATGAATTGCTTATATCCAACAGAGCTATAAAAATTTTTAGTCCCTCCTCTTCCCAAAATTTCCCAGCATATTTCATTTTTTTCTTAAAATACTTAAGATCAGAGTAGAGGGGAAGAGAATAATCAGGAAGTGCAGTGAGAACTAAGTTCTGCACCAAAGCTTTATATTTACTTTGGGTTTCCAGTGAACAACTGCTCAAGCCTAACAAATTAACTTCTAATGTTTTGCTCTGCTCAAAGCTCTATATCCTCACTGCTGATGGTATTTTAGTATTGTCGGTTCTTTGATTCAGCATTCACACCATACCTTGCCTTTTGGCTGGAACCCCAGGGCTTGCCACCCCATTGCCATCATGACATGCCTTCATCCTCCCACCCAGAAGTAAATGAACAATAATCAAAGCACCATTGGGATTTTTTTTTTCAATTCTTAGCCTCATTAACAGCTAGAGAAGTGGAGGACCCTTATTCCCACCCTGGTCTGTCCATCACTGGGTAGAAACCGTTCACTATTAGATTCCGAGCAGTCTTCTCATATCGACTAACACAGCCTGCACCTATACTCATTTTCAAAACTGTCAAGAACTGTGAAGGATCTACAATTTTACCCTACTTACAAGGTAATGAGATAGCCTATTACTGTTCAATGGATGCTGGCAGAAAATATGAGGCTCCTCGATTGATACTTGCACATGTAATGGGTTGCATTATAGGAGAGAAACACTACAACTGGGGTATTCATTTCTACAGTGAACCCCTGCATTTTGTCCAAAGGAGAGACATAATGTCATCACTTTGGGTTGCTCACTGCAAACACAACCCTGAGAAACAACAAAGGTAAAAAGTATTCAGGACTGGTCAAGCGCAGTGGCTCATGCGTGTAATCCCAGCACTTTGGGAAGCCAAGGCAGGTGGATCACCTGAGGTCAAGAGTTTGAGACCAGCCTGACCGACATGGAGAAACCCTGTCTCTACTAAAAATACAAAATTAACCAGGCATGGTGGTGCGTGCCTGTAATCCCAGCTACTCAGGAGGCTGAGGCAGGAGAATTGCTTGAACCCAGGACGTGGAGGTTGTGGTGAGCCACGATCACGCCATTGCACTCCAGCCTGGGCAACAAGAACGAAACTCCATCTCAAAAAAAAAAAAAAAAGTATTCAGGACTTTGCATTTTTGGCATACCTAGCAAGAAGTTGAAAGGATGCTCAGGGCCCATCACAAATGTCAGTTTGCTAAGGACAATGGCTTCCAGCTCCATCCATGTCCTAGCAAAGGACATAATCTCATTCTTTTTATGGCTGCATAACATTCCATGGTATATATGCACCACATTTTCTTTCTTTAGTCTATCATTGATGGGCATTTAGGTTGATTCCATGTCTTTGCTATTCTGAATGGTGCTTCAATAAATATATGCATGCATGTGTCTTTATAACAGAACAATTTATATTCCTTTGGGTATATACCCAGTAATGGTATTGCTGGGTCAAATGGTATTTCTGTCCTTAGCTCTTTGAGGAATGACTACATTATCTTCCACAATGGTTGAAATAATTTACACTCCTACATACATTTGTATAAGCGTTCTTTTTTCTCTATAACCTTGCCAGCCTCTGTTATTTTATGTCTTTTAATAATGGCCATTCTGACTGGTATTAGATGGTATCTCATTGTAGTTTTAATTTGCATTTCTCTAATGATCAGTGATATTGAGCTTTTTTTTAATGTGATTGCTGGCCACATGCATGTCTTCTTTTGAAAAGTGTTAGTGTCCTTTGCCCACTTTTTATGAAGTTGTTTTTTTCTTGTAAATTTGCTTAAGTTCCTTATAGATGCTGGATATTAGACCTTTGTCAGATGCATAGTTTGCAAAAATGTTCTCCCTTTCTGTAGGTTGTCTGTTTACTCTGTTGATAGTTTCTTTTGCTGTGCAGAAGCTCTTTAGTTTAATTATATCCCATTTGTCAATTTTTGTTGTTGTTGCAATTGCTTTTGGTGTTTTCGTCATAAAATCTTTGCCCATGCCTATGCCCTGAATGGTATTGCCTAGGTTGTCTTCCAGGGTTTTTATAGTCTGGGGTTTTACATTTAAGTCTTTAATCCATCTCGAGTCAATTTGTGTATATAGCATAAGGAAGGGGTGCAGTTTTAATCTTCTTCATATAGCTAGACAGTTATTCCAGCGCCATTTATTGAATAGGGCATCCTTTCTCCATTGCTTGTTTTTGTCAGCTTTGTCAAAGATCAGATAATTGTAGGTATCTTGTCTTATTTCTGAGTTCTGTCTTCGGTTCTGTTGGTCTATGTGTCTGTTTTTGTACCAGTACCATGCTGTGTTGGTTACTCTATCCCTGTGGTATAATTTGAAGATGGATAGCATGATGTCTCCAGCTTTGTTCCTTTTGCTTAGGATTGCCTTGACTAATCGGGCTATTTTTGGTTTCATGTGAATTTTAAAATAGTTTTTTCTAGTTCTGTGAAGCATCTCAATGCATACTACCTGATTTTAAGAATTACTGGGGTCCGTTCCAGGATGGCCAAATAGGAACAGCTCTGGTCTGCAGCTCCCAGCATGATTGATGCAGAAGACGGGTGATTTCTGCATTTCCAACTGAGGTACCTGGTTCATTTCATTGGGACTAGTAGGACAGTGGGGACAGCCCATGGAGGGTGAGCAAAAGCAGGGCGGGGCATTGCCTCACCCAGGAAGCGCAAGGGGTCGGGGGATTTACCTCTCCTAGCCAAGGGAAGCCGTGACAGACTGTACTGGGAAAATTGGGACACTGTCACCTAAACACCAAGCTTTTCCAACAGTCTTAGCAAATGGCACACCAGGAGATTATATCCCACGCCTGGCTCAGTGGGTCCCACTCCCACGGAGCCTTGCTCACCGCTAGTCTGAGATCAAACTGCAAGGTGGCAAGCCTGGCTGGGGGAGGAACGTCCACTGTTGCTGAGGCTTGAGTAGGTAAACAAAGCGGCCAGGAAGCTTGAACTGGGTGGAGCCCACCTCAGCTCTAGGAGGCGTGCGTGCCTCTGTAAACTCCACCTGTTGGGGCAGGGCATATCTGAACAAAAGGCAGCAGAAACTTCTGCAGACTTAAACGTCCCTGTCTGACAGCTCTGAAGAGAGCAGTGGTTCTCCTAGCATGGTTTTGAGCTCTGAAAATGGACAGACTGCCTCCTCAAGTGGGTCCCTGAACCCCACGTAGCCTAACTTGGAGATACCTCCCAGTAGGGGCCAACTGACACTTCACACAGCCGGGTGCCCCTCTGAGACGAAGCTTCCAGAGGAAGGATCAGGCAGCAATATTTGCTGTTCTGCAATATTTGCTGTTCTGCAGCCTCTACTGGTGATACACAGGCAAACAGAGTCTGGAGTGGATCTCCAGCAAACTCCAACAGACCTGCAGCTGAGGGACTTGACTGTTAGAAGGAAAACTAACAAACAGAAAGGAATAACATCAACAAAAAGGACATCCACACCAAAACCCCATCTGTAGGTCACCATCATCAAAGACCAAAGGTAGACAAAACCACAAAGATGGGGAGAAACCAGAGCAGAAAAGTGGAAAATTCTAAAAATGAGAATTCCCCATCTCCTCCAAAGGATCACAGCTACTCACCAGCAATGGAACAAAGTTGGACGAAGAATGACTTTGATGAGCTGACAGAACTAGGCTTCAGAAAGTCGGTAATAACAAACTTCTCCGAGCTAAAGGAGGATGTTCGAACCCATCGCAAAGAAGCTAAAAACGTTGAAAAAAGATTAGACGAATGGCTAACTAGAAAAAACAGTGTAGAGAAGACCTTAAATGATCTGATGGAGGTGAAAACCATGACACAAGAACTACATGATGCATACACAAGCTTAAGTAGCCGATTCAATCAAGTGGAAGAAAGGGTATCAGTGATTGAAGATCAAATTAATGAAATAAAGTGAGAAGAGAAGTATAGAGAAAAAAGAGTAAAAAGAAACAAACAAAGCCTCCAAGAAATATGGGACTACGTGAAAAGACCAAATCTACGTTTGATTGGTATACCTGAAAGTGACGGGGAGAATGGAACCAAGCTGGAAAACACTCTTCAGGGTATTATCCAGGAGAACTTCCCCAACCTAGCAATGCAGGCCAACATTCAAATTCAGGAAATAACAGAGAACACCACAAAGATACTCCTCAAGAAGAGCAACTCCAAGACATGTAATTGTCAGATTCACCAAGGTTGACATGAAAGAAAAAACGTTAAGGGCAGCCAGAGAGAAAGGTCGGGTTATCCACAAAGGGAAGCCCATCAGACTAACAGCAGATCTCTTGGCAGAAACTCTACAAGCCAGAAGAGAGTGGGGGGCCAATATTCAACATTTTTAAAGAATTTTCAACCCAGAATTGCATGTCCAGCCAAACTAAGCTTCATAAGTGAAGGAGAAATAAAATCCTTTACAGACAAGCAAATGTTGAGAGATTTTGTCACCACCAGGCCTGCCTTACAGGAGCTCCTGAAGGAAACACTAAACATGGAAAGGAACAATCAGTACCAGCCACTGCAAAAGCATGCCAAATTCTAAAGATCATCGATGCTAGGAAGAAACTGCATCAACTAATGGGCAAAATAACCAGCTAACATCATAATGACAGGATCAAATTCACACATAACAATATTAACCTTAAATGTAAATGGGCTAAATGCTCCAATTAAACAACACAGACTGGCAAACTGGATAAAGAGTCAAGACCCATCAGTGTGCTGTATTCAGGAGACCCATCTCATGTGCAGAGACAAACATAGGCTCAAAATAAAGGGATGGAAGAAGATCTACCAAGCAAATGGAAACCAAAAAAAAAAAAAAAAAAAAAAAGCAAGGCCTGCAATCCTAGTCTCTGATAAAACAGACTTTAAACCAACAAAGATCAAAAGAGACAAAGAAGGCCATTACATAATGGTAAAGGGATCAATTCAACAAGAAGAGCTAACTATTCTAAACATATATGCACCCAATACAGGAGCACCCGGACTCATAAAGCAAGTCCTTAGAGACCTACAAAGATACTTAGACTCCCACACAATAATAATGGGAGACTTTAACATCCCACTGTCAACATTAGACAGATCAACAAGACAGAAGGTTAAAAAGGATATCCAGGACTTGAACTCAGCTCTGCACCAAGTGGACCTAATAGACATCTACAGAACTCTCCACCCCAAATCAACAGAATATACATTCTTCTCAGCACCACATCACACTTATTCCAAAATTGACCACATAGTTGGAAGTAAAGCTCTCCTCAGCAAATGTAAAAGAACAGAAATCACAACAAACTGTCTTTCAGACCACAGTGGAATCAAATTAGAACTCAGGATTAAGAAACTCACTCAAAACTGCACAACTACATGGAAACTGAACAACCTGATCCTGAATGACTACTGTGTACATAATGAAATGAAGGCAGAAATAAAGATGTTCTTTGAAACCAATGAGAACAAAGACACAACATACCAGAATCTCTGGGACACATTTAAACAGTGTGTAGAGGGAAATTTATAGCACTAAATACCTACAAGAGAAAGCAGGAAAGATCTAAAATCGACACCTAACATCACAATTAAAAAAAACTAGAGAAGCAAGAGCAAAGAAACTCAAAAGCTAGCAGAAAGCAAGAAATAACTAAGATCAGAGCAGAACTGAAGGAGATAGAGACACAAAAAAAACCCTTCAAAAAATCAGTGAATCCAGGAGCTGGTTTTTTTAAAAGATCAACAAAATTGATAGACTGCTAGCAAGACTAATAAAGAAGAAAAGAGAGAAGAATCAAATACATGCAATAAAAAATGATAAAGGGGATATCACCACCCATCCCACAGAAATACAAACAAACATCAGAGAATACTACAAACACCTCTACACAAATAAACTAGAAAATCTAGAAGAAATGGATAAATTCCTCGACACATACACGCTCCCAAGACTAAACCAGGAAGAAGTTGAATCCCTGAATAGACCAATAACAGGCTCTGAAATTGAGGCAATAATAGCCTACCAACCAAAAAAAGTCCAGGACCAGACGGATTCACAGCTGAATTCTACCAGAGGTACAAAGAGGAGCTGGTACCATTCCTTCTGAAACTATTCCAATCAATAGAAAAAGAGGGAATCCTCCCTAACTCATTTTATGAGGCCAGCATCATCCTGATACCAAAGCCTGGCAGAGACACAACAAAAAAAGAGAATTTCAGACCAACATCCCTGATGAACGCTGATGAGAAAATCCTCAATAAAATACTGGCAAACTGAATCCAGCAGCACATCAAAAAGCTTATCCACCAATATCAAGTTGGCTTTATCCCTGGGATGCAAGGCTGGTTCAACATATGCAAATCAATAAACATAATCCATCACATAAACAGAACCAATGACAAAAACCACATCATAATCTCAATAGATGCAGAAAAGGCCTTTGACAAAATTCAACAGCCCTTCATTCTAAACACTCTCAATAAACTAGGTATTGATGGAACGTATCTCAAAATAATAAGAGCTATTTATGACAAACCCACAGCCAGTATCATACTGAATGGGCAAAAACTGGAAGTATTCCCTTTGAAAACTGGCACAAGACAGGGATGCCCTCTCTCACCACTCCTATTCAACATAGTGTTGGAAGTGCTGGCCAGGGCAATCAGGCAAGAGAAAGAAATAAAGGGTATTCAATTAGAAAAAGAGGAAGTCAAATGGTCCCTATTTGCAGATGACATGATTGTATATTTAGAAAACCCCATCGTCTCAGCCCAAAATCTCCTTAAGCTCATAAGCAACTTCAGCAAAGTCACAGGATACAAAATCAATGTGCAAAAATCACAAGCATTCTTATACACCAATAACAGACAGAGAGCCAAATCATGAGGGAACTCCCATTCACAATTGCTTCAAAGAGAATAAAATCCAACTAGGAATTTGGGAATCCTAGGACTCCAACTTACAAAGGATGTTAAGGACCTCTTCAAGGAGAACTATAAACCACTGCTCAATGAAATAAAAGAGGACGCAAACAAATGGAAGAACATTCCATGCTCATGGATAGGAAGAATCAATATCGTGAAAATGGCCATACTGCCCAAGGTAGTTTAGAGATTCAATGCCATCCCCATCAAGCTACCAATGACTTTCTTCACAGAATTGGAAAAAAATACTTTAAAGTTCATATGGAACCAAAAAAGAGCGCACATTGTCAACACAATCCTAAGCCAAAAGAACAAAGCTGGAGGCATCATGCTACCTGACTTCAAACTGTACTACAAGGCCACAGTAACCAAAACAGCATGGTACTGGTACCAAAACAGAGATATAGACCAATGGAACAGAACAGAGCCCTCAGAAATAACACCACACATCTACAACCATCTGATCTTTGACAAACCTGACAAAAACAAGAAATGGGGAAAGGATTCCCTGTTTAATAAATGGTGCTGGGAAAACTGGCTAGCCATATGGAGAAAGCTGAAACTGGATCCCTTCCTTACACCTTATACTAAAATTAATTCAAGATGGATTAAAGACTTAAATGTTAGACCTAAAACCATAACAACCCTAGAAGAAAACCTAGGCAATACCATTCAGGACATAGGCATGGGCAAGGACTTCATGACTAAAACACCAAAAGCAATGGCAACAAAAGCCAAAATTGACAAATGGGATCTAATTAAACTAAAGAGCTTCTGCATAGCAAAAGAAACTACCATCAGAGTGAACAGGCAACCTACAGAATGGGAGAAAATTTTTACAATCTACCCCTCTGACAAAGGGCTAATATCCAGAATCTTCAAGGAACTTAAACAAATTTACAAGAAAAATTCAAACAACCCCATCAAAAAGAGGGTGAAGGATATGAACAGACACTTCACAAAAGAAGACATTTATGCAGCCAACAGACACATGAAAAAATGCTCATCATCACTGGTCATCAGAGAAATGTGTATCAAAGCCAAAATGAGATACCATCTCACACCATTTAGAATGGCGATCATTAAAAAGTCAGGAAACAACAGGTGCTGGAGAGGATGTGGAGAAATAGGAATGCTTTTATACTGTTGGTGGGAGCCTAAACTAGTTCAACCATTGTGGAAGACAGTGTGGCAATTCCTGAAGGATTTAGGACTAGAAATACCATTTGACCCTGCGATCCCATTACTGGGTATATACCCAAAAGGTTGTAAATCATGCTACTATAAAGACACATGTACACGTATGTTTATTGTGGCACTATTCGCAATAGCAAAGACTTGGAACCAACCCAAATGTCTGTCAATGAGAGCCTCGATTAAGAAAATGTGGCACATATACACCACGGAATACTATGCAGCCATAAAAAAGGATGAGTTCATGTCCTTTGTAGCGACATGGATGAAGCTGGAAACCATCATTCTCAGCAAACTATCGCAAAGACAGAAAACCAAACACCACATGTTCTCACTCATAGGTGGGAATTGAACAATCAGAACACTTGGACACAGGGCGGGGAACATCACACACCGGGGCCTGTCGTTGGGTGGGAGCATGGGGGAGGGATAGCATTAGGAGAAATACCTAATGTAAATGATGAGTTAATAGGTGCAGCAAACCAACATGGCACATGTATACATATGTAATAAACCTGCATGTTTTGCACATGTACTCTAGAACTTAAAGTATAATAATAAAATAATAAGTAAAAAAATAAATAAAAATAAAAATAAAGAATTACTGGCCAGGCGTGGTGGCTCACACCTGTAATCCCAGCACTTTGGGAGACCGAGGTGGGCGCATCACAAAGTCAGGACATCGAGACCATCCTGGCCAACATGGTGAAACCCTGTCTCTACTAAAAATACAAAAATTAGCTGGGCGTGGTGGTGGGTGCCTGTAGTCCCAGCTACTCGGGAAGCTGAGGCAGGAGAATTGCTTGAACCCAGGAGGCAGAGGTTTCAGTGAGCGGAGATTACACCACTGCACTCCAGCCTGGGAGACAGAGTGAGACTCTGTCTCAAAAAAAAAATTACTATAAAGCTACAGTAATCAAAACAGTGTGGTTCTGGCAAAGGGATAGACAAATAGATCAATGGAGCAAAATGAGACCATAAGTATGCCCACACAATTAGGGGTCAATTGATTTTTGGCAAAGATGCAAAAGCAATTTAGTGGAGGAACAACAAATGATGTTGCAACAATGGTACATCGATATGCAAATGAGAAAACAAAACAAAAAGCCCTCAAGCTTAACCTCATACCTTATACAAAAATTAACTCAAAATAGACCATAGAAATAAAAATGTACAATGCACATTTATATGCAGAACCGTATTCTCTTATACCACTTGAATTTTTAAAGTAACAAAAGGAGAGTCGTATACATCTATATATGCTCATGAATGAGTTAATACTCTGGAAGGATAGACTTGAAACCATTAGCAATTTCCTCGTGGTTGGGAAGAGAATGAATGATTTTACTTTACATTTTATCTGTTTCTGGGATATTTCCTTCTATTAAAAAAGCATCTTTTTCTCTTATAGCAAGAAAGAAACATCTTAAAATTTTTAATTAACAAACAATAATAATAGTATACATTATACATTTATGGGGTACAATATGATGTTTTAATTTTTTTAAAAAAAATTGACAATATCAAGTGCTGGGCAACTGGGTCTGTCATACATTACTAGGGGAATAAAAAATGGTGCATCCACTCTGCAAAATGGTTTGGTAGTTTCCTACAAAGTTAAACATAGACTTACCATGTGACTCAGCAATTCCATTCCTGAGTTTCTGTCCTAGAGAAATGAAAACTTATGTCTGAACACCAATGCTTATACCTGCACTATTCATAATTGCCCCAAACTAGAAAGAATCCAAATGTCCTTCAATAAGTGAATACATGAATAAACTGTGGCACAACCACACAATGAAATACTACTCAGAATACAAAGCCCAAACTATTGATACACACAACAGTTTGGATGACTCTTAAAGACATTATGTTGCATAAAAAAGCCAGTCTCAAAAGACTGCATACTGCATTATATCATTTATATAACGTTCTGAAAAAGCAAGACTATAAAGATATAGAACACACTTTGGGAGGCCGAGGCGGGTGGATCACGAGGTCAGAAGATTGAGACCATCCCGGCTAACATGGTGAAACCCCATCTCTAATAAAAATACAAAAAAAATTAGCCAGGCATTGTGGCGGGCGCCTGTAGTCCCAGCTACTCGGGAGGCTGAGGCAGGAGAATGGCGTGAACCCGGGAGGTGGAGCTTGCAGTGAGCTGAGATCGTGCCACTGCACTCCAGCCTGGGCGAAAGAGTGAGACTCCTCTGTCTCAAAAAAAAAAAAAAAAAAAAAGATATAGAAATAGAACAGGTTGCCAGCATTTATGGGTAGGAGGAGGGATGACTATAAAGTGGTAGAATGGTAGAATGAGGAAGTTTTATGTTAAAATTATTATATGTCCTGATGTAGTAGTGATAACATGTCTCCATACATGTGTTAAAATTCATAAAACTGTACATCAAGATATTTAAAAATCAATTTTTCTGGTGATTTAAAATAATATTAAAAATATTTTAGGTTAAAATCCATTTTTAATGTTAAGTGATAAAAAGTCCACTGCTTTTCTTGCTACACCAGAAATTGAAAACACAAGTTATTTCCAGAGGTCAAACAGGTAAAATAACTGTAAGTTTTCCAGGTATAAGAAAATAGGGAATGGTAAAGACTGTGTTTGAATTATAGTGTGTGTCCTAACCGAAGACATTCAAAACCAATTAAAAACAAAGAAGCAAGACTGTGTGTACACACACACATGCACACACACACACTCTGAAGCCCCCCACACTGTATGTTGTTTTTAGATTATTTTATGTAATCATATAACTTCAACTACCATGTGAATTTTCTTTTAATGACTGCTACCCAGATCTTACCTTGAAGTTCAAACGTATTATCCTCACATGCCTTCTGGATATCTCCAACTATATTTTTCATTGGTATTTAAAAGCTTAACATGACCAAAAATGAAGTAAACTGTATGGCCATCTTTTGGGCCTGAGAAACAGTCCCATAGGCTATGCCCAGTCTGAGGCTGGTAAGCAACCATGGGTTCATGCCCCCAGCTGGAGAAACAACCCTGTAGCTCCATCCCCAGGGAGTCAGACTCTAAGTTGGCTGACCCGCCATGTGCACACCTCACCACTGACCTGAGAAACAGCCTGATGAGCTGTTTCTAAAAAAGCAAAGCCACACCAGTACTGCCAGTACAAACTCTCTTAGCCTAGACCAATGAGACCCTTGCAAACATCACCGGTGTGGATTACAGCTAAAGAAACTACATGGAGACTATATTACTGCATCCACCCAGAACCAACCCAACACACCCCACTGACCTGATCTATATGAATAAGATTATATCTTATTCAAGACCTCAAGACTCATCTATATGAATATATCTTTCCCTACAAAACCTACTCCATAAAATTGGAAGAGGTGACTTTTCCACCAGATGTGTACAAATTGACATAGGGACACATCAAACATGAAAAAGCATAGAAACATGACACCTCCAAGGGAACATAATAATTCTCCAGTAACAGACCCCAATCATAAGGAAATATATAAAATGTCAGAAAAAAATTCAAAATAATAATCTTAAGAAACCTCAATGAGATATAAGAGAATACAGGTAGACAATACAAAAAATCAGGAAAATAATTCATGTCTTGAATGACAAATTCAACACAGCGATAGATATCATAAAAATGAACAAAACAGAAATCCCAGAGGTGAAGAATTCAATGAATAAAATTTAAAAAAAAGACAATTGAGGGCTTCAACAACAGATAAGACCAAGCAGAAGAAAGGAGTTCAGAGGAACTTCTGAACTTAAAGACAGGTGTTTTCAAATAACAGAGGTAGACAAAAAAAAAAGAGAATAAAGAAAGCATACAGAATGTATGGGACAGTATTAAGCAAACAAATATTCAAATTATTGACATTCCATAAAAAGAAGGGGGGGGAAAAGGTGTATAAATATGTTTCATGAAATAATAGCTGAAAACTTCACAAGCCTTGGGAGATGGCCATCCTGAACCAGGAAACTCAAAGGTTGCCAAACAGATTAAACCTAAACAGATTCTCTGCAAGCCACATAATGTTCAAATTGTTGAAAGTTAAAGACAAAACAATAATTCTAAAAACAGCAAGAGAAGAACATCAAGTCACATATAAAGGAACCCTCATTAGACTAATAGTGGCTTTCTCAGCAAAAAATCTTACAGGCCAGAAGAGGATAGGATGATATTTTCAAAATACTGGAAAAAGAAACCGCCAGGAAAGAATAATATACACGGCAAAGCTATCCTTCAGAAATGAAGAAGAAATAAAATCTTTGATAAACAAAAATTAAAGGAACACATCAACACTAGACCAGTATTAAAAGAAATGCTCAAGGGAATCTGACTTCTAGAAATCAAAAGACCATAACCACCATTATGAAAACATGCAAAACTGCAAAACTCACTAGTAGAGATGACACACAGAGAAAACAATCAAACTTTATAACTACAGAAAACCACCCAACCACAAAAATAAACAATAAGAGAAGTAAAGAACAAAGGATATACAAAACAACCAGAAAAAAAATCAATAAAATAACATAAGTCCTCATCTACCAATAATAACCTTGGATGTAAATGGATTAAATTCCCCACTTAAAAGATATAGACTGGCTGAAGGAATTTTTTAAAGACCCACCTGGATGCTACCTAAAAGAAACTCTCACCACCAGGAAGACACAGACTAAATGGGAAGAGTTGAAAAAATATATTTTAAACAGCTTGAGAAGGCAGAACAAGATAGCCAAATATAACCCTCCAGCAATCATCCTCCTACCGGAAAACCAAATTAAATGACTATCCATGCAAGAAAGCATCTTCATAAGAACCAAAAATCAGGTGAGCAATTATAGTACCTGGTTTTAAAATAATATCAAGAAAAGAGGCACTGCAAAAGATATAAAATACAGTCTTACATTGCCTACACCACCCCTTCTCCATCCCCCAGCAGCACACGAAGAGAGAATTTGTGTGCTTGGGGAAGCAAGAAAGAAGTGATTGTGGCACTGAGTTCCCACACTGAGTTCCAATGCTGCCCTGTTACAGCAGAACACAACACAGAGCAGAATCCTTCCAGTGCCCATGGAGGGAGCATTTAAACTAGCCCCAGCCAAAAGGGAATTCTCTGCCCCAGTGATAAAAACCCAAGTTTTGGCTAGCTCCACTGCTGGCCAATTAAAGTACCCTTTGCTTCTCAATAGGTTTAAAAGGCAGTCAGGCTACAAGAACTGCAGCCCTTGAGCAATTTCAGGTGCTGCACTGTGCTCAGAGCCAGTGGAATGGGAGTGCATATGAACCAGTGAGACATTAGCTGTGGCAGCCAAGGGAGTGCTTGTGTCAACCCTCCCCCAACTCCAGGCAGTGCAACTCAGGGAGTGACTCCTGCTTCCATAAGGAGAGGGAAGAGCACAGAGGACTTTGTCTTGCAACATGGGTACCAGGAAAGCCACAGTTAAATAAAGCACAAAACAGATTCCTGAAGCCCCTGATTCCAGGCCCTAGTTCCTGGATAGCATTTCTAGACCCACCCTGGGCCAGAAGGGAACCTACTGCACTGAAGAGAAAGACCCAGTCCTGGCAGGATTCACCACCTGTGGAATAATGAGCCCTTGGGCCTTGAATAAACATCAGTGTTAGACAGGCAGTATCATCATGGTCCTTGGGCGAGACCCAGTACTATGTTGACTTCAGGTGTGATCCAGTGCGGTCTCAGCTGTGGTGGCCAGAGTATTGCTTGCATCACCCTTTCCCCAACTCCAGGCATACCAGCATGGAGAGAGAGAGAGAGACTCCTTCTGTTGGGGGAAAGTGAAGGAAGAGAACTAGAGACTGCCTGGAGAATTCTCCTGGATCTCGTCCAAGTGCACCAAGGCAGTAAGAGCCTGCAAAAGTTGCAGCATTGCTGGGGTTAGGGAGCCCCCTAGTGCAGATATGGTTGCAATGACCAAAGACTTAGATCACAACCCTTTGAATTCCTGGAAAGCCTTGTCAAGAAGGACAAGTACATACAAGCCCAGACTGTGAAGACTAGAATAAATACCTAATTGATGAATATTCACAAGCATCAAGAACATGTAGGAAAACATGACCTCACCAAACAAACTAAATAAGGCACCAGTGACAAATCCCAGAATAACAGAGCTATGTGACATTTCAGCAAAGGATTCAAAATAGCTGCTTTTTTTGGCAGGGGAGGGGGGGTGTATTGCTCTGCCGCCTAGGCTGGAGTACAGTGGTGTGATAATAGTTCACTGTAGTCTCGAACTCCTGGGCTCAAATGATCCTCCCACCTCACCCTCCCGAGTAGCTGAGACTAGAGGTACACACCACCATGCCTGGCTAACATTTTTTAAAAATTTTGTAGACATAGGGTCTTGCTATGTTGCCCAGACTGGCCTCAAACTCCAGTTCTCAGGCAACCTTCCCATCTTGGCCTCCCATAGTACTGGGATTATAAGCATGAGTCACTGCATCCGGCTCAAAATAACTGTTTTGAGGAAATTCAACAAATTTCAAGATAACACAGAGAAGGAATTCAGAATCCTATCAAAGAAATTTAACAAAGAGATTGAAATAATTTTTGAAAATCAAGCAAAAGTTCTAGAGCAGAAATATTCAATTGACACACTGAAAAATGCACCAGAGTCTCTCCACAGCAGAATTGATCAAGCAGAAGAAAGAATTAGTAAGGTCAAACAGAGGCTATAAGAAAACACAGAGAAGAAAAAAAAACAATAAAAAAAGTGAAGCATGGCTACAAGATGTAGAAAATAGCCTCAAAAGGGCAAATTTAAGATATACTTGTCTTAGAGAGGAGGTAGAGAGAGAAACTGGGGTAAAAAGTTAATTCAAAGAAATAATAACAAAGAGCATTCCAAACCTAGAGAAAGATATCAGTGTTCATGTACAAGAAGGTCACATAAAACCAGGCAGGGTTAAACTAAATGAGACAACCTCTAGGCATTTAGTAATTAAGCTCCCAAAGGTCAAAGATGAAAACATAATCCTAAAAGCAACAATAGAAAAGAAACAAATATAGCATAAAGAAGTAGCAATATGTCTGGCAGCAGATGTCTCAGTGGAAACCTTGCAGGCTACAAGAGACTGCTATGACATATTCAAAGTGCTGAAGGAAAAAAACTTTTATCCTAGAATATTATATCCAGCAAAAATATCCTTCAAACATAAAGGAGAAATGAAGACTTTCTTGGACCAAAAAAAAACTAAGGGAATTCATCAAGTACACACATGAGCTACAAAAAAAAATGCTAAAGAGAGTTCTTCAATCTTAAAGAAAAGGATCCTAATAAGCAATAAGAAGTCATATGAACATACAAAACTCACCGGTAGTAGTAAGTACGCAGACAAATATAGAATAATCTAACACTGTAATGGTGTGTAAACCACTCACATCTTGAGTAGGAAGACTAAAAGACAAACCTATAAAAATAATAACTACAACAATGTTTTAAGAGATAGTATTAAAAGTCATAACTATAAACAACAAAAATTAAAAATCTGGGAGGGGATGGTGTTAAAGTGTATAGTTTTTATTAGTGTTCACTTTCCTTCTTTGTTTATTTGTTGTGCTTTTCTGTAATCACAGTTTAGTTGTCATCAGTTTAAAATGATTGGTTATAAGATGTTATTTCAAGACTCATGGTACCTCAAACCAAAAAATCTACAGATACACAATAAATAAAAAGCAAGAAATTAAAACCTACTACCAGAGAAAATCTCTTTTACACAAAGAAGGAAGGAAGGAAGAAAGGAGGAGGAGAAGCAGAAGAAGGAGAAGGAGAAGGGGAAGGGGAAGGAGAAGGAGAAGGGGAAGGGGAAGGAGAAGGAGAAGGGGAAGGAGAACGAGGGGAAGGGGAAGAGGAAGAGGAAAAGAGAGGGAGGGAGGGAGGGGATGGAGGGAGGGGGAGAGGGAGAGAGGAACACTAAACAGCCAGAAAACAAAAAACAAAATAGCAATAGTAAGTCTTTGCCTATCAATAACATTGAATGTAAATGAACTAAAATCTTGAATGAATTTTTTAAAAGACCCAACTATATGGTACCTACAAGAAACTCATTTTACCTGTATAGATACACACAGACTGAAAATAAAGGGCTGGAAAAAGATATTCTATGAAAATAAAAACCAAAAAAGGAGCACAAATACCTATACTTTTTATCAGATAAAATAGATTTCAAGACAAAAACTATAAAAACAGACTAAAAAGGTCATTATATAATGATAAACAGGTCACTTCAGCAAGAGAATATAATAACTGTAAATATATATATGCACCCAACACTGGAGCACTCAGACACAGAAAGCAAATTTTATTAGAGTTTTAAGAGAGAGATAGACTCCTCCAATACAATAATAGCTGGAGACCTTAACACACAGCTTTCAGCATTGGGCAGATCATCCAGATAGAAAATCAGCAAAGAAATATTGAACTTAATCTGCATAATAAATCAAAAGGATCTCATAAATCTTTACACAACGTTTTATCCAAGAGCTGCAGAATACATTTTCTTCTGAGAACATGGATCATTCTCAAGGACAGACCTATGTTAAGCCACAAAACAAGTCTTAAAAACCTCAGTAAAACTAAGATAGTATCAAGTATCTGACCACAATAAAATAAAACTAGACATCAATAACAAGAACTTTAGGAACCATGCAAACACATGGAAATAAAACAATATGCTCTTAAATTACCAGTGGGTCAGTGAAGAAGTTAGTAATGAAATTTTAAAATGTATTGAAGCAAATGAAAATGCAAACATAACAAACCAAAATCTATGGGACACAGAGAAAGCAGTACTAAAAGGAAAGTTTATAGCAATAAGTCCTACATCAAATAAGTAGAAAAACGACAAATAGCCAATTTTAAAATGCATCTTAAAGAATTATAAAAGCAAGAGCAAATCATATGCAAAATATGTAGAAGAAAGGAAATCATAATAATCAGAGCAAAAATAAATGAAATTGAAACCAAAAAGCAATACAAAAGATCAACAAAACAAAAAGCTGGCTTTTTTACAAAAATAAACAAAATTGACAAAACTTTAGCCAGATTAAGGAAAAGAGATAAGATTCAAATAAATAAAATAAGAAATTAAAAAGGAGACATTATAACTTATACTGTAGTAATTCAAAGGATCATTAGAGACTATTTTGAGCAATTATATGCCAATAAATTGAAAAACCTAGAAGAAATTGATAAATTCCTACACACATACAACCTAGCAAGATGGAACCATGAAGAAATCCAGAACCTGAATAGACCAATAACAAGTAATGACATCAAAGCCATAATAAAACATCTCTCATCAAAGAAAAGCTCAGGATCCAATGGCTTAACTGTTGGATTCTACCAAACATTTAAAGAAGAACTAACACCAAACATAATCAAACTATTCCAAAAAATTGAGGAGGAGAGATTACTTTCAAACTCATGCTATGAGGCCGGTATTACCCTGATACCAAAACTAAAGACACAACCAATAAAGAAAACTACAGGCCAGTATATCTCTGATGAACACAGATGCACATGTCCTCAACAAAATCCTAGTAAAACAAATTCAACAACACATTAAAAAGATTATTCACTATAACAAAGTGGGATCAACCCAGGGGTAAAGAATGGTTCCACATATGCAAATCAATCAGTGTGATACATTATATCAACAGAATGAAGAACAAAAACCATATGATCTTTTCAACTGATGCTGAAAAAGTATTTGATAAAATTCAACATCCCTTCATGATAAAAACTCTCAGGAGATCGAGACCATCCTGGCTAACACGGTGAAACCCCGTCTCTACTAAAAAAATACAAAAAAATTAGCCGGGCTTGGTGGCGGGCGCCTGTAGTCCCAGCTACTCCGAAGGCTGAGGCAGGAGAATGGCGTGAACCCGGGAGGCGGAGCTTTCAGTGAGCCGAGATCGCGCCACTGCACTCCAGCCTGAGCGACAGAGAGAAACTCCGTCAAAAAAAAAAAAAAAAAAGTCAGTAGCATTTCCATATATTAACTGTAAATGATATACAAAAGAAATCAAGAAAATAATCCCATCTATAATAGCTATAAATAAAATAAGATAAAATACCTAGGGATATACTTAACCAAAGAAGTGAAGGAAATCTACAATTAAAACTATAAAACATTGATAAAAGAAATTGAAGAGAACAAAAATTGTAATATATCCCATGCTCATAGATTAGAAAAATCAATATTGTTAAAATGTCCATACTACCCAAAGCAATCTACAAATTCAAGGCAATCCCTATGAAAATACCAACGACATTCTTCACAGAAATAGAAAAAAAATTCTAAAATTTATATGGAGCCACAAAAGACCTAGACTAGCCAAAATCATCCTAAGGAAAAAGAGCAAAACTGGAGAAATCACATTACCAGACTTCAAATTATACTACAGAGATTTAGTTACCAAAACAACATGGTGCTGGCATAAAAGCAGATACATAGTCCAATGGAACAGAATGCAGAACCCAGCAACTTAATCCACACATTTACAGTAAACTCCGTTTTAACAAAAGTGTCAAGAACATATATTGGGGGAAAGACAGTCTCTTGAACAAATGGTGCTGGGAAAACTAGATATCTCTATGTAGAAGAAAGAAACTAGACCCTTATCTTTTGCCACGTATAAAAATCAAATCAAAATGGACTAAAGACTTAAATCTAAGCCCTGCAATTATGAAACTAGTAAAAGAAAACATTGAGGAAACCTACCAGGACATAGATCTGGGCAAAGATTTCTTGAGTAATACCTTAGAAGCACAGGCAACCAAAGCAAAAATAGACAAGTGGGATTACATCAAGCGAAAATGCTTCTTCACAGCCAAGGAAACAGTCAACAAAGTGAAGAGAAACCCACAGAATGGGAGAAAGTATTTGCAAGTAACCTATCTGACAAAGGAGTAATAACTAGACTACATAAAGAGCTCAAACAACTCAATAGCAAAAAATCTAATAATCCAGCTTCAAAATGGGCAAACGATCTGAATAGACAAGTCTCAAAAGAAGGTATACAAATGGCTAAGAAGTATATGAAAAAAATGCTCAATTTCGTCAATAATCAGAGAAATCCTAATCAAAACCACAATGAGATATCATCTCACCCAGTTAAAATGTCTTTTTTCCAAAAGACAGGCAGTAACAAATGTTGGCAAGGATGTGAAGAAAGTGAAACCCACATACACTGTTGGCAGGGATGTAAATTAGGACAGCCACTATTGAGAACAATATGGAGGTTTCTCAGAAAAACTTAAAATAGAACTACCATATGATACAGCATTTCCACTGCTAAGTATATATCTAAAAAGAGGTAATCAGGATATTGAAGAGATATCTACACTCCCATATTCATTGCAGCCCTATTCGCAATAGGTAAGATTTGGAATCAACCTAAGTGTACATATATGAATAAAATGGACAAAGAAAGTGTAGTACATATATGCAAAATAGAATATTATTCAGCTGTGAAAAAGAATAAAATCCTGTCATTTGCAACAACATGTATGGAACTGGAAGACATTATGTTAAGTGAAATAAGCCAGGCACAGAAAGACTAATTTCACAAGTTCTCACTCACATGTAGCTAAAAATTAAAACAATTGAACTCGTAGACACAGAGAGTAGAATAATGATTATCAGAGGCTGGGAAGGGTAGTGGAGGGGAAATGAGGATGGTTAATGGGTGCACAAAAATAGATAGAATGAATAACATCTAACATTTGATAGCTCAACAGGGTGATTATAGTCAAAAATAATTTACTCTGTATTTTAAAATAATAAAAAGAGTGAGATTGGAATGTTCCTAACACAAATAAATGATCAGTGCTTCGGGTGATGGATATTCCAACTACCCTGGTATGATTATTATACATTATATGCCTATTTCAGAACGTCACATGTACCCCATGAATATTTATGTCTATTATACCAAAAATAACTAAAATGTAAACATTTTAATAAAAAAGATATTTCACATAAATGAAAATGAAAAGCAAGCAGTAGTAGCTATACTTTTATCAGACAAGTAAATATCAAGTCAAAGATGAAAAAGAGACAAAGAAGAACATTAGATCATAAGCCTATCAATTTAGCAAGAGAATATAACAACTAAACATATATGCACCAAACACTGGACCACCCAGATATATAAAGCATACCTTACTAGATCTAAAGGAAGAGATAGATTCCAATATAATAATACACCCCACTCTCAACATTGGACAGATTATCTAGACTGAAAATCAACAAAGAATAATAGGATTTAAACTGGACCATATATCAAATGGACGTAACAAGCATTTACAGAGCATTTCTTTCAACAACTGCAGAATTCACATTGTTTTGTTAGCATATGGAACATTCCCCAGGCTTGAAGATATGTTAGGACAAAAAACAAGTATGAGAAAAAAATTTTTAATCAAAATTATACCAAGTATCTTGTCTGACCACATGTAATAAAATGAAATCAATAACAAGAGGAACATTTGAAAATATACAAACACATGGAAATTAAACAACAGGCTCTTGAACAACCAATGGGAGGAGGAAGAAATTAAGAATAAAAATTTAAAATTCCTTGAAACAAATGAAATTAGAAACACATACCAAAACCAATGGACAGCAAAAACAGTTTTAAGATGCACATTTATAGCAATAATAACCTACCTCAAAAAACTAAAAACAACTTAGCAATGTATCTCAAGGAACAAGAAAATCAAAACAAAAAAACTCAAAATTAGTAAAAGGAAAGAAACAATAAAGATCAGATTATAAATAAACAAAACTGAGACTAAAAAACAATACAAAATATCAACAAAATGAAAAGGTTTTTTTAAAGAGAGAAACAAAATCAACAAAACATTAGCCTGACTAAGAAAAAAAGAGAGAAGACCCAAATAAATAACGCATAACACAGAAATACAAAAGATCATCATAGACTACTATGAACTACTACTACGAACTACTACTACTAGGCTAAGAAATAGGAAAACCTAGAAGAAAATTGATTGATTATTCTTGGGTACATACAACCTACAAGGATGTGAATCAAGAAGAAATAGAAAACCTGAACAGACCAATAACAAGTTATGAGATTGAATCAGTAATAAGCCTCTCAACAAAGAAAAATTCAGAAGCGAATGACTTCACCACTGAATTGCACCAAATCTTTAAAGAAGAATTAATACCAATTCTTTCAAAGTATTCTAAAAATTGAAATAGAGGACACTCTTTCTAACTCATTCTACAAGGCCAGTGTAACCAAAAACCAGACAAGGACACAGTAAAAACAAAAAACTACAGGCCAATATCCTCGATGAACATAGATTTTTAAATCCTCCACAGAATACTAATAAACTGAATCCAACAATACATCAAAAAGATAATACACTGTAATCCCAGCACTTTGAGAGGCCGAGGCAGGTGGATTGCTTGAGCCCAGGAGTTTGAGACTAGCCTGGACAACATGGCAAAACCTCCTCTCTACTAAAATATAAAAATTAGCTGGGCATGGTGGTGCACACCTGTAATCTCAGCTACTTCGGAGGCTGAGGCATGAGAATCATTTGAACATGGGAGGTGGAGGTTGCAGTGAGCCAAGATCGCACCACTGCACTCCAGCCTGGGTGACAGGGCGAGACTCTGTCTCAAAAAAAAAAAAAAATGCATTCTAGAAAGTGGAGGTAACTGAATGTAAAATTCTCACAGCAATTTAATAGAACAGTCCCAGATGGTTAGCTGAGGCTAATACCTAAAGAGGACGAAAGCCTTGTCTGTGGGGAATTTTGGATGATACCTGGAGAAATATTATGCTGTGCATAAACCAAATTGAATTGCTTTCATGAGTGTTGTAAAGTTTCATTTAATAAAGTTTTTTTCTACATGCATTTGAATTTCACAGCAAGAGTGGCAGAGAATACCTAAACACAGAAGAAAGCATTCATTCAAGACATCTAACTCCTTGATATAATGCATACAGTTCAAAATGATTACACTATCATTACATCTAGGGCTTTCTGTAAGTACAAGGTGGTGGTTATGGAAAGCACTGCCCCCAGTATCAACAACTAGAAAGCATCCACCACCCTCTATGTGTGTTCTCTTTTTGTATTTTTTCTTCATTTTTTTTAACTTTGCTGTTGCAAATTTTTAGCAAAACAGGTAAAAACAAAATTGTAATCATTGAACATAGCCCTCTGACAATCAAGACACTTAAAACCTTAAATCTTCTGGGGCAAAGAAAGCACTGTGCAACATTTAGAACTCTAAATAACATACAAGGTCGTCACAAATTTTCCTCGCTTAAAGAGTTCCACAACTTTTCTGATCAGGTCATCATAGGAGGTCTGACTTAAGTTTGTTTCAAAGCTAACATAAGAGGATTCTGGTTCTGGAGCGATGTGAATAATAAGTTTTGTCTGATTTCATTCCATTCATCAAATGCTCAAAAGGATTAAATATTGTGTCATCAGTGACAGAACCTGGAATCAGGTCACAAATTCCACTCTCATGAGTGACATTCTTTGCAGTAACACCATCTTTCATGTAGAACTGGTCCGTAACTGCTGGGTCAAGTTCACTTCATCAGAATTTCCAGGGTTTGATCTGGCTGACTGGTTACCCAACTCTCTGGGAACTCCAGAGTATATAAGTACTAACAGTCAGAATTCATATATCCCATACAATATGCTGCTCCATTTGGGAAAACTGCATTAAGAAACTCTATGTCTTCCTGGAAATTCTGGTTAGGGTACCCTTGGTGAAAAGGCTTAATGAAATTCTTATGAGAATAAAAGAGGCTTTGAATCGAGTCAAACCCACTGTAATCCCCAGCAAGCTTCGGCAGGGGAACCAGTGCTTTCAGCAAGAGGGTGGTACCACATGTCTTCAAAATGAAACGTCTCTTGGAGACAAATATGCTACTCTCACTGAGTACATAAGCTTCCTGCTTGTCAGTTTTTGTCACACATATGATTGAACATTACACATCCTTCAAAAATATGTCCCACTCAGATCTTGGAATACTGCTAAGATCCCCACATCCTTCGTTTGTATCAGGCTGCTACCAGGAGAACCAAACCTTCAGCAGCTTCTTGGTCCCTTCAAAAAATTTTGCAGCTTCCATCACCATGAGACTAGCAAACAACAAATAGCCACAGAAAATCAACTAAATTAAAGCTTTTCTCCTGCTGCTGCCACTGCTGCTGCAGCTTGTTCTAGCTGTGTTACTAAAGTTCGGGTTCCTTTCTTTGCTATAATTTTGTGATTGAAAGTTCAATGTGAGTCCGTCGGAAATAAAGGCAGATACAGTTCAGTCTCTTGTATTCCACTGCTTCCCCATTAGAGAGAGTAGAGCAAGTGCCAGCTAATGTCACCAGTGAAAGCCTAAACCTCTTTTCTTTATAAATTACCCAGTCTCAAGTGTTTCTTTATGGCAATGCAAGAACAGCCTAACACAGTATTACATAATAATAAAGGATGCAATACAAGAAGAAGATTTAACTATTCTAAATATATATGCACCCAGCATTGAGCACCCATATTCATAAAACAAGTTCTTCTTGGCCTATGAAAAGACTTAGACAACCACACAATCATAGTGGGTTCAACACCCCCCTGACAGTGTTAGACAGATCACCAATGCAGAAAACTAACAAAGAAACTGGACTTAAACTCAACCCTTGACTAATTGGGACTAATAGATATCTACAGAACACTCCACCCAATAACCACAGAATATACATTCTTCTCATCTGCACACAGAACGTATTCTAAGATCAACCACATGTTCAGTCATAAAGCAAGTCTCAATAAATTAAAAAAAATAAAATTGTACCAAGCACACTCTCAGACCACAGTGCAATAAAAATAGAAATCAATATAAAGCAGATCTCTAAAAACTACACAAATGCATGAAAATTAAACAACTTGCTCCTGAATGGCTCCTGAGTGAACATCAAAATTAAGGCAAAAAATTCTTTGAAATTAATGAAAATAGGGACATAACTTACCAAAATCTCTGGCATGCGGCTAAAGCTATGTTAAGAGAAAATGTTATAGCCCTAAACGCCTTCATCAAGAAGTTAGGATGGGCCAGGTGTGGTGGCTCACGCCTGTAATCCCAGCACTTTGGGAGGCCGAGTGGGCGGATCACTTGAGGTCAGGAGTTGGAGACCAGCCTGACCAACATGTTGAAACCCAGTCTCTGCTAAAAATACAAAAATTAGCCATGCGTGGTAGCGCACGCCTGTAATCCCAACTACCAGGCAGGCTGAGGCAGGAGAATTGCTTGAATCCAGTGGGTGGAGGTAGCAGTGAGCAGAGATGGTGCCACTGCCCTCTAGCCTGGGCAACAGAGCCAGACTCCATCTCAAAAAAAAAAAAAAAAAAAAAAGAAGAAGGAGAAGAAGGAGGAGGAGGAGGAGGAGGAGGAGGAGAAGGAGAAGGAGTTAGAATGATCTTGTGTTAGGCTGTTCTTGCATTGCTATAAAGGAATACCCGAGACTGGGTAATTTATAAGAAAACAGGTCTAAGTAGCTCACAGTTTTGCAGGCTGTATAAGAAGTATAGAACTGGAATCTGCTTCTGGGGAAGCCTCAGGAAACTTCCAATCATGGTGGAAGGGAAAGGGGGAGCAGGCAAGTCACATGGTGGGAGTAGAAGCAAGAGATGGAGTGAGTGAGGAGGTGCTACATCTCATGAGAATTCATTCACTATTGTGAGGACAGCCCCAAGCCATGAGAGATCCATCCCCATTACCCAAACACCTCCCACCATGCCCCAACTCCAACATTGGAAATTACAATTCAACATGAGATTTGGTGAGGACACATGTTCAAACTATGTCAGATCTCAAATTAACAATCTAATTTGATACCTAAAGAAACTAAGACAAAAAAAGAACAAATAAACCCCAAAGCTAGCAGAAGAAAAGAAATAAATTAGAGAACTTAAACTGAGATGCAAAAATCCATACAAAAAATCAATAAAACAAATAATTGGCTCGAAACAATAAATAAGATTGATAGATTGCTAGCTAGATTAATAAAGAAAAAAGAAAATTCACATAAATACAATCAGAAATGACAAAGATGACGTTACATCTGATCTCACAGAAATACACAAGATCCTCAGAGAATACTATGAACAACTCTATGTACTCAAATTAGAAAATCTAGAGGAAATGGATAAATTCCTGGAAACACACAGTCTTCCAAGGTTGAATTAGGAAGTTATTAAAACCCTGAATAGACCAATATCAAACTTGGAAATTGAATCAGTAATAAAAACCTATCAACCAATAAAAGCCCTGGACCAAATGGATTCACAGCCAAATTCTACCAGATATGTAAAGAAGAACTGGTATCAATACTACTGAAACTGTTCCAAAAAAATAGAGGAAGAGAGATATCT
Organism: Homo sapiens; assembly: GCF_000001405.40. Classification (NCBI taxonomy): domain Eukaryota; kingdom Metazoa; phylum Chordata; class Mammalia; order Primates; family Hominidae; genus Homo; species Homo sapiens. Next base: position 155,831,865 of record NC_000023.11, read on the forward strand.
CCCTAACTCACTCTACGAGGTCAGCATCAGCCTAATACCAAAATCTGGCAGACATGTTGAAGAAAGAAATCTTCAGGCCAACATCCCTGATGAAAACAGATGCAAAAATCTTCAACAAAGCACTAGCAAACCAAATTCAGCAGCACATCAAAAAGTTAATTCATCATGATTGATTAGGCTTTGTTCCTGGGATGCAAGGTTGGCTCAACATATGCAAATCAATAAATGTGATTCACTATGTAAATAGAGTTAAAAGCCAAAGCCATATGATCATCTCAATAGACACAGAAAGTTTTTGATAAAATCCAACATCCCTTCATGATTTAAGAAAAAAAAAACCTCAACAGGCTAGGCATTTAAAAAACATACTTCAAATTAATAAGAGCCATATATGACAAACCCACAGCCAATATCATGCTAAACAGTCAAAAGCAGGAACTATTCCCCTTGAGAAGTGGAACAAGACAAGGATGTCCACTCTCACCACTTCTATTCAACATAGTTCTGAAAATCTTAGCCAGAGCAATTAGGCAAGAGAAAGAAATCAAAGGCATCCAAATAAGAAAAGGAGTCAAATTATCTCTCTTCACTGACAATATGATTCTATACTTAGAAAACCGTAAAGACTTTGCCAAAAAGCTACTAGAACTGATACATGATTTTAGCAAGGTTTCAGAATACAAAATAAATGTGCAAACTCAGTAGCATTTCTATAAACCAATAACGCCCAGGCTGACAGTAAAACCAAAAGCACAATCCCATTTACAACACCCACAAATAAAATGAAATACCAAGGAATACAGCTAACCAAGGAGGTGAAAGATCTTTACAAGGAGAACTACAAACCACTGCCGAAATAAATCAGAAATGACACAAATAAGTGTAAAAACATTCCATGCTCATGGATTGGAAGAATCAATATTGTTAAAATGACCATACTGCCCAAAGCAATTTACAGATTCAACACTATTCCTATCAAACTATTGACATCATTATTCACAGAATTAGGGGAAAAAACTATTCTAAAATTTATATGGAACTAAAAAAGAGCATGGATAGCCAAAGCAATCTGAAGCAAAAAGAACAGCACACTACCCAACTTTATGCTACAGGGCTACAGTAACCAAAACACCATGGTACTGGCTCAAAAACAGACACATAAAACAATGGAGCAGAACAGAAAACTCATAAATAAAGCCACACACCTACAACCACCAGATCTTCAAAAAGGCCAACAAAAATAAGCAATGGAGAAAGGGCTCCCTATTAAATAAATGGTGCTGGGATAACAGGCTATCCATCTACAGAAGAATGAAAACTATACCCTTACTTTTCATCATATTCAAAAAATAACTCAAGGGATTAAAGATTTAAATGTAAGACCTCAAAGTATAAAAATCCTAGAAAACCTAGGAAATACCCTTCTCAACATCTGCCTTGGCAAAGAATTTATGGCTGATATGGTTCAGCCATGTCCCCACCCAAATCTCACCTTGAATTATAATAATCCCCACATGTCAAAGGCAGGGCCAGGTGGAAATAATTGAATCATGGGGAAGTTTCCTCTATACTGTCCTTGTGGTAGTGAATAAGTCTCACAAGATCTGATGCTTTTATAAATGGGAATTCCCCTGCACAAGCTATCTTGCCTGCCGCCATGTAAGATGTGACTTTGCTCTTCATTCACCTTCTGCCATGATTGTGAGGCCTCCCTAGCCATGTAGAATTGTGAGTAAATTAAACCTATTTCCTTTATAAATTACCTAGTCTCAGGTATGTCTTTATTAGCATGAGAATAGACTGATACAGTAAATTGGTACTGGTAGAGTGGAATGCAGCTGTAAAGATACATGAAAACGTGAAAGTGACTTTGGAACCAGGTGACAGGCAGAGATTGGAACAGTTTGGAAGGCTCAGAATAAGGTAGAAAAATGTGGGCAAGTTTATAACTTCCTAGAGACTGGGAGGGCTCAGAAGAAGGCAGAAAGATGTAGGAAAGTTTGCAACTTCCTAGAGACTTGTTGAATGGCTCTGACCAAAATGCTGATAGTGATATGGACAATAAAGCCCAGGCTGAGGTGGTCTCAGATGGAGACGAGGAACTCATTGGGAACTGGAGCAAAGGTGATTCTTGCTATGTTTTAGCAAAGAGCTTGGCGGCACTTTGTCCCTGCCCTAGAGATCTGTGGAACTTTCAACCTGAATGAGATGATTTAGGGTATCTGGTGGAAGAAATTTCTAAGCAGCAAAGCATTCAAGAGGTGACTTGGGTGCTGTTAAAAGCATTCAGTTTTATGCATTCACAAAGATACGGTTTGGAATAGGAACATAGGTTTAAAGGGGAAGCAGAGCATAAAAGTTTGGAAAATTTGCAGCTAGAAGATCCGATAGAAAAGAAAAACACATTTTCTGAGGAGAAATTCAAGCCAGCTGCAGAAATTTGCATACATAACAAGGAGCCAAATGTTAATCACCAACACAGTGGGGAAAATGTCTCCAGGGCATATCGGAGGTCTTCACAGCAGTCCCTCCCATCACAGGCCTGGAGACCTAGGAGAAAAAATGATTTAATGGGCAGGGCCCAGGGCCTTGCTGCTTTGTGCAGTCTCGGGACTTGGTGCCCTGCATCCCAGCCATGGCTAAAAGGGGCCAATGTAGAGCTTAGGCCATTGCTTCAGAGGATGCAAGCCCCAAGTCTTGGTGGCTTCCATGTGGTGTTGGGCCTGTGGGTGAACAAAAGTCAAGTATAGAGGTTTGGGAACCCCTACCTAGATTTTAGAGGATGTATGGAAACATCTGGAAGTCCAAGCAGAAGTCTGCTGGAGGGACAGAGCCCTCATAGAGAACCTCTGTTAGGGCAGTGTGGGAGGGAAATGTAGGGGTGGAGCCCCCAACACAGAGTTTCCACTGGGGCACTGCCTAGTAGAACTGTGAGAAGAGGGCCACCATCCTCCAGACCCCAGAATGGTAGATTCACCGACAGCTTGCACCAGGTGCCTGGAAAAGCTGCAGACACTCAATGCGAGTCCATGAAAGCAGCTGGGAGGGAGGCTGTACCCTGCAAAGCCACAGGGGCAGAACTGCCCAAGGCTGTGGGAGCCCATCTCTTGCATCAGCATGACCTGGATGTGAGACATGGAGTCAAGAGTGATCATTTCAGGGCTCTGAGATTTGACTTCCCCATTGGATTTTGGACTTGCATGGGGCCTGTAGCCCCTTCGTTCTGGCCAATTTCTCCCATTTGGAATGGGTATTTACACAATGCCCATACCTCCATTATATCCAGGATGTAACTAACTTGCTTTTGATTTTATAGGCTCATAGGTGGAAGGGACTTGACTTGTCTCAAATGAGACTTTGGACTGTGGACTTTTGAGTTGATGCTGAAATGAGTTAAGACTTTGAGGGCTGTTGGGAAAGCATGATTGGTTTCGAATTGTGAAGATATGAGGTTTTGGAGGGACCAGGAGTGGAATGATATGGTTTGGCTGTGTCCCCACCCAAATCTCACCTTGATTTGTAATAACCCCCATGTGTCAAGGGTGGGGCCAGGTGGAGATAATTGAATCATGGGTGCAGTTTCCCCAATACTGTTCTCATGATAGTGAATAAGTCTCAGGAGATCTGATGGTTTTATAATTGGGAGTTCCCTTGCACAAGCTCTCTTGCCTGCTACTATGTAAGATGTGACTTTGCTCCTCATTCACCTTCCACCATGATTGTGAGGCCTCCCCAGCCATGTGGGACTATGAGTCAATTAAACCTCTTTCATTTATAAATTACCCAGTCTTAGGTATGTCTTTATCAGCAGCATGAGAACAGACTAATACAATGGCTAAGTGCCCAAAAGCAATTGCAACAAAAACAAAAAATTGAAAAATGGGACCTAATTAATAAACAGATTCTGCACAGCAAAAGAAATCATCAACAGAGTAAACAGACAATCTACAGAATGGGAGAAAATATTCACAGACTATATATCCAAAAAAGGTCTAATATCCAGAATATACAGGAATTGAACAATCACAGCAAAACATCCATTTTTAATGAGCATTTCTCTAATAATCAGTGATATTGAGCTTTTCTCATATATTTGTTGGCTGCATGAATGTCTTCTTTTGGAACGTGTCTGTTCATGTCCTTTGCCCACTTTTTCATGGGGTTGTTTGTTTTTCTTGTAAATTTGTTTAAGTGCCTTGTAGACTCTAGATATTAGACCTTTGTCAGATAACTGGATTGCAAAAATTTTCTCCCATTCTGTAGGTTTTCTGTTCACTTTGATTATAGTTTCTTCTGCTGTGCAAATGCTCTTCAGTTTAATTAGATCTCATTTGTCAGTTTTTGCTTTTGCTGCAATTGCTTTTGGTGGTTTCATCATGAAATCTTTGCTCGTGCCTATGTCCTGAGTGGTACTGCCTAGATTTTCTTCTAGGGTTTTTACAGTTTGAGGCTTTACACTTAAGTCTTTAATCCATCTTGAGTTAATTTTTGTATAAGGTGTAATCAAAATCACAATGAGATACCGTATCACACCAATCAGAATGGCAATTATTAAAAAGTCAAGAAACAACAGATGCTGGCAAGGTTGTGAAGGAAAAGGAACAGTTTTACACTGTTGGCGGGAATGTAAATTAGTTCAACCATTGTGGAAGATAACGTAGTGATTCCTCAAAGAGATAAAGACAGAAACACCATTTGACCCAGCAATCCCATTACTGAGTATATACCCAAAGGAATATAAATCATTCCATTATAAAGATAACTGTATGCGTATGTTGATTGAAGCGCTATTCACAATAGCAAAGATATGGAGTCAACCTAAATGCCTATCAATGATAGACTGGATAAAGAAAATGTGGTACATATATACCATGGAATACTATGCAGCCATAAAAAGTAAAAAAGAGCATGTCCTTTGCAGGGACATGGATGGACTGGAAGCCATTATCCTCAGCAAACTAATGCAGGAACAGAAAACAAAATACCAGAAGTTCTTGTTTATAAGTGTGAGCTAAATGGTGAGAACACATGGACACATAAAGGGGAACAACACACATTGGGGCCTTTTGGAGGGTGGAGGGTTGGAGTGCATCAGGAAGAATAGCTAATGGATGCTGGGCTTAATACCTAGGTGATGGGTTGATTTGTGCAGCAAACCACCATGGCACACATTTACCTATGTAACAAACCTGCACATCCTGCACATGTACCCTGGAACTTAAAATAAAAGTTGATGGAAAAAATGGGCAAAGGACATGAACAGACAATTCTCAAAAGAACACATACATACAGCCAATAAGCATAGGGAAAAAGCTCAATATCACTGATTATTAGAGAAATGCAAAGCAAAACCACAACAATATAGCATCTCACACAAGTCAGAATGACTATTAGAAAAAGTTGAAAAGCAACAGATGCTAGTGAGGCTGCAGAGAAAAGGGAACACTAATATACTGTTGGTGGAAATGAAAATTAATTCAGCCACTGTAGAGAGCAGTTTGGAGATTTCTCAAAGAACTAAGAATTAAACTATCATTTGACCCAGCAATCCCGATACTGGGTGTATATCCAAAGGGAAATAAATCATTCTACCAAAAAGACACATGCACCCATATGTTCATTGCAGTACTATATTCAAAATTGCAGGCTGAGCACTATGGATCACGCCTGTAATCCCAGCACTTTGGGAGGCCAAGGCGGGCGGATTGCCTGAGGTCAGGAGTTTGAGACAAGCCTGGCCAACGTGGCGAAATCTCATCTCTACTAAAAATACAAAAATTAGCCGGAGATGGTGGTGGACACCTGTAATTCCAGCTACTGGGGAGACTGAGGCAGGAGAATCACTTGAACTGAGGAGGTGGATGTTGTAGTGAGCCAAGATCATGCCACTGCACTCCAGCCTGGGCAACAGAGCGAGACTCCGTCTCAAAAAAAAAAAAAATAGAAAAGACATGGAATCACCTATGTGCCCATAAATGGTATATTTGATAAAGAAAATGTGGTACAAATACACCATGGAATACTATGCAGCCATAAAAAGAATGAAATCATGTCCTTTGCAGCAACATGGATGGAACTGGATGCCATAATCCCAAGAGAATTAACACAGGAACAGAAAACCAAATACCACATGTTCTCGCAAGTAAGAGCTAAAGATTGAGCACACATAGATATAAAAATGGGAACAATAGACCCTGTGGACTACTAGAGGTGGGAGGGGGTGAGGGAGAGTGGATTGAAAAACTTCCTAATGGGCACTAGACTCACTATAATATACCCATGTAACAAACCTGCACATGTACCCTCTATATCTAAAATAAAAGTTGAAATTTTTTTTTTTTTTTTTTTTTTTGAGACGGAGTCTCGCTCTGTCGCCCAGGCTGGAGTGCAGTGGCGGGATCTCGGCTCACTGCAAGCTCCGCCTCCCGGGTTCACGCCATTCTCCTGCCTCAGCCTCCCGAGTAGCTGGGACTACAGGCGCCCGCCACTACGCCCGGCTAATTTTTTGTATTTTTAGTAGAGACGGGGTTTCACCGTTTTAGCCGGGATGGTCTCGATCTCCTGACCTTGTGATCTGCCCGCTTCGGCCTCCCAAAGTGCTGGGATTACAGGCGTGAGCCACCGCGCCCGGCCAAAAGTTGAAATTTTTTTAATGAGACAGAGATATTGGATCCTGAAAAGAAAAGAAATCAAGGCCGGGCACCGTGGCACATGCCTGTAATCCCAGCACTTTGGGAGGCCAAGGCAGTCGGATCACAAGGTCAGGAGTTCAAAACCAGCCTGGCCAACATGGTGAAACTAAAATACAAAAATTAGCCAGGTGTGGTGGCATGCACCTGTAATGCCATCTACTCGGGAGGCTGAGATAGGAGAATTGCTTGAACCCAGGAGGTGGAAGTTGCAGTGAGCCAAGATTGCACCACTGCACTGTAGCCTGGGCAACAGAGCAAGATTCTGTCTCAAAAAAAAAAAGAGAGAGAGAGAGAAATCAAAAGGCAATCCCATTTACAATAGATGCCAAAAAATAAAATACCTAAGAATAAATTTAACCAGGGTGGTGAGAAACCTCTACAAGGAAAACTATGAAACACTGTTGAAAGGAGTTGAAGAGAATACAAGCAAATGGAAAGACATCCCATGCTAATGGATTGAAATAATTAATATTGCTAAAATGACCATAATACCCAAAGCAATCTACAGATTCAAGGCAATCCCTATCAAAATGCCAATGACATTCTTCACAGAATAGGAAAAAATATTTTAAATTTGTATGGAGCCACAAAAGAACCCCAAATAGCCAAAGCAATCCTGAACTTAAAGAACAAAACTGAAGGCACTACACTACCAGACTTCCAAATATACTACAAAGCTATAGTAACCAAAAACAGCATGGTACTGGCATAAAACCACACAAACAGACAAACAAAACAGAATAAAGAAACCAGAAATTTATTCACATATCTTCAGCCAATTGATTTTTACAAAGTCGTTAAGAACACTCAGTGATGAAAGGAGAGTCTCTTTAATAAATGACACTGGGAAAACTAAATATCCACATGCAGAAGAATGAAACTAGACTTCCACCTCTTACCCTATACAAAAATCAACTCAAAATGGATCAAAGACCTAAATGTAAGACTTGACACTGTAAGCTACTAGAAAAAAAAATAGGAGAAATGCTTCAGGACATTAGTCTGGAAAATGACTTTATGTATAAGACCTAAAAAGCATAGGCAACAAAAGCAAATATGAACCAATGGGATTATATCAAACTAAAATCTCTGCACAGCAAAAGAAACAAGAGAGTGAAAAGACAACCTACAGAACAGCAGAAAATATTCATAGACTATTCATCAGATAGGATATTAATATCGAGCCCATACAAGGAATGCAAACATCTCAACAGCAAAAATATGAACAATCTGATTTTAAAATGGGCAAATGATCTGAGCAGACATTTCTCAAAAGAAGACACACAAATGGCCGATAAATAAATGAAAAAACGTTCGACCTCACTCATCATCAGGAAAATTCAAACAAAACCATAATAAGGTAGTGTCTCACCCTCTTTAGGATGACCATTATCAAAAAGACAAAAATAACAAATGCTGGCAAGGATGCAGAGTAAGGGAATCTTTTATACACTATTAGTGGAAATGTAAATTAGTATAGCCACTATGGAGAATAGTATGGAGGTTCCCCAAAAAACTAAAAATAGAACTACCATATGATCTAGCAACCCCACTACTGGGAATTTATCCAAAGGAAAGGAAAGCAGTATATCAAAGAGACACCTGCACCTCCATATTTATTGCAGCACTATTCACAATAGCCAAGATATGGAATCAATATGTGTCCAACAACAGATGAATGGATAAAGCAAATGTGGTATACATCATGGAATACTATTCAGTTATAAAAAGAATGAAATCCTGTCATTTGCAGCAACGTGGAGGGAACTGGAGGACATTCTGTTAAGTAAAGTAAGCCAGAAACACAAAGTAAAACATCGCATATTCTCACTCGTATGTGGAAGCTAAGAAAAGTTGAGCTCACAGAAGTAAAAAGTAGAACAGAGACTACTAGATGCTGAGAAGGGTTGGGGAAAAGGGGGAATAGGCAGAGATTTGTTAAAGGTTACAAAATTACAGCTAGATAGGAGGAATAAGTTCTAGTGTTCTTTCTACAGCACTGTAAGATGACTGTAGTTAACAATGATGTATAGTTTCAAATAGTTAGAAGGAGGAAATTGAATGCTTCCAACACAAACAAATAATAAATGTTTGAGGTGATAGATATGCTATATACTGATCAGATCCTGATCTGATCACTATACAGTATATGTATTGAAACATCACTATATACCCCATAAATATGTACAATTATTACAAGTCAATTTAAAATAATACCAAAAAATTAAAATTAAAAAAAATGAAGTCAGCATTTTGTTTTTCATTCAAAACCTTGTCATTCTTTTTTATTTTTTGAGATGGAGTTTTGCTCTTGTTGCCCAGGCTGGAGTGCAATGGCACGATCTTGGCTCACTGCAACCTATGCCTCCCAGGTTCAAGCAATTCTCCTGCCTCGGCCTCCTGAGTAGCTGGGATTACAGGCATGCGCCACCACGCCTGGCTAATTTTGTATTTTTAGTAGAGATGGGGTTTCTCCATGTTGGTCAGGCTTGTTTTGAACTCCCGACCTCAGGTGATCCACCCGCCTTGGCCTCCCAAAGTGCTGGGATTACAGGCCTGAGCCACCATGGCTGGCCCCTTGTCATCCTTTTGTATGCACTATTATGTCTCCGTTGGCATAGTTTAACCTAGTACTCTATACTTTTCTTTCCTAATACTTATCACAGTTTAGAACTATATTTATTGATTTTATTTATATTCTGTTTCCCCCACTAGACTTGTCCACTAAATGTAAACTATGTCTGTTTGGCTTACTATCCTATTTCCAGAACCTGGCACATAGTAGGCACTCAATAAATTTGTGTTGAATGACTACACGACACCATAATCCTTGCGATCACCCAATCTAGAAACTTGGGAGTTATCCTCCCTCATTTGCCATGTTGTGACTCCACAATGAGTCATCAATTCTTATAGATTTTACTTCCTCAACAACTCATATCTATCACCAGTGCTCATATCATTTCTTAAAGCATGTAATAGTTCCCTTTTTTTTTTTTTAGATGAAGTCTCACTCTGTCACCCAGGCGGGAGTGCAGTGGCATAACCTTGGCTCACTGCAACATCTGCCTCCTAGGTTCAAGTGATTCTCCTGCCTCAAAAGCCTATTTTCGTCATATAAAGTTCCTAAACAGGGACATTCTCAGTTGCCTCTGTTATCATGGTAGTTTTGTTCACCATATATTTTGAGATGGGTTTTTTGAGCTCTCATTACCTTTATAGTTTATAACATAGTTGCCTACTGAAGTGTATTTATTTTGTAATAAAGGCTACCATTACCAAATGATAGGTTTGGCTCTGTCCCCACCCAAATCTCATCTTGAATTTCCATGTGTTGTCGGAGGGACCCAGTGGGAGATCACTGAATCATGGGGGCAAGTCTTTCTCAGGCTCTTCTCATGATAGTGAATAAGTCTCACAAGATCTGATGGTTTTAAAAAGGGGAGTTCCCCTGCACAAGCTCTCTTCTCTTGTCTGCCACCATGTGAGATGTACCTTTCACCTTCCACCATGATTGTGAGGCCTCCTCAGCCATGTGGAACTGTAAGTCCAATAAAACTCTTTCTTTTGTAAATTGCACAATCTTGGGTATGCCTTTATCAGCAGCATGAAAACGGACTAATACAGTAAATTGGTACCAGTAGAGTGCAGTGCTGCTGAAAAGATACCCGAAAATGTGGAAATGACTTTGGAACTTGATAACAGGCAGAGGTTGGAACAGTTTGGAGGGCTCAGAAGAAGACAGGAAAATGTGGGAAAGTTTGGAACTTCCTAGAGACTTGTTGAATGGCTTTGACAAAAATGCTGATAGTGATATGGACAATGAAATCCAGGCTGAGGTGATCTCAGATGGAGATGAGGAACTTGTTGGGAACTGGAGTGAGGGTTACTCTTGCTATGTTTTAGCAAAGATACTGGCAGCATTTTGCTCCTGCCCTAGAGATTTGTGGAACTTTGAACTTGAGAGAGATGAGTTAGGGTATCTGGTAGAAGAAATTTCTAAGCAGCAAAGCATTCAAGAGATGACTTGGGTGTTGTTAAAGGCATTCAGTTTTAAAAGGGAAACAGAGCATAAAAGTTTGGAAAATTTGCAGCCTGACAGTGCAATAGAAAAGAAAATCCCATTTTTTAAGGAGAAATTCAAGCTGGCTGCAGAAATTTGCATAAGTAACAAGGAGCTGAATATTAATCACCAAGACAATGGGGAAAATATCTCCAGGGCATGTCAGAGACCTTTGTGGCAGCCCCTCCCATCACAGGCCCAGAGGTTTGGGAGGATAAAATTGTTTTGTGGGCTGGGCCCAGTGTCCCTCTGCTGTGTGCAGTCTAGGGGCTTAGCGCACTGCATCCCAGCCACTTCAGCTGTAACTAGAGAACCTCAGCCTAGATTTCAGAAGATGTATGGAAAAGGCTGGATGTCCAGGCAGAAGCTTGCTGCAGGGGTGGGCCCTCATGAAGAACCTCTGCTAGGGCAGTGCAGAAGGGAAATGTGGGGTCAGAGCCCCCACACAGAGTCCCTACTAGGGCAGTGCCTAGTGGAGCTGTGAGAAGAGGGCCACTGTCCTCCAGATCTCAGAATGGTAGATCCATTGACAGCTTGCACCGTGCACCTGGAAAAGCCACAGACACTCAATGCCAGCCTGGGAAAGCAACCAGAAGGGAGGCTATACCCTGCAAAGCCACAGGGGATGAGTTGCCCAAGACCATAGGAAACCACCTCTTGCATCAGCATGACCTGGATGTGAGACACGGAGTCAAAGGAGATCACTTTGGAGCTTTAAGATTTGACTGCCCCGCTGGATTTCAGACTTGCATGGGGCCTATAGCCCTTTGTTTTGGACAACTTCTCCCATTTGAAATGGCTGTATTTAAACAATGCCTGTACCCCCATTGTATCTAGGAAGTAACTAACTTGCTTTTGATTTTACAAGCTCATAGGTGGAAGGGACTTACCTTGTCTTGAATGAGATTTTGGACTGCAGACTTTTGAGTTAATGCTGAAATGAATTAAGACTTTAGGGGACTGTTGGGAAGGCATGATTGGTTTTGAATTGTGAGGACATGAGATTTGGGAGAGGCCACGGGTGGAATGACATGGTTTGGCTGTGCCCCAACCCAAATGTCATCTTGAATTTCCATGTGTTGTGAGAGGGACCCAGTGGGAAGTAATTGAATTATGGGGATGGGTCTTTCCCATGCTGTTCTCATGATAGTGAAGAAGTCTCACAGTATCTGGTGGTTTTATAAAGGGGAGTTCCCCCGCACAAGCTTTGTTCTCTTGTCTGCTTCCATGTGAGGCGTGCCTTTCACCTTCCACCATGATTGTGAAGCCTCCCAAGCCACGTGGAACTGTAAGTCCAATAAACCTCTTTCTTTCGTAAATTGCTCAGTCTTGGATATGTCCTTATCAGCAGTGTGAAAATGGACTAATACACCAAATATCTACCATGTGACAGATAATAATATTATGAGGTAAGTATTTATTGTTGTTATCATTATCTGAATTTAAGCGTGGTACTGAAGGCTTGGAGAGGTTAAGTAATACCCCCAAAGCCACACAGCTGTGACAAAGGCAAGATTCAAACCCTGGTTTATTTGATTATCAGAGTCTCTTCTCTTTTTACCACATCATTATTATCTCCAGTCATTAGAACCTATATTGTCATTGCCCACATGTTACTAGCTCTTCATAAGTTTTGAAGTACTCTGATACATTATCTCATTGAATCCTATTACAATGGTCTGGGAATGTGAGGCTTAGAGAGAAGTCCCTTGACCTAGGTCACAGAGTGAGCTAATGGAATTCAAGGCTTCTGACTCTGTCTGTATCGCTTTCCATTATATCACGCTTTGTTAGTACTCTCAGACAGGAAACTCATTTCTTTCTCATATTAGCTGTCAGCACAGAATTGAGCGCAAAGTTGCTGCTTAATATGTTTCTTGGTTTTAAAACTTAATTTAAAATAACGCTCAGGATTTTTACAAGTACAGCTTCCTAACAACTTGAGTGATAATATCTATCCCTTTAGTTTCTCAGAAAATAGAGTTTTCCTAAATTAATGTATTCATACTTGCTTGGTATATAACCAACCCTTAATTACTTCTTGCTTTCAAATCTTCAGTAACTTAACACTCTCTACAGTCTTCTAAATAGAATCAAATTATCTTACTTTATGATTTTGTATTCACAGGGTCTCACTCTGTCACTCAGGCTGGAGTGCAGTGGTGCAATCAGGGCTTACTGCAGCCTCAACCTCCTTAGGATCAGGTGATCCTCCCACATCAGCCTCCTGAGTAGCTGGGACTACAGCCACGTGCCACCATAACCAGTTAACTTTTGTATTTTCTGCAGAGACAGAGTCTCACTATGTTGCCCAGCTGGTCTCAAACTCCCGAGCTCAACAAATCTGCCCGCCTCAGCCTCCCAAAGTGCTAGGATTACAGGTGTGAGCCACCGCACCCAGCCTATGATCTCTTTTTCTCAGCAACATCCTTTTTTCTTTAATCTAGTCCTCCACTTAAATGCCAGTTCACAGAAACAGCAGAGAACTTTTCTACATACCTAAGAAATATCACCACTGTCCTCCTTTACAATATTCTTGTGTTCAAATACACAGTGAATTAAAGATGATTCTTAACATCTTAACTACTCACATTTCAGGTGGGAATTTTCTTTTAGTCTGTTGACACTAACACAAACATCATTGCTGCAGATTAAGCAATACTGTGCATTTTGGGGGGAAGGGTTCAGTCTTGGGTGAAAGGGTATAGTGACAATGAATCAGGAGCTTGAAAATGACCCACCCTGCTGCCAGCACTGCTACAGAATCTCTTGGTGGAGAGCCCAGATCCCTTCCAGTAAGCTGCTTAAAGTGTTTGATTCCATTTTTTATTTGGTTGCCAATTCATTAAGTGGTTAACCTTGGACTGCATCTATCAAGCATTTAATTAATTAAGGCTAGTTTGAAATACCTTTTGAAACGTTACTAATTTCAATACACCATGCTGGCACATTTTTAAGAATCCAGCAATTGCTGAAATACGAAATCATCTTCACTAAGATGCAATAGTTGCCAGAAAAGCACTAATCAAGAGCTAATTGTTATGATGAAAGGGTAAAAGCAATACAACATATTTTCTTTCCTCACAGTCTGAAAGAAGGAGAAAGGTGGTGATAATCACAGTTTTATGTAAGTTCAGAGCTAGAAAGCCTCCAAGGGACTACATAATCTCTTCTCTTTATTGTAAAATGGGGAAAGTGAAACACAGTACACTAAGTTAGTAGCAAAGTCAGGATTAGATTCCATGGCTCTAGTATATAACTATCCCCCATTTCCAGAATGACTTTTATTATGGAAAATTATTTTATTTCACTACTCGCCCATTCTACACTTCTATAGAGAATACTAGGGTGAGTTTGTAATGATGCTAAATAGCATTTGTGCATGTCATTAAAAAATTGCTGACCCACATTGTTGTTTTATCCTGTATCATGCTGGTGCAGAAACCCAGGGAGTGGTTTCAAAAGTCCAATTCCAAAGCCATTTCTTTCTCCTAAAATGAGAAGTAATCATTTTTCTCATTGTTTTTACTTGTCTACCACAGGTGCATTATTGACATCTGGAATATCAGGCCACAGTGATGCCTGTAGCCATTGAATTACACACAATGGTTTAGGCAAAAAGCATTTATATTTGTTTTTTTTTTTCTCAGCAAAGTTTTTTTCTTTATTGGTAATTTTTTTTGAGAAACATCTAGATTTTATTTTATTTTATTATTTTCTTTTTTTAATTATACTTTAAGTTCTAGGGTACATGTGCACAACGTGCAGGTTTGTTACATATGTATACATGTGCCATGTTGGTGTGCTGCACCCATTAACTCGTCATTTAACATTAGGTATATCTCCTAAGCATTTATATTTGGCATTGAACATCAGGACATGAGTTTATGGAAGCACTAAAGCTCATTAATATTATGCAAAGCCAAACAGAATGACAGTCTCAATTTTTTGAGTCCACACCAGCTGAATGCATGGCTCTGCATATGGTAATATTAGCAGAAAAATTAAAAAGGGGGTCAGATGCGAAGTAACCCTGCACTAGGCAACAATAATAAACATATCAGTGGTACTCAAATTGTACTCTGTGTAAAAACCACCTGGGAAAAAAAATTGCTAAAAATAAACTGAATGCAGATAGGGGCAGTAGTGGTTCCTAAATTAAGCTATGTGTGAATATGATTGAATTATAAGATATAATTATCTGAGATCCAGTACTGGATATTCTGATTCAGTCACTTTTAGGTGGAGCCTAAGCATTTGAACATTTATAAAACTATACAAATTAATCTGATATGCTGCCAGGTTTGGGAACCACTGGAATAAGGGACTCAAAGATGGTTTCATTCATTCCACTTTCTCCCAGCAAAACCATACATAAACCACCTTGAAACAAAGGTATATCTCTATTTTAAAAGGCTATTGGCCTCACTATTCTTCAGGAAAGTGAAAACTAAAAACTGAGTTAACTACAAAGGCTAAATTTTAAAAGATGGCAGAGTAGGAGGTTCCAGCCCTCATACCCCCACAGAAACACGGATTTAAAAACCATCAACTGATTAAAGTACCTTCAAGAGAGCTCAGAAATCCAGGTAAGAGGTTGCAGTGCCCAGATGGAGCACAGAAATAGAAAAGACTTATTTAAGACAGTGAAAAGAACAGTTTCATTTTACCCACATCTTATTCAAGACAAACAAAAATGGAAACATAACCTACCAAAAACCTATGGCGTGCAACAAAAGCACTACTAAGAGGGAAGTTTATAGAGATAACTGCTTACATTTAAAAAGAGATATCTGAAATAAACAACTTAATTTTACACCTCAAGGAACAAGAAAAAGAACAAACTAAGCCCCAAATTTGCAGAATGAAGAAAATAATAAAGATTAGAACAGAAATAAGTGAAATAGAGAACAGGAAATCAATAGAAAAAATCAAAGAAACTGAGTTGATTTTTCAAAAAGATAAACAAAATCAACAAATCCTTAGCTAAACTAAGAAAAAAACACTCAAATAAATACAATCAGAAATGAAAGAGGAGATACTACAACTGATGCAACAGGAAACAGGGATTATAAGTGACAATTACAAAGAAGTATATCTTAACAAATTGGACAACCTAGAAGAAATGGATAAATTCCTAGACTCATACAGCCTACCCATGCTGAATATGAAATAAATTAAAAGTCTGAACAGACCAATAACAAATATAGAAATTCAAGCAGTAACCCAAAAATTCCCAACAAAGAAACACTCAAGACCAGATGTCTTCACTGGTACATTCTACCAAACATGTAAAGAAAAATTAGTTCCAATCCTTCTTAAACTCTTCCAAAAAATATAAAAATATGGAGGACTGCCAAATTAATTCTGTGAGGCCCACATCACCCTAATACCAAAGCCAAAGATAACACAAGAAAGGAAACTGCAGACCAATATCCCTGATAAACATACATGCAAAAATCACCAACAAACTACTAGCAAAATGAATTCAAGAGCTCATTAAAAGCATCATAAACAAGGATCAAGTAGAATTTACCCCTAGAATATGAGAATGGTTTAACATACACAAATCAATCAATGTGATACACTGCATTAACAGAATGAAGGCTAAAAGTCAAATGATCATTTCAATAAATGAATAGCATTTGACAAAATTCAATAGGCTTTTATAATAAAAACTCTTAACAAATTAGGAATAGAAGGAACTAACCTCAACACAATAAGGGCCATTTATGAGGAGCCCAAAACTAACATCACACTCAATAGTAAAAAATCAAGGCCTTTCTTTAAGATCCAGAACAGGCAAAGATGCCCACTCTCACCTATCCTATTCAACTTAAAGTCCTAACCAGAGCAATTAGGCAATAAAAACAAATAAAAAGAATCCAAATAAGAAAGGAAGAAATGAAATTATCTGTTTGCTGATGACATGATATTATATGTAGAAAATCCTAAAGACTACACACACACACACACACACACACACACACACACACACACACACACACACAAACTATTAGAATAATAAATGAATTCAGGCCGGGTGTGGTGGCTCACACCTGTAATCCCAGCACTTTGGGAGGCCGAAGCGGGAGGATCACTTGAGGTCAGGAGTTCGAGACCAACCTGGCCAACATGGTGAAACCCCGTCTCTAATAAAAATACAAAAATTAGCCAGGTGTGATGGTGGGTGCCTGTAATCCCAGCTACTTGGGAGGCTGAGGCAGGAGAATCACTTGAAGCCAGGAGGTGGAGGTTGCAGTGAGCCAAGATCACACCACTGCACTCCAATGTGGGCGACAGAGTGAGACTCTGTCTCAAAAAAAAAAAAGAATAATAAATAATTCAGTAAAGTTTCAGGTTACAAAATCAACATATAAAAATGAGTTGCATTTTTATACATCAAAATAAACTATCTGAAAATGAAATTAAGAAAAAAATTTCACCTATAATAGCATCTGCTATAATTTGGATGTTTTCCCCCACAAAACTCATGTTGAAATTTGATCCCCAGTGTTAGAGATGGGGCATAATGGTAGGTGTTTTAGTAGTGGGGGCGGGTCCCTTATGAAAGGCTTGCTGCCATCCTCAGGTCAATGAGTTCTTATTCTATTAGTTCCTGGAAGAGCTGGTTGCTAAAAAGAGCCTGGCATCTCCCCGCTGTCTCTCTATTGCTTCCTCTCTCATCATCCGAACTCTGCACAAGCTGGCCCCTCTTCACCTTTCCAAGCAGCCTGAAGCTTTCACCAGACGCCCAATCTTACAGTCAGCAGAATTGTGAACCAAATAAACCTCTTTTCTTTATAAATTACAGTCTCAGGTATTCCTTTATAGCAACAGAAAATAGACTAAGAAAGCACTTAAATATGAATACCCCATTTTTCATGTGATATTTCACATTGCATGCCTATATCAAAACACCCCATGTACCCCATAAATATATGCACCTACTATGTACCCACAAAAATTAAAAGTTAAATTAAATTTAAAATTTTTTAAATTAAAAAATAATAATTCGTTACAAGCTCCTGGAACGTCGTCAGCTAGAAGAAATGCCAAACAAGTTTTCATCATTGCCGTATCAAGTTGCCTATCCGCTCATTTGGATTTTCCACAAAATGCAAATAAAGACAATAACAAAGTAATAGTTCCACCTTAAAAAAAAAGGTAAAAAATGTTTGCAAGGATGTGGAGAAAAGGAAACCTTATACATCATTGGTGGGAATGTAAATTGGTGCAACCGCTATGGAAAATAGTATGGAGGTCCTCAAAAAATTAAAAGAAATTGAAGTCAGAAGAGATGGTAGTTGCACTCCCATGTTCATTGTAGCATTATTCACAATACCCAAAATATGGAAACAATAAATGATGGAAGAATGGATAAAGAAATATAGTATATATACACGATGTGATTTTATTTGGTCTTTAAAAAGAGGGAAATCCTGCCATTCATGACAACATAAATGGACTCAGAGGACACTGTGCTAAGTGAAATATTCTTTAGATTTATGACACGGAAATACAAATACTACATGATCTCACCTATATGTGGAATCTAAAGAGATTGAACTTAGAGAAGCACAGAGTAGAAAGATAGTTGCCAGGGCCTGGAGAGTGGGGAAAATGAAATGATTTTGGTCAAAGGGCATAAAATTTCAGTTATATGGTGAATAATTTCTGAAAATTTAATGTATAACATGGTCACTATAGTTAATAATGTATAGTATACTTGAAATTTGTAAGAGAGTAGAACCTAAATGTTCTCATCACACACACAAAAATAGTAACTATATGAGATGGTGGATAAATTTATTGTGGTAATCACTTTACAATGTAACTATATATTAAAATATCATGTACATTTGAAATATAAACAATTTTTATGTGTCAAAAATAAATTACTCTTTTAAAGAGGAAAATACATGATTAGAGCAAAGAAATTACTAGAATTACTAAATGAATTCAACAAGATCACAAATATAAGATTGATATACAAAAATCAATTGTATTTCTATGTACTAACAAAGAAATGTCCAAAATGAAATTAAGAAAACAATTTTATTTACAGTGGCATCAAAATGATTAAAATACTTAGAAATAAAACATCAAAAGAAGTGTAAGATTTGTACAATGGAAATGATAAAACATTGCTAAGGGAAATTTTAAAAGATTTAAATAAATGGAGAGACACTCTGTGTTCATGGACCAGAAGCCTAAATATTGTTAAGATGGAAATTCTCCTCATATTGATCTATAGGTTCAATGTAATCTCTGTCAAAACCACAACAGGATATTTTTCAGAAGTTGACAAGCTGATATCAAAATGCAAAGGATCCAGAATGACAAAAACAGTTTTGGAAAAGAAGGACAAAATGCAGTACGTTTACTTCTCAACTTAAAATCTTATATAAAGCTATAGTAACCAAAACAATGAGGCACTGTCATAAACATAGACAAATGGATCAATGGAACAGAATTAAGAGTCCAGGAATAAACCCTTATTTTTATGGTCAATTGACTTGCAACACGGGTATGAATATAATTTAACGGAGAAAAGGTTATCTTTTCTACAAATATTTCTGGCACAATTGGATACTCATATAAAAAATGAATATGAACCCTTTTCTCATATAATATACCAATATTAACTCAAAATGTATCATAGACATAGAAATAAAAGCCAAAACTATAAAACTTTCAAAAGAAAAATAGGACAAAATATTTTCTTTTTTTTTTATTTGCAATCCATTTATTTGGGTAGACTTGAAATACAACAGGGACATTCAAAAGTTTGAGCAATAATTTATGCTATATTTATAGCATAGCCAGATTTCATTCCCAGAATTTCTATCTCCCCTGTGATATTTTGCTCTGATTTATGAATTTATTTGTACTAAAATCAGGTAAGTCAAGCATTTATTCTAAACTCCCAGTCTGTTTTTTATAACTTATGTGGTTTGTACACTTTCCAATTATTAATTCCTTCAATTATTCATTCAGCAAATATTGACTGTCTTAGAGACACAGTGGACACTATTTTTTTTGATACTTTAAGTTACAGAGTACATGTGCACAACGTGCAGGTTTGTTACATATGTATTCATGTGCCATGTTGGTGTGCTGCACCCATTAACTCATCATTTACATTAGGTATATCTCCAAATGCTATCCCTCCCCTGTCCACTCACCCCACGACAGGCCCCGGTGTGTGATGTTCCCCTTCCTGTGTCCAAGTGTTCTCATTGTCCAATTCCCATTTATGAGTTACAGCATGTGGTGTTTGGTTTATTGTCCTTGTGATAGTTTGCTGAGAATGATGGTTTCCAGCTTCATTCATGTCCCTACAAAGGACATGAAGTCATCCTTTTTTATGACTGCATAGTATTCCATGGTGTATATGTGCCACATTTTCTGAATCCAGTCTATCATTGGTGGACATTTGAGTTGGTTCCAAGTCTTTGCTATTGTGAATAGTGCCACAATAAACATACATGTGCATGTGTCTTGATAGCAGCATGATTTATAATCCTTTGGGTATATACCCCAGTAATGGGATGGCCTGGGTCAAATGGCCATTTCCTAGTTCTAGATCCTTGAGGAATCACCACACTGTCTTCCACAATGGTTGAACTAGTTTACAGTCCCACCAACAGTGTAAAAGCGTTCCTATTTCTCCACATCCTCTCCAGCACCTGACTTTTTAATGATCACCATTCTAACTGGTGTGAGATGGTATCTCATTGTGGTTTTGATTTGCATTTCTCTGATGGCCAGTGATGATCAGCATTTTTTCATGTGTCTGATGGCTGCATAAATGTCTTCTTTTGAGAAATGTCTGTTCATATCCTTCACCCACTTGTTGATGGGGTTGTTTGTTTCTTTTCTTATAAATTTGTTTGAGTTCTTTGTAGATTTTGGATATTAGCCCTTTGTCAGATGAGTAGATTGCAAAAATTTTCTCCCATTCTATAGGTTGCCTGTTCACTCCGATGGTAGTTTCTTTTGCTGTGCAGAAACTCTTTAGGTTAATTAGATCCCATTTGTCAATTTTGGCTTTTGTTGCCATTGCTTTTGGTGTTTTAGATATGAAGTCCATGCCCATGCCTATGTCCTGAATGGTATTGCCTAGGTTTTCTTCTAGGGTTGTTATGGTTTTAGGTCTAACATTTAAGTCTTTAATCCATCTTGAATTAATTTTAGTATAAGGTGTAAGGAAGGGATCCAGTTTCAGCTTTCTCCATATGGCTAGCCAGTTTTCCCAGCACCATTTATTAAATAGGGAATCCTTTCCCCATTTCTTGTTTTTCTCAGGTTTGTCAAAGATCAGATGGTTGTAGATGTGTGGTGTTATTTCTGAGGCCTCTGTTCTGTTCCCTTGGTCTATATCTCTGTTTTGGTACCAGTACCATGCTGTTTTGGTTACTGTAGCCTTGTAGTATAGTTTGAAGTCAAGTAGCGTGATGCCTCCAGCTTTGTTCTTTTGGCTTAGGATTGTCTTGGCAATGCAGGCTCTTTTTTTGGTTCCATATGAACTTTAAAGTAGTTTTTTCAAATTCTGTGAAGAAAGTCATTGGTAGCTTGATGGGGATGGCATTGAATCTATAAATTACCTTGGGCAGTATGGCCATTTTCACGATATTGATTCTTCTATCCATGAGCATGGAATGTTCTTCCATTTGTTTGTGTCCTCTTTGATTTCATTGAGCAGTGGTTTGTAGTTCTCCTTGAAGAGGTCCTTCTGGTCCCTTGTAAGTTGGATTCCTAGGTATTTTATTCTCTTTGAAGCAATTGTGAATGGGAGTTCACTCATGATTTGGCTCTCTGTTTGTCTGTTATTGGTGTATAAGAATGCTTGTGATTTTTGTACATTGATTTTGTATCCTGAGACTTTGCTGAAGTTGCTTATCAGCTTAAGGAGATTTTGGGCTGAGACAATGGGGTTTTCTAAATATATAATCATGTCATCTGCAAACAGGGACAATTTGACTTCCTCTTTTCCTTTTTGAATACCATTTACTTCTTTCTCCTGCCTGATTGCCCTGGCCAGAACTTCCAATACTATGTTGAATAGGAGTGGTGAGAGAGGGCATCCCTGTCTTGTGCTGGTTTTCAAAGGGAATGCTTCCAGTTTTTGCCCATTCAGTATGATATTGGCTGTGGGTTTGTCATAAATACCTCTTATTATTTTGAAATACGTCCCATCAATACCTAATTTATTGAGAGTTTTTAGCATGAAGGCTGTTGAATTTTGTCAAAGGCCTTTTCTGCATCTATTGAGATAATCATGTGATTTTTGTCTTTGGTTCTGTTTATATGATGGATTATGTTTATTGATTTGCGTATATTGAACCAGCCTTGCATCCCAGGGATGAAGCCCACTTGAATCATGGTGGATAAGCTTTTTGATGTGCTGCTGGATTTGGTTTGCCAGTATTTTATTGAGGATTTTTGCATCAATGCTCATCAAGGATATTGGTCTAAAATTCTCTTTTTTTGTTGTGCCTCTGCCAGGCTTTGGTATCAGGATGATGCTGGCCTCATAAAATGAGTTAGGGAAGATTCTGTCTTTTTCTATTGATCGGAATAGTTTCAGAAGGAATGGTAGCAGCTCCTTCTTGTACCTCTGGCAGAATTCGGCTGTGAATCCATCTGGTCCTGGACTTTTTTTATTGGTAGGCTATTAATTATTGCCTCAATTTCAGAGCCTGTTATTGGTCTATTCAGGGATTCAGCTTCCTCCTGGCTTAGTCTTGGGAGGGTGTATGTGTCCAGGAATTTATCCATTTCTTCTAGATTTTCTAGTTTATTTGCGTAGAGGTGTTTATAGTGTTCTCTGATCATGGTTTGTATTTCTGTGGGATCAGTGGTGATATCCCCTTTTATCATTTTTTATTGCGTCTATTCGATTCTTCTCTCTTTTCTTCTTTATTAGTCTTGTTAGCAGTCTACCAATTTTGTTGATCTTTTCAAAAAACCAGCTCCTGGATTCATTGATTTTTTGAAGATTTTTTTGTGTCTCTATCTCCTTCAGTTCTGCTGTGATCTTAGTTATTTCTTGCCTTCTGCTAGCTTTTGAATGTTTTTGCTCTTACTTCTCTAGTTCTTTTAATTGTGATGTTAGGGTGTCAATTTTAGATCTTTTCTACTTTCTCTTGTGGGCATTTAGTGTTATAAATTTCCCTCTACACACTGCTTTAAATGTGTCCCAGAGATTCTGATATGTTGTGTCTTTGTTCTCATTGGTTTCAAAGAACATCTTTATTTCTGCCTTCATTTCGTTATGTACCCAGTAGTCATTCAGGAGCAGGTTGTTCAGTTTCCATGTAGGTGAGCGGTTTTGAGTGAGTTTCTTAATCCTGAGTTCTAGTTTGATTACAATGTGGTCTGAGAGAGAGTTTGTTATAATTTCTGTTCTTTTACATTTGCTGAGGAGTGCTTTACTTCCAACTATGTGGTCAATTTTGGAATAAGTGCGATGTGGTGCTGAGAAGAATGTATATTCTGTTGATTTGGGGTGCAGAGTTCTGTAGCTGTCTATTAGGTCCGCTTGGTGCAGAGCTGAGTTCAATTCCTGGATATCCTTGTTAACTTTCTGCCTCGTTGATCTGTGTAATGTTGACAGTGGGGTGTTAAAGTCTCCTTTTATTATTGTGTGGGAGTCTAAGTCTCTTTGTAGGTCTCTAAGGACTTGCTTTATGAGTCTGGGTGCTTCTGTATTGGATGCATATATATTTAGGATAGTTAGCTCTTCTTGTTGAATTGATCCCTTTACCATTATGTAATGGCCTTCTTTGTCTCTTAAGGAAATGCCAATTAAAACCACAATTAGACACCACTATATACCTATTACAATGATTAAAATTAAAAAGAATTACCACAATGTAATCCATCCATGTAACAAAATTACACTTGCATCCCGTAAATTTATACAAATAAAAAACACTTTTATAAGAATTTTCATAGTAGTTAAGCCCCCAATAGAAAACAGCTCAAATCCCCAATAGAAAACAGCTCAAATGTCCAACAGGTGAATGAATAAACTGTGATACACTCATACAATGCGGTACTACTCAGCAATAAAAAGGCACATGCTATTTATACACAGTGTAATAGGGGTGAATTTCTCAAAATAATGATGTTGTGTTAAAGAAAGATATAACAGTGCCCATACTGTCTGACTTTGTTTTTTTTCTTTTCTTTTCTTTTTTTTTTTGAGATGGAGTCTCGCTCTGTCACCCAGGCTAGAGTGCAGTGGCACAATCTCGGCTCACTACAAACTCCACCTCCCAGGTTCATGCCATTCTCCTGCCTCAGCCTCCCCAGTAGCTGGGACTACAGGTTCCCGCCACCACACCCGGCTAATTTTTTGTATTTTTAGTAGAGACGGGGTTTCACAGTGTGTTAGCCAGGATGGTCTCGATCTCCTGACCTCGTGATCCACCCGCCTTGGCCTCCCAAAGTGCTGGGATTACAGGTGTGAGCCACCATGCCCAGCCTGTCTGACTTTGTTTATGTGAAATTCAAGAAAGGGCTAAACTATACTGACAGAGTGAGATGAATGGTTGCCTCAGACAAGGGATGTGATGTTGTGGGATTGACTGTAAATGTATAGAAGGAATGTAACTCTTGACTCTGGTGATGGTTACAGATATGTATGTCAAAATTCATAACTGCATACCTAAAATGAATTTTATTTTATGTAAATTCTATCTCAATAGTGTTGATTGTCAAAATAAGTTAATAAAGGCAGAAAGTGGCTATCTTCATTACTGGATTTAATAATATGAGGGTCTTTGTTAACCTTCAGAAGATAAGTTTTGGTGAAATGGTAGGTACAAAGTTGTGATTGTATTCAAGAGAGAATGGAGGAAAAAGGAATGGATATACTAAGCACAGACAATTCTTTCAATACTTTCTGTAGAAAGGAAGATGAAAATGACATGATAGCTTAACAGAATAATAAGATAAAGGGAAGCCTTCTAAAGACATTTGACAAGCTTGCATGCATAGTTATCTGTTGAGATAGGAGGAGACACTGGTAGTTTGAAGAGAGAGAAGATGCGAAATAGTTACCTAGGAGTGTGAGCTTACTGACAAAATAATGTAGGATTTCTAGATTGCAAAAAGATATAAAGCAAATGCAAACAAAAAAAGCAGTAGTAGTAATCTTAATGCTTCACAAGCTGAAAATTAATATGCACTAATAGGAATAAAGGAAAACACTATGTAGTGATTTTTTAAAACTAAGAAAATGATCAATGAATACACATAGCAGCTAAAGATTTAAAACAAAAGTAGTTATACATGCAAGGACATGTTGCTAACACAATTAGAGCAGTAGATTTCAATATACCTCCTTAAGGATTGGACGGATAAAACAAGTCAGAAAATTGGAATTTAATACATTCAAGAAACTGATTTAAAAGATGTATATAGAAAATTACATCTCTCAAACACAGGATAGGCAATCTTCATGCCCACAGAAAACCATAAAAATCAGTCATGTCTTTAAGCCATGAAGTAAACTTTCAAAACTGTTTTAAAGTATAGATTTCAAAGCAATATTTTCTGACCATAATTCAATAAAATAAGAAATAAATAATTTAAAAATGGTTGAAAATAATAAATGTTTAGAAAATGACCTTCCCAATGATAATAACTTTACAAAGATATTAAGAAAAGGTGTTTTAAGATATAAAGACTTATTTTTAATGAATCACCAAGCTGGAGAGAAAGTAAGAAATCCATAAAGACAGAAATATAAACTAAATGTGGGGACCTTGAAAGGTAAGTTAGCACTAAAGTTGACGTTTACCCAGAAAATATCTGCCAAACCTGAGTGACCTTGAGCTTCTGTTTTGACGAATGCACAGGGCACAGGAGACAGGCTATAAATCCTATAGCCTATCCAAAAGGACAAGTCTATTAGGACAGCTACATTTAGCTGGAACTTCAAAAGTCTTCACTATCAGTATAAAAGGGAACAGAAATGAATAGCAAAGAAACATGCTTAATTTTGACTCTGGAACTGGAGAAGTGGGGAAAAAAAGTCTCCCCTAAGAATTTCTAACCAAAAAGTGGCCCTCACTGCAGGTTTGTGGTCCAAAATACACACAACGTGTGAGGTCCCTCAAACCACAAGTCTCAACCAAAAATTTAAAGCTGTCCCAGGTTGGTAGTGCCCCCAGGTGACCAGCAGAAGCAAATGCAAATCCTTTCTGGAGAAGTACAAAGTTCCAAGGAACATGAGCTGAAAGTCAAAACTCACAAAATGCTGAAGGAAATAAGGCACCATGATTCTGAGTCAGGGGGAAAAAAAAGTTGAAAATATATAGCAGAATCAGACCTCCAAGGGGCTTCAGATATTGGAATTATCAGACACCAAATATTTTTAGACTATGTTTAATGTTTTTCAAGAAACAAAAGGTATTTAAAAATACAAGAAAGGGCCGGGCGCGTTGCCTCACGCCTGTAATCCCAGCACTTTGGGAGGCTGAGGTGGGTGAATCACAAGGTCAGGAGTTCGAGAGCAGCCTGGCCAACATGGTGAAACCCGTCTCTACTAAAAACACAAAAATTTTCCAGGCGTGGTGGTGGGTGCCTGTAATCCCAGCTACTCGGGAGGCTGAGGCAGGAGAATAGCTTGAACCTGGGAGGTGGAGGTTACAGTGAGCCAAGATTGCGCCATTGCACTCCAGCCTAGGCAACAAGAGCAAAACTCCGTCTCAAAGAAAGAAAAAAAAAAGCAAGAAACAAGAGATTATTTTTTAAATTATCCAGCATATTTAAACTTCTATGAGTGAAAAAAAGTTTTCACTTGTAGCTTTTTATTTTGACAGTTTCAGATACACATAAATGTCACAAGAACATTACAAAGAATTCATATATACCCTTCACCCATATCCTCCAAATGTTAAAATTTTACCACATTACTTTATGTCTATCTGTCCCTTCCATGCTCATTCTCTCTCCTCTCTCTGTTTCTGTCCACGCATATAAAAATATTATGAAATAAATATCATTAATTACATATTATTTATGACATGGTATTTATTTTTATGTATGTATTTTTAGTTAGTTTCTGAAGCATTAAAGAGTAAGTTGCATGATCTAGGCTCAGTGCAACCTCCACATCCTGGATTCAAGTGATTCTCCTGTCTCAGCCTCCCCAGTAGCTGGGATTACAGGCGTGTGCCTCTACGCCTGGCTAATTTTTGTATTTTTAGTAGAGATGGGGTTCACCATGTTGGCCAGGCTGGTCTCAAACTCCTGATCTCCAGTGATCCACCCACCTTGGCTTCCCAAAGTGCTGGGATTACAGGCATGAGCCACTGCGCCCAGCCAACTTACACTGAAATTTAATTGCCATTGTAACAGTATGAAGAGGTGAGACCATTAAGAAGTGATTAGGCCATGAGGGCTTTGCCCTCATGAATAAATCAATGCTGTTATCACAGGAGATGGTTAGTTACAAATGGTGAGTTAAGCTTCTCTCTCCCTTGCCCTTCTACCTTCTGCCATGGGATGACACAGCAAGAAGTCCCCATCAGATGCTGTCCCCTTAATCTTGGACTTCCCAGCGTTCAGAATTAAGAGCAATAAATTTCTGTTCAATTGTGTTAAGTGAAATAAGCCAGGCACAGAAAGATAAATACCACATATTCTCAATCACATGTGGAAGTGAAGTAAGTTGATCTCATAGAAGTAGAAAGTAGAAACTGGACGAATAAATTGTTAGGGATGTGTGACTATGTAAAAATCCAGAAGAAAGGTGGTGCTGGTCAAACAAAACAATAGATGTACTCTTCGGCTGCATTTCTTGCTCCCATTCTTGACTTTAACTTTTTTTAAAATTGGGGTATTCATCTAATTCATTTGTAAGAACACTTTATATATATTTAGGACCATACCTTTTGTCTGGCATATATATTGCAAACTTATTTAAGATATTGTTAGTTCTTTATTTTAATTATAGTATTTTAAAGAAATTTTAAATTTTATATAATCAGATATGTAATTGTTCTTACTATTTCTGCCTTTTCTTTGTTGCTTAGGGAAAAGGGCCTACATAAAGGGTCTCCTATATTTTTCTCCATTTCTTTTGTTTATTTATTTATTTATTTATTTATTTATTTATTTTATTTATTTTTTTGAGACAGAGCTTCTCTCTTGTTGCCCAGACTGGAGTGCAATGGCGCGATCTCAGGTCACTGCAACCTCCACCTCCCGGGTTCAAGCGATTCCCCTGCCTCAGCCTCCCAAGTAGGTGGGATTATGGGCATGTGCCACCACACCTGGCTAATTTTTTGTATTTTTAGTAGAGATGGGGATTCACCATGTTGGCCAGGCTGGTCTTGAACTCCTGACCTCAGGGGACCCACCCGCCTCGGCCTCCCAAAGTGCTGGGATTACAGGTGTGAGCCACCGTGGCCGACCTCTTTTACTTTCTTTTTTTATGTTTAACTATTTTTTCCACCTGTAGTGTATTTTGATGTATGCTTATGAAGTAATGATCAAATTTAGTTTTTTACTGTAATTGATAAAACAACTCATTCTTTTCCAACTAATTTGAAATGATACACTTTTTTATATAGCAAATATTTATGCATAGTTGCACTTATTTTTTCCATTCTGTTTTTTGTTTCTATTATTTTACTGCTAACAAATATTTTAATTATTGTAACTTTATAATGTTTTAATATCTAAAAGTGAAAATCACTCCCTGGTATTTTTTTAAGAATGCTATTGGCGGCCGGGCGCGGTGGCTCACGCCTGTAATCCCAGCACTTTGGGAGGCCGAGACGGGCGGATCACGAGGTCAGGAGATCGAGACCATCCTGGCTAACACGGTGAAACCCCGTCTCTACTAAAAATACAAAAATTAGCCGGGCGTGGTGGCGGGCGCCTGTAGTCCCAGCTACTCGGGAGGCTGAGGCAGGAGAATGGTGTGAACCCGGGAGGCGGACTTGCAGTGAGCCGAGGTCGCGCCACTGCACTCCAGACTGGGCGACAGAGCGAGACTCCGTCTCAAAAAAAAAAAAAAAAAAAAAAAAGAATGCTATTGGCTATTCTTGTGCATAACTTTTCCATATGAATTTAGGGATCATTTTAACAGGTCCCTCCCCACAAGTAATCCTATTGGGATACCTATAGAAATTGCATTAAACCTAAAAACTAAATTGGGGACCGGGCGTGGTGACTCACGCCTGTAATCCCAGCAGTTTAGGAGGCCGAGGCGGACAGATCACCTGAGATCAGGAGTTCGAGACCGGCCTGGTCCAAATGGTGAAACCCCATCTCTAATAAAACTACAAAAATTAGCCAGGCATGGTGGCAGCCACCTGTAATCTCAGCTACTTGGGAGGCTGAGGCAGAAGAATCGTTTGAACCTGGGAGGCGGAGGTTGCCGTGAGCCAAGATCATGCTGTTGCACTCCAGCCTGGGCGACAAGAGTGAGACTTCTTATCAAAAAAACTAAATTCAGAAGAAATAAACACCTCATGACATTGAAATCTTATGACATTTCCCCTTCTAGGTACATAGTAGGTTTGTCCAATTATGAAAGTATTCTTTTAAGTCCCTCAGTAAGGTTTTAAAGTATTGTACATATCCTAGTATTGCACAGATTATTTTTATTGTATTGTTTTGTTTCTGTAGGGGTTACTTTTTCAGCATATCTTCTAAATCGTTATTTTTTGTTTATTGGAATAGAAAGCTATAGATTTTAAATTACCTTTATAATACCATACTGAATCTTCTTATGAGTTGTATTTCTTCTTGTCAGTATTTGGTAGGTTTTATTTTTTCTCTTATTATATTGAAAAAGACTTTTGGAGCCATGTCATGTTGGTAATGGTCATCTGTGTCTCGTTTCTAAGAATGAGTATTGGTTACAGATAGTCTGTATGACGTTAAGGAAATATTATTTTACCATAGTTTCCTGTGGTTTAAAAAGATAGTTATAATTGATATATTTTATCAAATAACTTTTGGATAATCCTTTCCATTATGGAGGAAATATTTTAAAACCTATTTGAGATAATAATTTATATTTTAGATTTCTTTGTATTAATTTTATTTTATTATTTATTATTTATTTCACTATTTTATTCCTGGCATAAGTTTTACTTCGTTATGATGTCTTCTTTAGTTTGCTAACATTTTAAAAGGGTTTCAGCCTGTTCTAACTGATATTCTGTGACTTTATAATATTTGGGAGTTTTTTACATTTTGGCATCCACTTCATAGAAAGAATATGATGCTGTCCATCAGTTTAAATGTTTTGGAACCATGAAAATGTCTATTCCATGAAGGTCTGTAATAATGTGCCTGAAAAACCTTATTTTTCTTTTTCATTCTTCCAACTTTTATTTTAGGTTTAGTGGGTACATGTGCAGGTTTGTTACATGGGTAAATTGCATGTCACTGAGGTTCGGTGTGCAAATGATTTTGTTACCCAGGCAGTGAGCATAGTACCTGATAGGTAGTTTATCAATCTTCACCTTCCTCCCACCCTCTACCCTCAAGTAAGCTCCTGTGTCTATTGCTCCCCCCTTTGTGTCCACACGTACTCAATGGAAAAACCTTATTTTTCATAAATTCAATTTCTTTCATGTTTCTTGATCTACTTAGCTTTTTATTTCTCCCAGAATCAATTTTGGTACTGCTTTTTTAGATAATCTCTTTTTCATCAGTAGTTTAGAATTATTTTTATAGACTCATTAGTGATATTCTTTACTAAAATTTTCACTTTGTTGAGTTCTCAGTGGTTATACCTACTTCCTTATTTTGACTTTGGGTAATTCTTACCTCTCATTTTTCTTGATCAACCTTGCTAGACATGACAGACTGACAGCTATACACCATAATCTGTATTATATTGACCTTTCTGGGCTCATTAAACAGACTACATTTTTCAGCCTTCCATGCTGAAGTGGCCAGTTTGGAGTGGCCATATGACTGAGTTTTGGCCAATGAAATGTTAATAAGTGGTGTGTGCCACTTCCAGGTCTGGCACATATGAATGTTTCATTCACACTTCTCTATGCTTATTTCTTCTTTCAGAGGACTGTGATGGAGATAATCAATGTAACTTTAGATGCCATATATTGAAGATGGAAGAGTCGCTATCAGCTTGGATCCCTGAACGATCATGTAGAGACAAATCATCACTTGTCTACTAAGCATATCTGCCTTATACTGTTACATAATTGAGAAACTTTGTTGTCCTTGAACCATTTAACATTTTGAGGTCTATTTGCTTCTAATACACCCAATATTTATATATTTGTTTTTTCCAACACAAGAGGTTACAATTTATCAATTTTTCTGTTTTCTAAGTAATTACATGCAGTTTTTATTAATTACATTTTCCTGCTTACTTTGTTTTTACTGCTGCTGTTTTGTTCTAACTTATTGAATTCAATATATAGTACATTTATTTTCAGTCTTGTTTAGTAACCAAGGTACTTAAGGATTTATAAGTTCCTCAACAACAGTTTTTACTACAACCCATAAATTTTGAAAAGTAATACTCTCTTTGACCATATTTTTAAATAGTCTGTAGTTGTAATTTGTATTTCTTATTTGATCCAGGATTTATTTGCAGGATTTTTTAAAATGTCCCAGTAATTGTGATTTTATACAAACACTAAATAATTTCCAGTTTTTAAATACAATTGTGACCATTGCATTTAGCTTATATGATCTCTGTTTTGAGACTCAGGTGAGATTTTGTGACATAGTACCAGACAAAATTTCCATAGTGCTGAAAAAGAAAACTTCTTTTCTTGTATAAATGTGAATATTTAACCACATTTACTAATTTTTATCTCCTTGTTTATTTTTATCTACATGATATGTCAAAAACTGTCATGAGAATGTATGAAAGATTGTTAAATAGGCAAAAACGACTGGGTGTCCATTTAGTGGAATACTGGCAATGGAATTCCGGGTGATCCGATTTTGTAGAGTTGTGCATCTTTGTCTTTGACATGGCTATTTTACAACTCTAAAAGTTGTAGAAAACTAATGGCAGTATAAATGATTTTTGTCCATAGAAACACAAATGAGCACTGTCCAGTAGAGACACAAGTGATTTGCATACTATATAGAAAACATGATTCTGAACAGTTTTTCATCTGTTAAAAAATTCATTTCAGTATTCTAAACTCTGTGTGTGTGTGTGTGTGTGTATATAGTTTGCTCTTCAGATTTCTTTTTATTTTTAGTAATTACGGGTACATAATAGGTGTATATGTTCATGAAGTATATGTGATGTTCTAACATACGCATACAATGAGTAATATACACATCAGGGTAACTGGGGTAGCCATCATCTCAAGCATTTATCATTTATTTGTGTTAGGAGCATTCCAATTCTACTCTTTTAGTTGTTTTAAAATATATATTATTGTTGACTACAGTTACCCTGTTGTGCTATAAAATGCTGTATCTTATTCATTCCATCTAACTATATTTTAGCACCTATTAGCCATCCCCACTCCCCACTACCCTTTTCAGCCTCTGGTAACCATTATTCTACTCTCTATCTCCATGAGTTTAATTGTTTTACTTTTTAGCTACCACACTTGAATGAGAACTTGTGAAAACTTTTCTGTGCCTGGCTTATTTCACTTAATATAATATCCTCCAGTTCCATCCGTGTTGTTGCAAAGGACAGGATTTCATTATTTATGGCTCAATAATATTCTATTGTGTATATGTACCACATGTCCTTTATCCATTCATCTGTTGATGAACACTTAGGTTCATTCCATTTGGTTCTTTTTCGTAGTTTCTATCCCTTTGTTCATTTTATCATTTGGTTCAGGAATCGTTTTCCTGATTTCGTTTGCTTACCTATCTGTGTTCTCTGTTAGCTCACTGAACATCTATAAGATGGTTATTTTGACTAACTGTCAGATAATTCCTAGATCATGTCTCTAGAGTTAGTTTCTGGAACTTTATTTTGCTGAATTCAGCCATGTTTCCCTGTTTTGTTTTTCTGTGTGCCTTGTGATCTTTTATTGGGATTTGGGTATTTAAAAAGATAGCCATCTCTCCCAGTCTTAATGAATGGCTTCATAAAGGGAAAGACCTTCACCAGTCAGCTTGGCTAGAGAATCTGTGGACCTCTTAACCTCTTCTGTGAGCTTGTGCATGTAATTTCCCAGTGAAAAAGGTTTGCTCCTGTTTTCTTCTCAGGAGTCCACATTCTATTACTCCCCTTGGTGTCTATCTGTGGTATTGCAGAACGAGTTGTAGAAGAAAGTGATAATGGCAGGGAGATCAGTTGGAGGTTACTGAAATAGTCCAGAAGAGATATCAAGAGCTGAACTCAAGTACTCATAATGAAAATGATAAGTTAATAAATTTGGCAGCCTTTACAGAACTTAGAGACTGATTGGATATGAGGGATAAGATAAAAGACTGGGTTGGGAATAATTCTTAGTTTTTTACTTAAGTTACTATAAGAATGGTGTTATTAACCATGAGTGTGGGGAGAATGATGGAAAAATACCCCTTAAACTGATAAGATATAAAATGAAAATAAACATTAGTGCTACACACACAGAAATATTGAGAGGTGACAACGTGCTAGCGGCCCTTGCTCACTCTTGGTGCCTCCTCGGCCTAGGTGTCCGCTCTGGCCAGGCTTGAGGAGCCCTTCAGCCCGCCACTGAACTGTGAGGGCCCCTCTCTGGGGCTGGCCGAGGCCGGAGCCGGCTCCCTCTGCTCACGGGGAGGTGTGGAGGGAGAGGCACCGCAGGGAGCCAGGGCAGGGTGTGGAGCTCGTGAGCTGGCATGGGTTCTGGGTGGGCACGGGCTCCGTGGGCCCCGCACTTGGCGCCACCAGCCAGTGCCTGCTGGGCTTGATCCGGGATGAGCTCCCTCTGGGCTGCCGGAGTGTCCCTGCTGGGTGCCAGAAACTCCCGCAGCACAGTGACTGCCAGTGAGAGGTGAAGTCAGCTGGGCTTCTGGGACTGGTGGGGACTTGAGAACTTTTCTGTCTAGCTAAAGGATTGTAAAGGCACCAATCAGCACTCTGTGTCTAGCTAAAGGTTTGTAAATGCACCAATCAGCACTCTGTGTCTAGCTAAAGGTTTGTAAACACACCAATCAGCACTCTGTCAAAAAGGACCAATCAGCTCTCTGTAAAATGGACCAATCAGTAGGATGTGGGTGGGGCCAGATAAGGGAATAAAAGCAGACTGCCCCAGCCAGCAGGGGCAACCTGTTCGGGACCGCTTTCATGCTCATCACAGTAAATCTTGCTGCTCCTAGCTCTTTGGGTCTGTGCGGCCTTTATGAGCTGTAACACTCACAGCGAAGGTCTGCAGCCTCACTCCTGAGGCCAGCGAGACCACAAACCCACTGGGAGGGACAAGCAACTCCGGACCAGAGAAATGAACAACTCCGGATGCCCACCACCTTTATGAACTGGAGTGAAGCTGCAGACCAGGAAACCACTGGAAGGAATGAACAACTCCAGACGTGCCACCTTTAAGAGCTGTAACACTCACCGTGAAGGTCTGCAGTTTCAATCCTGAAGCTAGCGAGACCACGAACCCACCAGAAGGAAGAAACTCCGGACACACCATCTTTAAGAACTGTAACACCAGGAGGGTCTGCAGCTTCATTCTTGAAGTCAGTGAGACCAAGAACCCACCAATTTTGGACACAATGTGACCAAAGTTTACATCACAGATGAGAATACTTCAGGGTTTAGCACTTGGTAGGAAAAACAGGCATTTTGGCTTCTAACTCTAGAAACAAGTGATTATCTGTTACTCTTGTGTCACTCAAATCTATGTTCACAAACAGCACTACTGCATTTGGTGTCTTTTTTATCAAGAGACAGAGTCGTGCTCTGTTGCCCAAGTTGTAGTGCAGTGGCACAAAACAGCTCACTGTGAGCTCAAACTCCGATGTCAGCATCTTACTGTTCCTAAAAGGTTAGAAAGACAATAGCTGGCAGAAACTACACGTGTAGAAAAAAATAAACACATTCTTAGCTAGGAAGGTACCAGGAAGTATAAGTATTCTCTGTTTCCTCAAAAATCATAGTAAACTGAAGACCAAAAGATGGGTTAGATTCGTAGTTCTTCCTGAATATCCAATATTATTAAAAATTTTTATTGTGAATATCTGGCCATCACATACTTATACTGTCTTGACTCTAAAGTACATTTTCCTACTTAAAAGCTTTGGTCTGACAGTATGAAATGGGAAGATTATTTTTCATCAGCCAACTTGGAAATGAATTTCATATAACATGCTAAGAATTGCATGAAATTCATTTCTTTTTCTTAGGGAAGATAACAGAAATCACCTTTTAATAGTTTATTTATCTTAAATACTTTATCCAAATATAGAACTACTTCTATCCACAAAGTACATACCTAGAAAAATTCAAGAATAGAAATATCCCAGTAATATGGAGGCCAGGTTTCAGGCAACCTCAACTACTTGAAACACCACCCAGAACCTGAAAGCAAAACAGGCCTTTGAAGTACCGACCTAGCTGTCAAGTATGAACTTGCATACTTCATTTTCAAAAAGTATTCTTGCAAACTGTCATTTAGATAATATAATAGTTAATATTGTGAGTACTTATTATGCATCCATTGTTACTGTTTTCTGTACAAGAGACCATGAAATAAACTCCCAGATTCCACTGTTGGGGAAAATTTTGCCTCTCAAGATAAACACATTCTGTCAGATAATGATAATTAAAACCAAAAAAAACAAAAATATGTACTTCTCTTTTCTATTGGCTGCTATGAAGCACAGAGATAAATTTAGCACTCATAAAAAATAAATATTTTATCCTGGATTCCTCAAATAGTTTCTCTTCTTAATTTCTAATTTCCTTTCCAATCTATTTTTAATCTATCCTACCTTATGTTTTAATACTATAGGGCATCTCAAATCATTTTGTTAAGTTGATAAACTATGTCTTATAAATATTTATAATATTTATTTGTAGAATAAAAACAGTAAGAAAATGGATAGCAATTTAAGAGATGTCAAATATATCTCAGTAAAAAATTAGTGACCAATATAATACCAATAGAAAAACAAAACAAAGCAGAACAAGTCATTCACAAAATAATTAAAAACAAACAGCAATAAAAATAATTTTAAAACAAAAACACTTTTACAAAGGTTTAAGTTCATTCGTAATTAATAAATGCAAGTGAAAATGAGTTAGTTATAATTTATTGCCTATGAAACATCCACAGATAAGATAGAATGAAAATAGCAGCACTGACTAGAGTATGAAAAAGTTATTTTCATCACTTGATGTCCAGGTGTTGGAAATAAATTTTCGGTGCCACAAAAGAAATAGCACTCAAACATAAATTTTCTCAGCAAGGCAATTTTACTTCTATAGAAGGGTGTGTCTCACAGATGGAGCAATGGCGAGAACACACCTGAACAAGGGAGGGGAAGGGATTCTTATCCCTGACACAGGTTGCTCCTACTGCTGTGTCGTTCCCCTATTGGCTAGGGTTGGACCACACAGTCTAAACTAATTCCAATTGGCCATTTTAAAGAGACCAGGTGTACAAGCCAGAGAGGCGGGGTGAGCAGTTTTGGTGGGAAAGGTGGTTATGGAACAGGTGACTAAGGGAGACTCAGGTCAGAGCAGGTGACCAGGGGTGATTCAGGATGGAGCAGGTGACCAGGGGAACAGATGTGAACTACTGATTAGAACTGGCAGAAAGGTTGTTTACTGAAACTAGGGGCAAGGAGATGAAGAGAATGAGAAAGTTAAACTTTAAAATGGAGAACAAGGACCTGAACATACTGACATACTGATTCTTTGAAGAGAAACTTAGAACTCACTGTATTTAACACAGGGAAGGAGTAAATCAACTGGTATAATCTTTTCTGAAAAAAATCTGGCAATATACAACAATAGTTTTTAAAATTTATATATCCTTTGACTCGGAGATTCCAATTACAGAGACTTATCTGTGGCCAACTGCCACTGTTACTACTTGAGACCGTCACTATGACAGTTACTACTGTCACTACTTGAGACCATCATTACAAGACTGAATGAAGGGACGAACATAGAAATGAAAACTTAAGACAAAAGAAACTGTTTTAAAGGAAGGGTCCAGGGGAAGAAGAAGAGAGCTCCCTGCTTCTAGTGAGCATAGGCAGCCCCTGAGCTTCCACAGCCCTTCATATTTATTGGGTAGCAAGAGCAGGGAGGAGGAGGTAATGATTGGTTGGCTGCTTAATTGATAACAGGTTCATATTATTACCAACCGGCTTCAGATGTACCTAATCGCAAGAAACACTGTGCTTGGGTCGTGACTACCCTCAGCATTCCTTCTGGGCAGCAGATGCAGTTTGTCAGTTTACCAACATTCTGCATTGATGAGAACAGTTTGCTGCCCACTCATATAGCCTCCAGTGGTATACTGAGTTGATCACGACCCTCATTCTTTCGGCCTATGACATTTATCCTAAGGAAACATTTAAGTTTGTAGATAAAGCTTTGATTACAAGGTATTTTATCACATTGTATACAACATAGGTAAGCCAGAAATGTAATTGTTCAACAGTAGGTGATAAGTACTGTAACACACTTACATAATAGAATACTATGTAGTACTTAAGGTGATCTGTAAAACTATACTCAACATGGAAAGAGGTTCATAATACATTACTGAGTGAGAGAAATATATTACAAAATATTATGAATGGTATCATCCTATGTTTGCCTTCTCTGTGCCTGCCCTACTTTTGCTGAATATCACAGGAAAAAATAACCCCACCATGTTTTATAATAAATTCATGTTCACAAACCTCAAATCAACATATTATCTGACAATCTTACCACTTTTCCCCAAGTTTACTCTTCCCACTCTTTGAGCTGATTAGTCCATAAGTATTTCTCTTTCCTCAAACCACCAATACCACCTCTCCCAACTTATTCTGAGCCAATGAACTTGCTTTCCTTTTGTCATATTCTTAAAATGAAGGAGCTATCCTTTGCTTAAAGCTCAATGCCTTCTCACCATCCCCTCTTACCTTCTTTTCTCCTTTAGTCTTCCCCCTGCTGCCCTCCCTTGCTCGCATCACCAATTTTCCCATCTCTTTTAGATCCTTCTTACATGCAAATTTGTTCTGGGATATCCTAGCTTAAATAAAATCCTTTCCTGGACCTTACATCTCCATCTAGCTACCAAATTTCTTCCTCCCTTCAGGGAAAAACTTCTCAAAAGAGTTTTCTACACAAGCTATCTCTACTTCATCACCTCTTTGATGTGGCTTTTGTGAACCCAGAAAATGTCAGACAGGTCTCTCGCCCAGGTTGAGGATGCATGCCCGTGACACAGCCTCGGGAAGTCCTAAGGACATGTGCCCAAGGATGCAGCTTGGTTTTATACATTTTAGGGAGGCATGAAACATTAATCAAGTACATTTAAGAAATACATTGGTTTGGTCCAGAAACGCGGGACAACACAAAGAAGCGGGTGGGGGATCCAGGCCACAGGTAAATTTAAACATTTGCTGGTTGACAATTGATTGAGTTTGTCTAAAGACTTGGGATCAATAGAAAGGAATGCTTGGGTTGTGATGAGAAGTCGCAGAAACCAAAAAGTTTTATCATGCAAATGATGAAGCTTTTAGCTAGCAGGCTTCAGAAAGAACAGGCTGTAAAATGTTTCTTATCAGACTTAAAGTCTGTGTTGATGTTCATGCCAGAGAGGTATAATGAGGCGTGTCCAACCCCCACTTCCCTTCATGGCCTGAACCAGTCTTTCAGGTTAAATTTTAAGAGCCCTGGCCGAGGAGGAAGTCCATTTAGATGGTTGAGGGGGCCTTAGAATTTTATTTTTGGTATACACTTTTATCCCCACAATTCCAATAAAATGACACTTGAAAATATCAACAATAATATGATTCATGGTCCCAGTCAAGTTAACATTTTCCATCTTACTGTTACTTCAACCTTTTAAGCAGCATATGTATATCTGACCAAGCTCCTCTTGAAACACTCTCCTATTTCAGCTTCTGTGAGGCCACTTTCACCTGTTTTTTCTCCTACCTCTCTACACACTTTATTGACTTGTCCTGTTATGGTTGTTATTCCTCGATAAGACCTCTGAATATCGAAATTCCTGTGGGCTAGATGCTGGACCCTCTCGTATACATTTCTACCTTGGATGATCTCATTCCTGTCCATGGGTTTATATGCCAACTATGTGCTCATAACATCCAAATTTATATCTGTAACTCTGACATTTATGATTTCTGGCATCTAATTAATAAATGTTTGTTTTAAAAAATGTCACACACACACATACACAGAAAGTTCCCATTATCCAAGGACAGCTGGCACTGAAAATGCCACCAGAAGGGAATCAACTTAATAGGGGAACAAAATTTCATCAGAAATGATAGAAAAGAAGTTTTATTTGGGACTTTAGAAAACTAAAACCAAAAATTATTAAATTAAGCTTATTTAATCTTATTTTAATTTAAAATATTTAAATTTAAAATAATTTAAATTTTAATTTAAAATATAATTAATATAATTATATTAAAATATAATTAATTTAAAATTTAATTTTAATTGCAGCTATGCAATAATTTTTAGAATGGACAAAGAATGAAATAAGAACTATTTGAGGGATTTGGGGTAGTTCTCTGATAAAAGTGTTGAATGATACAGTATCCTTTACCTCATAAATAGGGTTATTTTTACCAAAACGTTTGAACAATTCACTGTTTCCTCCAAAGGTCTCTCATTAATTGGATATTCAAAATACCCATCACTCATCATCCAAGTGGATTTTTTTCACTTCAACTTAACTGATTTAAATCGTTTTTCATTGGCTTTGACATATTGAAATAGTTATCCAATACCACTTTCAACTTTATGAAATCCTGTGTATTTTCCAAGATTTATAATTCTACATTGCAATTAATTTCTTTTTTTTATTGTTAACATTCAATAGTCAACAGAGGACCAGTGATATGATGGACAATAATACGTGCTATTGTTTAGCAGAAAGGGGTTTTTGAGGAGGACTAATTTTATAAGTGGTTAATTTACTGGTGAAAATTTCTATGGTATAAGGGACTTTTCTTTACTATACATCATAACTTATAAGCACTCAGAAAAAAATTAAAAATAATTGTATATACACATACACACATGCACATGTCTACACATGTATATATAAAGTCTTGTGAGATAGAGGCCCCAAATTGCAGGATGAAAGTTGATTTTTATATTTTTCTTATTTCCTGTGACATTTTCTGATTTTTTTCTTATTTCCTGTGAACATTTTTTGATTTTTCTATTACTGGTCATGCATGACTTGTATAAATAAACTATCATGACTTATTAAATGAAAGTAGGCTTTGAATAGTGTTTGAAAACAATGAGGTTTATAGTCCCTGTCTGGTGACAGCTTTCATTTGCATTTGTATCACAAACTGTCAACTGAAATTAGACCTTGGTAGTCATGTAATTCTAGAGTCATTAAGCCCAAAATTACAGGGTACCAGTTGCTAGGGACAAATAACAGACTTGAAACTACAATATGAGAGATTAAGGTTATATTTACTAAAGAATATTCTGACAGTTCATGTTGTTAATTCTGGAAGCATGACTGCAAACTGAAAAATCTGACTCCAGTTTAGAATTAAATCAAATCCCATTTTGAGATTTGAGGATTAAATAAATAGGTTGTCATAGTCTCTGCTTTTTCAGCATTTTCTAAACCATGTTGCTTATCAGAATCATCTGGGTCTCTTGCTACAAATACAGATCCTCATGTTGCACCCTCAAAAATGTGACTTTGTAGGCCAGGAATATCAGCTAACCATAGGTGATTCTGAAGTAGCTTATCGATACAACCGTGTTTAGGAATCAATGTTTTAGGCCAATGGTTCTAGGAAGAAATCACCAAGCCCTTGGTGAATGAACATTTACACTCACTTCATGATCACATAACAGAGAGTTTCCTAGGGTATGGTCCTCTTTGGGCAATACAAATTGTGATACAATTTCTACTTGTATCAACTGCCTATCCTTCCCAACCAAAAAAAAAGTGAGAATCAACAGTGTTACTCCTCAGTATCAAGCACCAAAAAATAGAATGCAGCAAAATTTGAAAGGGAAAAGCAGTCACTTAAAGCAAACCTTTTGTCAGACTCCAATACATCCAGATCATAAAAAATTTAAAACTGAAAGAATTCTTAGACCAGCTAATTCAACCTCATAATTTTACAGATGAGAGTCAGAGAAATGAAGTCATATGATAGTGGCAGAGTTGTTACAAAACCCAGGACACAAGTACTCTTACACTTGTGTGTTTTTCCACTTTACCATGTATTTAATGAATCCATTATGAATATTATTGGAGTTCCTTGAGAGCATGTATCTCTACTACTTAGCACACTTCCTGGCACATGATGCCTGGGTAAAAGTTTGTTGAATTGAATGCTCTGTTTAAACTCCAAGTAGTAAAAATTAAAGTCATGGTGATAGCTTCTAAACATATTTACCTAGAATGTTGGCCTTTCTAATTTGTCGGAGTAAAGCTGTGTGAATAACTCTCTCAATAAATCTGGGACAACTGAATTATGTTGCCTTAATGACTGAAAAAAAGAGAAGTCCCTTTTGTGGGATTTACTACGTAAGTAGTGACGTTTTCCCTATTACATCTCTGCCCCCACTCATCCTTGAAGATGCAGTTCGGCTGTGAAGTCAGCTTGCTGTGAAGTCAGCTTGCTGTGAAGTCAGCTTGCTGTGAAGTCAGCTTGCTGTGAAGTCAGCTTGCTGTGAAGTCAGCTTGCTGTGAAGTCAGCTTGCGCTTGGCCACAGAGGAAGCTGCATTGTATTAATATAAAGGGTACTTTGGAGACAAAACAGAGTTGCATTTGATTTTCAGCTTTGCTATTAAGGTACTTAACCTCTTTAAACCTAAGTTTTCTCACCATTGTTCACTATATCCTTAGATATATCTACACCATGGACATGTCTATGGATTGTTTTTAAAATTCTACTTGTTGCTGGAATTTCAAGAAATGGACTTCAAGATGATACTACCCAGGATTGTTGGAATATTCATTGAAACCATGTATATTTTTCAAAAAACAGAATGTAAGAAATCTTGCCTGACATATAAGGGGAACTCAACAAATGCAGTCTCCAAGAGGACAGGAACTTTGTTTTGTGTACTGTTGTATTAGTGCCTTGGACATAGCAGAAACTCAACAAATAATGCTCATGTGTTTCCCTTCCTTCCTCTGCCTACTTTGTTAATAAAATATATTTCATATCAACTATCATTGTATCATGCATAAATATTCTTCACGTCTCTTAAATTTGTGTGACTTTCCATTATACTTAGAAATTTACTGTCTTCTTACGAAAAGTATTTCCATCTCTCAACAAAGTTAATGATCTGCACAGCTGTGTCAAGAAGATGTAGTAATGTTCAATGTAGGAAGATGAACAATTTGAAAAACACACACACATTCCCTGATTTCATTCGTGTCACATATGGACTCATGGCTTTCAAACACTCAAACATAACATGAAAACCATTACCTTCGCATTCGAGCTACCTGAAGTTTTTGTTTTTTTCCTTACAGGGAACCACCGCAAGCACAGATTTGAAATAAAATTGAGGGCAGTAGTATCAGGAAAAAAATCGTTGGGAATGTGTTGGAGAGAGTAAGGGTCCAGCAGGCAGCTGCGTTCTGGCTGGACTTGCAGTCCTACCTCCGTGGCCCCAAACTCGGGGGTGATTTAGAGCAACGCCTTTGGGCCTTACTGTTTTAGACTATGGGGGTGCACTCCATCGGTGGTTT
Source organism: Homo sapiens (assembly GCF_000001405.40). Classification (NCBI taxonomy): domain Eukaryota; kingdom Metazoa; phylum Chordata; class Mammalia; order Primates; family Hominidae; genus Homo; species Homo sapiens. Next base: position 155,874,477 of record NC_000023.11, read on the forward strand.
TCCCCCATTATTTTAACCACAGTCTCCTTTCTTTCAGAGAAGTGCTCCGTGTGAATCTCGAGCTGGGTGGGAGGAGAAAAAAGAAAACCAAAGCCAATCTGGTCTCCTTGCATCTCGAAAAAGGTCACACGATCCGTCGCTTTGCCGCCGCTCTCCGGAGTCCCGGGCCACGACCTCGCATTCAGAAGTCACGTTCAGCATCTAAAGGTAGCGGTCCTCGAGTCCACTCCCCGCTGGAGTGAAGAGAACAACGGGGAGGACGCCTTCCCAGAGCAGCTGCCGCCGGTCCCTGTCCCCGGCTCGCTTCAAGCTCTGCAGCTGCTGGGGCATTTCTGATGAGGGCCCTGGGAGGTACACTCTGAAACATTCCGCCCCTTGCTAGTATTTACTCACTGTCTTCCAACCTTTTTGCTGTGGAATGCGTGCTCCATGCTCCCTGTCCCCATCTTGGGAGGAGGCAGGAACCGAGATGAAGGAGGAGCGCAGAAGCAAACACTTTATGTGCCCAACTGGAACTGTTCGCTTTGGTCAACCAACACTGATTGCTCATTCCTCTGTGTTCCCTCTTAAACAGCTTCTGAAAATTGCTCGAGAGGGGCGGAGTCAGGAAGCCAAGAGCGTGGGAGGCAAATCTCAGCCCCCTCGCTGTCTGTGAGGCTAGAAGCCTCGGTTTTCCTTATCTGGAAAAGGGGGTTGCTGATAATAATAATTACTTCACACCATTACTGCGATGATTAAATGCAGTAATATATATCTATCTTAGAATACTGTTTGGTACTGAGGAGTGTTAGCCCTTGTCATTAGTATGCATTCTGTCAACAAACTGTAATTGAGCACAAGCTCTGTGCTACCCTGAGGAGATAAGAGTGGTGAACAAGACTAATAACGTTCCTGCCCATATGAAATGTATATCCTAATGATGGTAAATGAAAAATAAGCTAGTAAACAATAAAAACATAATTATTTTAATTATCATAAGAAAATAAAACAAGAAAATATGTACAGAGTGAACATGTGGCAAGTGGCTAATGAAAAGCCAGTGGTCATGGAAAGTCCATCTGAGGAGGGGCCTGAATAACAAGAAAGACATGCACACAGATCTGCAGGTTCAGCATTCAGTGCAGAGTAAACAGCTGACGCAAAAACTCAAAGGTGAGTGCATGCTTGGTCTGTTCCAAGGTGAAAATCATGCACTTATTACATGACAATGACTTAAAGATGTATTTCTATCCCTGCACATGTAGGGACAATTTATATGGGCATCTTCATTCTCGCCAAGAGTTGGAGAACGGGAAAGATATGGGAACCTGTCCCAGCTGTTTTCTCATTATTAAAGTGATTGATGACAAAGATCAGTATATGCGCAGAGAAACAGATCCAGCACCTTTCACCAACAGATAATTCGTTAAATGCTGAAGGATTTTTAGCCAAAATCCTGAACAACTGGAAATAAGCCAAGGCGGAAAAAAATCTAATGCCAAGTTACAGACCTTTTTCATGAGGACACCAGTTTTGTGGTTTACCATTCCATTAGAGTATGCATTCTTTTTTAAAAACATTTATTTAATTTTTAAATTTTAGATTCAAGTGGTATGTGTGCAGGTTTGTTACAAGGGTATATTGCATAATGCTGACTTTGAGCTCCTAGTGAACCCATTGCCCAAATAGTGAACATAGTACCCAATAAGGTAGTTTTTCAGGGGAAAGAAACTGCTCTATTAAAAAGAAACCTTGCACTCATATGTTTATTGCAGCACTATTCACAATAGTAAAGTCATAGAATCAACCTAAGTGCCTATCAACGGTGGAGTGGATACAGAAAATGTGGAACATATACACCATGGAATATTAGGCAGTCATAATAAAGAATGAAATCATGTCCTTGGCAGCAACATGGATGCAGCTGGAGGCCATTATTCTAAGTGAATTAACATAGAAATAGAAAACATAGGCCATTATTCTAAGTGAATTAGCAAAGAAAGTGAAATTAACATAGAAATAATTTCTATGTTAATAGGAATTAACATAGAAATAGAAAATCAAATACTACATGTTCTCACTTATAAGTGAGAGCTAAACAGTGGGTATACATGGACATTAAGATTGAAATAAGAGTATGGATTATTAATATCAATCAAAGAAGAGAACCAACAGATGGGAATACCCTCATTTTATGCTTAGAACTTTGAACTGGAATTGTTCTTAATTTTCCATCAAAATTTTAAGAGAAGATAATTTAAAAAACTGTGCTGTCCTTCAGTTTCATCATTTTATGTCTTAAAACTAATCACTCAATATCTGATAGCAACAGTATCTATCTCAAAGTCATTAGTATACCTTGGTTATTAAGATAATTCAAATTAGCCCTTCCAGTGAAGTTGACATCATCTTTGCTATTTTTAGAAACTTTGAAACTTAAGAAAATGAGTTGCTTCTTCACTGCTACACTTCCACTTTCTGCACCAAGCCTTGGGCTTGCCCTTAGGCTTTCCTTTTTAGAATGTTCGTTTTCTGTGAAGCAGGCCTTTTCTGTTACTCTCCATGCAATGCGTTAGTTGTGGCTTTAAAGAGAAAAATTAGCTCCCAGTTTCTCCAGAGCTACAAGTTACTCGGTAAGAAAGAGAAGTCAAAAAGTGAAATAGTCTCAGAATTTGGAGTTTCTATATGAATATTCCATAGGTTTCTTAAATATTAGGAAAAGATAAAAAGACAAGCAGCCAGGGGAGGTGAAATTGGTAACAGAATGAGAGGAGCAAAACATGCTAACTTAGTAAATAAAACACTTGAATAACTTTGCCACATCAGAGCAGGTATTTCTATATCTGCATGCTCACGAGTTTTTAGAAAAGGCTAATGAAACTGCTCTCCAGATGGGAGTTGATGTCAAGTCTTATGGCAAGTGACAATGCTTTTGGCATTATCACAATATCATGTCACTTCACCTAAAAGGTGAAGAATCTACAATAACTCTGTTTGCTGAAGATCTTGAAAGTAGGAAGTGAAATCTGAATAGAGATACCCATGGGGCACATCTACTACACCTCTGTAATCTGCAACCAAACCAGAGGCATTCTCTGACAGAAAAATATTTCTTTGGACAAAAATAAATATATAAAGAGAGTTGGGTCATCAGCCTTCTTTTGCCAGAGTGCTGAGAAGAACAAGAAATTTAAATAATCTATATGAAGAATTTAAAATTTCCTTTATATACACAATTTAACTGTGTGCATATAAAATTAACAAAAATGCACTGATATCTAGCAGGTTGTTTAGGGAATGGCTCCTATAATTAGAGAGAAAAACGGCTTGCCAGAACGTGAACACTCTATTACCAATAGCTGCACATAGTCATTGAAGGTTTAAATCAAACACATCTGTGGCCTTTAAAAAAATTTTTTGCCTGCCAGCACCATGGCTACAAGCAGCTATTAAACTGAGATATAATAAATAATCAAAATGTGGATGCTGGAAGTGCTTGACACATTATGAGAAGCAGTGTTCCTATCACAGATATAAAGAAATGGCATGTTCTTGATGTAATGAGAAATCTTACTACTATGTGGAACACAGACACCTCGGAAGTAATTAGCTGGGGATGGTGGCACGTGCCTGTAGTCCCAGCTACTAGGAAGGTTGAGGCGGGAAGATCGCTTGAGCCCAGGAGTTCAAGGCTGCAGTGAGCTGTGATCGTGCCACTGCACTCCAGCCTAGGCAACAGAGCCAGACCTCATCTCAAAAAAAAAGAAAAAAAGAAAAAAAATAATTATTCACAACTGCTTTGCAAAAGTTCATGTTAGAACCACAGATGGCTCAGATGAACAAAGGAAGATATGTGACGACTCTAACTGGAATAAGCTGCAACCAAAAATATGTCCCATACTCAAATGTCAATTATTTTATAGCTATTGATAATGTGTTAGTTCCCTCTACGGATTGTGAATTTCAAAAGAGAACAGGTATCCTTGATGTAGGTCTGTTTTCAGCATAGTATAAGAGGAAGAAAAGTTGCCTAAGTCCAAACATCCAGGAGAAAAGAAGCATGAACAGCAATGGCAATCAGTGATACACTGCAATCATGTGATTTTGATTCAAAAGCAACAGAATCACTAGATTTGTTTGTAAACCACAAAATAACACATCACGTGAAGCTGGAAGCCATTATCCTCACCAAACTAATGCAGGAACAGAAAATCAAACACTGCATGTTCTCACTTGTAAGTGGGAGCTAAACAATGCGAACACATAGACACAGGGAAGAGAACAACACACACTGGGGCCTGTCGGGGTGGGGTTGGGGGAGGGAGAGCATCAGGAAAAATAGCTAATGCATGCTGGGCTTTAATACCTAGGTGATGGGTTGATAGGTGCAGCAAATTACCATGGCACACATTTACCTGTATAACAAACCTGCACATCCTACACATGTACCCCAGAACTTATAATAAAATAAAAATAAGTAGGATAGAGGACAAACTGCTAAATCTAAGATGCATATTTGCAGCACTGCCTAGCATAGTAATAATTTAGAACATCTGGCAGCCCTTTAAAAGTCAACAGACTGCTTTCATCTCTGTTATCTCATCTGATCGTGCTAGGGCTTGGTGGATAGAATTATCTCCATTTTACAGGGGAGAAAACTAAGGCTCCAAGATTTAGTAACTTACTTCAGTCCCATCAAGGGAGAACTGGATCAGATTCCTGATCCAATTGCCAGGAGGCAAACCCTGATCCAATTGCCAGGATCCAATCTTGATCCAATTGCCAGGAGGCAAATATTTCTGCTGTCCCACTGGAATATAGGGCTTTCCTGGCCTGCCCTTCTAGGGTCTGCATTTGCCAGCCCTAGGATGAACACTTATACAGGAGCTATTTCTAAATGTCTAGATAGCCATGTTTATCAGTGCCCCACCATTCACTATGGTAACCCTAGATGCTGAAAATAACCATATTAAGGAAATTAGCCTGTGTACATTCACTCTCGTCATCATCTTGGTTTTGGTGGGTTTTGGCTGGCTTCTTTACTGCAGTCTGTTTTATCAGCAAGATCTTTATGACCTGTATCTTGTGCTGACCTCCTATCTCATCCTGCGACTTAGAATGCCTTAACTGTCTGGGAATGCAGCCCAGTAGGTCTCAGCCTTATTTTACCCAGCTCCTATTCAAGACAAAGTTGTTCTGGTTCACATACCTCTGACAGGGAGGCCTCAGGAAACTTACAATCATGGTGGAAGGCAAACGGGAAGCAGGCACATCTTACATGGCCAGATAATTACACTACAAATTTTAGGGTATAAATAAGATTACTTTAGGAGAGAATATGGAGTAAGAGGGGGCTTTGCTAGAGTCCTGAAAGCTCTAAAGAGAGGCGATATTTAGAGTTCACACAGCTTAGTAACTCAGATCTCTCTGACTCTAAAACTCATTCTTTTTCTAGGATACTATGCTGCCTCTTAAAGAATAGATATTGAATACAATATAATTAAGTTGATATTAATACCAAATGCGAACCTTTGCAAAGGGGAGATAAAGCAAGGGGAATGATTAAGATCACCAGGAAGAGTGTGAAGAGTAAGAAGAGAAGATGGCATAGGGCAGAACCCTATGGAATGTGAACATTTCTAAAGAAAATGAAGAGCTGCCACAGAGGTGGGAGGAGAACCAGCAGGGTGTAGTTCTTGGAAAGAGCTAACAGAATAAAGGGGTTCAAAAAGGAGGGAATAAGGGCCGTGTGTGGTGGCTCATGCCTGTAATCCCAATACTTTGGAAGACTGAGGCGGGTCGATTATGAGGTCAGGAGTTCGAGACCAGCCTGGCCAATATGGTGAAACCCCGTCTCTACTAAAAATATAAAAAATTAGCTGCCTGTGGTGGCGCACGCCTGTAGTCCCAACTGCTTGGGAGACTGAGGCAGGAGAATCGCTTGAACCCGGGAGACGGAGCTGGCAGTGAGCCGAGATCGCGGCACTGCACTCCAGCCTGGGCAACAGAGTGAGATTCCATCTCAAAAAAAAAAAAAAAAAAAAAAGGAATAATGAAACTAAAGTCCTGCAGAGTTGAAATACGGTAATGGCTTAAAAGTATCTATTTGTTTTAGCAACACTGTTGAGAATTCTGTCTGTAAAGGAGAGGTGAGAGAAAGACCACTAGCTTATCTGTGTTTGGTCTGTGTTTGATGAGGGGGCTTGGGGTATGGGGTTAAGAAAGGTGACTTTGGAATGTTTTAGATGAGAGAAATTTTGACAGCCTTTAAGTCCTGATAGTAAAGAGCGAGTTAGCAGAGAGCCGTTGAGGAGTCATGCAACGGAAGGGTTCATCAGAGGAGCTTGACTCTGAGTCGGCAACAGGGAATAGAGATGGAAGAGGGCTGGCTTAGATCAAAGGAGAGTAGTCGTTTATTATTATTATTATTGCAAAAAGAATAGGAGAAAGGATTGGTGAGGGGTACAAGAAAATTAGAAAATTTCATGGCGAAAGTAGAGGCAGTTCCTGTCAGATGAATTCTATTTTGTCTGTGAGGAAACGGGCGACGCTGCCTACTGAGACTAAGCAGGAGAGACGGGGCAAGCTTGGCTCTTCATTTATGCCGCCTACTCATTGCTGGTAGATTCTTTATCTAGCCTGCATCCTCTCATTTTCCTGGATCCCTATACGGCATTTGACGCTGTTTACCACAAGAGCTGTCGAACGAACGTGAAACACTCAGTGATACTCCAACCGGAACTACTACTCCCAGAATGCAGTACGGCTCCTGGGAAGTGCGGGGGGCTGGGAACGCAGCAGGCCTAGCCGTGTCGCCTGCTGCCATTGGAGGAGCGCTCCCACTCCCAAGAGGCCACGCGTAGACGGGGCGCTTCATGCGGAAGTCAGCGGCGTCCGGTCCCAGCCTCCTCTGGGAGCGGGCAGTTGGCGACCCTGCACTGACCCGCGTCCCTCCGTCCCGAGCCCGCGCGCCCTCAGAGGGTGCCCGGACAGGTAAATGGAGTGGGGTGCGCCTGCGGGAGGCGGGGAGAGAACTGCGGAGGGAGGGCGGAGGTGTCGATGGAAAGGTGCTGGGGTGGAGCGAGGAGGCAGTGCAGGGGTGACTTGGGCTTCTCTGGTGTCGACAGTTCCAGTTGTCGGGCAGGACCAGTTTTGGCGAGGTGCGTCTTATGCCACTGGAAAGGCCTCGAGTTAAAGAGTGTCAGAATGCGTCACTTAAGCTGTCATTACAGGAGGGAAAAAATGTTAACTTTCTCTCAGTTTGTATTCTACAAGACCTTTCTGTAGCATTTAAATCTCTTGAGATCGCCAGAGTCTTCTAAAAACTCTCTACGTCCTTGTTCGATGACGTCACTTTCTGCTTCACCTTCTACTTCTGGCTGTTTATGCTCCTTCGTGGGTTCCTAGCCCCTTATTCGCCCTTCCTCCACTGCTCAGTATTGACAGTCCCCTTCTTCCTCTGTTCAGGGACTGTATTTCTGCCTAGACCCGTTTCCTCAGCTTCAGACCTGTTTGGTGTTTTTATTAATGGCCAATGTTTATCAAATTCTGACTGCGTACTTTGGTAAATGCTTTACATCTCCGTCTCCCATAACTCTCACAACCAACCAACTGTCTTCATTTGGCCTCATTAATTGCTTTCAACTACCTGTATCTCCATTATCCCTCCCTTGATCCCAGAGGATACAGTCATGTTTAGGATATTAATTCCCTTTGAATACCTGTGGCTGAGAGCAGATCCATTCATACATTTAACAAATATTTATTGAACGGCTGGTATATGCTTGACACTCTTTTAAGTGCAGGGGATACAGCTGTAAACAAGACTTAGGAGGTTGCTACTCTCAGGAACTTACATGTTTGTGTCTAGAGGGGAAAACAGGAATAATCAGGATTATGTTATATATTGGTTAATGCAAAATAAAACAGGTGGTTGACTTGAAAGGATGGGATCCTATCCTAAGAAAGTCAGAGGTCAGGGCATCGTCCAGAAAGAATAGTTGTAATACCAACAGGAATAATCTTGATCTGTAACATGACTTTTCGTAAACACCTCTTCTTTTCCCCTGTCTAAGCAGTGTTTATTCTTCATTCTTCTATCTCCTCCAAGGTTATTGCATCAGAATTCATGGTTTATCTGTAGTTGGTTTATTCCTTCTAAGACCCAGAGAGAAGAGTGGGGGATTGGATTACTATTAGCTCAACTGCTTTATCTTACTTAGAAAGATAGTTTGGTTGTGAAAATATTATTCTTACCAGGTCCTTCTGAATATAAAGTTATCTACCATTTATAGTATATTTTAAAACCAAAATATGCTCAATGTTCACTCATTTATTCAACAGATATTTGAGGGAATATTAGATGGTAGGCACTGTGCTGAGCACTGGGAAAATAGGGTAAAATAGACACTTTGACCTCTCTTCCAAGGAGAAATAATCCTAACAGTATACTGAGGAAATTTCTAAGGCATAGGCTGACACCTGCATTCCTGTTCTTCATCCGAGGTGAGATCATCACAAAACATTAAGACATTTCCTGAGCAATTGCGGACATTCTTAGATTATTCACTTATTATACTTTATTGCATTTATTTATATCTGTCTTCCCCATTGTTCTATGGCTCCCTCAAGTATAGGAGTCCCTTCTTCCTTAACTTTATACCTCTAGTGTCTACTTTGACTGTCATATAGTAACCCACCAGTATATACGTGTTGAACTGAAATAGACTCCCTATTTGATCAAATTTAAATGACATGATTTATACAAGGCCTTCTTTATGTAAGGCCATCAGCCGTATTCCTCAACCTTCTCATTCACCAAAGGTGGACCATTCCATCTTATCAGGCTAGCTTATGTACCTTCTTTACCTTGCTCTCAGTGCCTTCTCTTCTTCCATCCATCCCTCCTAAAAGGATCTCCCATCTCTTCCCAAGCACCTTGTGTACCTCCCTCCATTAATTTGGTGGGCCAGTTAATTTAATAATCTGCTCATGATACAGGGGTGGAAAAAAATTAATTTCCTTTTTATATTTCCTATGAAACATTCTGCCAATGAACTCTTGCAAGAATTAATGTAATAGATCCTACTGCAATAATATAATGATACAGAATACTTTTTAAAGATTTTGCATTGACTATCACCATGTGCTATGTAATGAGTTAATTCTACTACTTTATTTGAACAGTTGTATAACCTCTGTTCACACAGCATGTTTTGGTATCATTTGGTTTCTACTTGGTAGAAACACATCTTTTTTTTTTTTTTTTTTTTTGAGACGGAGTCTCACTCCGTTGCCTGGGCTGGAGTGCAGCGGCGCGATCTCGGCTCACTGCAACCTCCGCCTCCCAGGTTCAAGCAATTCTCCTGCCTCAGCCCCCTGAGTAGCTGGGATTACAGGTGCACACCACCACGCCTGACTAATTTTTTTTTGTATTTTTAGTAGAGACGGGATTTCACCATTTTTGGTCAGGCTGGTCTCGAACTCCTGACCTCAGGTGATCCACCTCGGCCTCCCAAAGTGCTGGGATTACAGGCATGAGCCACCATGCCCGGCCAAGAAACACATCTTTGAGTATTACTTTCTCAGCCTGAGGTAATTTAAGTGGTAATGTTATTCTGCCACATTGTCATTTTCAGGATGTCAGATAAAAGCCTCAAGTATTAAAATTAAACTTTTTTTTTTCTTTTGAGACAGAGTTTTGCTCTTGTTACCCAGGCTGGAGTGCAATGGCATGATCTTGGCTCACCTCAGCCTCCACTTCCCGGGTTCAAGCGATTCTCCTGCCTCAGCCTCCCAAGTAGCTGGAATTACAGGCGTGCGCCACCACGCCTGGCTAATTTTGTATTTTTAGTAGAAACGGGGTTTCTCCATGTTGGTCAGGCTGGTCTCGAACTCCTGACCTTGGGTGATCCGCCCGCCTCAGCCTCCCAAAGTGCTGGGATTACAGGCATGAACCACTGCGCCCAGCCAAAATTAAAGTCTTATTCCATGCAGGTATCTTTCAATTGTAAATCATTACTGCAAAAGACAAATTTTGTCTTTATAACTGATTAAAAACAACAGCAGTACAAGAGTGCTTGAGTCATGACTGTCGTGAATTTAGGATGTGCCAACCTAAGATCAGCCAGATACTTCTAAGATGTAAACATTAAGCATTGTTATTTTAGGTGATTTATTGACACCTATTTCTTTATAGACAGGAATGCAAGTGCAGCACTGAATTGTGTGCCATTGCTCGTTTATAAGATACACATGTAGATGATCCAGAATATTCTTATACATTTTTCAGTGTTATCAAAATACAAATGCAGAATTAAAAGATTTCTCAAAACACATGGACTTGGCCTTTCCCCTTACTCAGTTACCTGAAACTGTCTTCAGCCTCTACTTGAAGATGCTTCTGCTGAGGAGGAGCATTTTCATCATTGCTGTTCTATGTTATTACCAAATTTTTTAATACAGGCAATTTCTTACTTACAAATGGATATATTCTAAAAGTACTGTTGTAAGCTTATTGTTTGGAACGCTGGATGCATTTCCTTCTATAAATAATGCTATCCATGACATTTACACTGTTATGCCAACCAGTATCATTTTATTAACTTTTAATTTAGTGGACTCGAAGACCTTCCCCACAATTTACAATAATTCCTCTATTAAAAAACTGCATTTATAATTCTCATTTGAATTCCCTTATAGCATATCTTTTTTTAGAAACCCAACAACTAGAACAAAAATATCCTTTCTTTAGTCCCTTAACATAGTAAAAACAGGCTTTTCTAACTCCAAACTGTTGTGGGTGACCCTTCTAGCCCTTAGCTCTAAGGACAGTCCTCCAATATGAGCAAGGAAAACGAAGGGACAGAGGTTTTAGAGAGGGAGGCAAGTTGGGTGATATGAGTATCTGGAAAGGGAAGGGTAGGATTTATTTGGGATGAACAGTGAGTTTCTAAAATGGAAGTTTGCATTGCTTGTCAGCCTTTTGGCTAAGATCAGGTGTAGTATCAGTTTAAAATGGGGGTTTGTTGTGGGTTGAATTGTGTCCTCCAGAAAGCTGTGTTGAAGTCCTAACCCGTGGTACCTGTGAATGGGATCTTATTTAGAAATAGGATCTTTGCAGATGTAATTAAGATGTAATTGAAAATGGGGTCATACTGGAGTAGAGTGGGCCCTTTATCCAATATGACTGGCATCCATATAAAAGAAGAGAGACAGAGAGAATGCAGTGTGAAGACACAGATACAGAGAACACCATGTGACTACAGAGGTAAAGATTGAAGTGCTGCACCTCCAAGCCAAGGAACACCAAGGATTGCCACCAAACTATCAGAAGCTAGAAAGAGATAAGGAAAGATTCTCTTCTACAGGTTTCAGAGGGAGCATAACCCTGCCAACATCTTGATTTTGGACTTTTAACCCTCAGAACTGGTAGGCGATACATTTCTGTTGTTTTAAGCAACCAAGTTTTTGGTACTTTATTACTGCAGCTACAAGAAACTAATACAGGATTCTTAGCAGGAATAAAGTAGAATTGGGATGGTGGCTGTGGGACCAAGTGGGGAGTGAATAGGAGAACAAAGAGGAACAGTGTTGATATGGGGCTTTCCTTTATGTTGCATTATCTTTTTTTCTTCCCTTCTCTCTCTGGCTTATCTTTTCATTCTTTTTCTTCTTGGATCTTATCTTTATATAGCACTTTATGGTTTATTAGGCATTTACATACTGCTAATAATTAGCAGAGCCAGGTTTTCTAACTTCAAGTGCAGTGTTCATTGTGCCACAATTGTTTCTGTTATCCCAATACTCATCAAGACGTTATGGATTCTATTACAAGACACTTACAATGGGGGCAGGTAAGACTTCATAGGTGGGATTTTTAGCAGTATAGCAGAGAGGAAGGAATTCCTATTAGTGACATCTGGAAGGAAAGTAAAGTTTCTGTTGCTATGTACCCACTGTTTAACAGTCATTTTTAAGTTGGGGACTGCTTTTATTGGAAGAAACACTACTTGCGTATAACTTATATTCATTGTTCCTAGTTATATTCTGAATAATGTGCTCCCTGTTCCAGGTGACTGTACTTTATATAAACTCAAAAACTATTGTCATGTTCCCTCTAAGTCCTCTCTTTCTCATGTTACATATCTCTAGTTCCTCCAGCCAGTCTTCAGATGACACAATCTCCATGTCTCTCACCCATATTGTATTGCCTCCCTTTTGTCTAGTCGTTAAATATTCTACCCAGAATTGAATTCAGTATTTTACATATGTTCTAACCAGCACAGAGTGTAATGGGACTAGTACTTAAACAGGTCAAGACACCCTATTTCTTAATGTACTTTGAGATTATGTAAGCATTTTTAAGCAATATCGCATACCGTTGGTTCATAATGAACTTACAGTCCACTGAAACACTAGATCTTTTTGTATTAATTGTTGCCAAGGTCAAGTTTCCTTCTGAACCTGCACAGGGACTGAGGCTGCTGCTACTTTTTCATCTCTCTGTTCCAGGGACCATATGATTTCTTATCTCTGTTTCTCTTTGTGTTTTTGTTCCTCTCTACTGTGTCTCTTTGACCCTAAGCAATGACCTCCTTCCTTGTTATAAAATTTCACTGATTGTTTTACAGTCTTCATTCTCTTTCTTTCCTTTCGGCTTCTGGGCCACCACACTTTTGGCTTTCCCATTTGGTCCTCCTCAGTCTTTGTGAGTCTCTATTTATCTACCTTTCCCTCAACTGTTGGTTGTGCTTTGGGTTTTATCTTTGGCACTATTTTTTTTTTCTGTATGCAATATATCTTCAGCAAATAAATCATGTTTAAAATGGCAGATCTAACTGAGCTCATCTGGGAATAAAAGGGCACAGAATCAGTCCCGGAGGAAAGTCGACATTTAGAGGTCAGGTAGAGGAGGAAGAGTCAGCAAGAAGACAAAAAGAGCAGCCAGAGATGTAGGAGCATTTCAAGAAGGAGGGTCGGTCAGCAGTGTTGACTGTGCCTAAGAGGTCAAGTAAGGTAAGAATAGAGAAGCAACCACTGTATTTTGCAATATAGAGGCTGTTGGTGACCTTAGGAAGCATGGTTTTCTGGAGTTTTAAGGGCAAAAGCTGGATTATAGTAAGTAGAAGAGTTGAAAGGAGGCAGAGGAGCAGAGATAATGCGTAACGATGCTTTGAAGAAACAGAACAGGGCCAGGTACGGTGGCTCATGCCTGTAATCCCAGCACTTTGGGAGGCCAAGGCAGGTGGATCACTTGAGCCCGGGAGTTCAAGACCAGCCTGGGTGACATGGTGAAACCCTGTCTGTACAAAAAAAAATACAAAAATAGCCGGACATGGTGGCACACACCTGTAGTCCCAGATACTCCAGAGGCTGAGGTAGGAGGATCACTTGAGCCTGATAAGTGGAGGCTGTAGTGAGCCAAGATTGTGCCACTGCACTCTAGCCTGGAGCTTGGGTGACAGAGCAAGACCCTGTCTCAAAAAAAAAAAAAAAAGAAAAGAAACAGAACAGTAGGATCCACAGTTAGGGAGGCTTTAGGATCAAGGGAGATAAAGTATAAGACAGCAATTTGGAAACTATAACTTACTGCATATGTGTAAGGAGAATTCTAGAAAGAAGATGGTTGAGATCACAACCCTGGGGAACAACTTCAGTTAGAGAGTAGGAATGAAAAAGAGATCCCCAAAAGGCATTCAGCCCAAGAGACAGATGAGCACCTTCTGCTCTGTGTGCTGTCCTTCCATGCTGGGATTGCAATAAGGAATCTGCACATTCCTTGATCTCAAACAGTTTATAGTTTGCTGTTGTGTTTCACAAAGTATGTTTGTGTGAATCACCTGCATCCAGACAGACTTGTATTAAATACAGATTCCAGGGCCCTACCTCAGGCCTACGGAATCAGAATTTCAGGAAGTGATGCCAAGAGTTTGAATTTTTAGCAAATGACTCATACTCTGCCACACAAGATGATTCGTATTCCCACTACAGTTTGAGAACCACTGGTATGTTGGGTACTGAGCATGTTAACAAATAAGAGTAGGTTTAACAGTTAATCGAAGACTAGACAAGGATTTGTTCATCTCTTTTTATGTTTATGCCATTAAATAAGAGAAGCTGGGCTTGTTAGGTGGGAAATAATAGCACATATTCATAGGCAGACATAAGGAAAATAATCTTAAACTCATGCCATATGGTTTTAGTAATGTTTTGTTTATGAAGGGTCTTACCATTCCTTTCTTGTGGAAGCTTTGAGTTATTTTCACTTTGTTTCTGTTATGGATAATGCCTTTATACTGGCAGTGTACAGTAAAAGGCTAAGATTATGAGCTCTAGAACCATACTGCCTAGGTTTAAATTGCAGCTCCACACTTACTAGCTCTGTAATTTGGGGGAAATTATTTAAGTCATCTGTGCTTCAGTTTTCTCATCTATAATAGAAGTATCATAATAGTGTATAATCTCATTGAGTTGTGAGGATTAAATGGATTAATAATTATAAAGTATTTAAAATGGTACCTGGCACATAGTAAACAATAAATATAGGCTATTTTTATTGTTAATAGTTATCTTTGTGAATCTAGAGTCTTAACTTCTGTTGAACTATTTCTCTAGGATAAATTTTCAGGATGGAATTTCTACATTAAAGAATGAAGACATCTTTATGTCCCTTTGCTATCTATAGTCATTGCTTTTCAAAAGGGTGATATCTGTTTGTGCTATAATAATTTGTAAATGCAAGCTATCAATGGTGTGTGTGTGTGTGTATGTGTTTTGTATGTCTCTTTATATGAATGCATACAAGCATGGCTTAGGTTGTAAGTTTGTAGAAAACTTTGACCTTCTTTTTAAGCCTGCTCTTAAGTCTGTTGTTAAGTTTCATGTTATAGTGCCTCGTTAGATACTATCTCCAGGTAGTATGTTGATAAATGATAGTAAGTTACCTTTGAAAGATTATGTCAAAGAAATATTCTAAATCTGTGTCTTTTTCCTTTTGATAGACTGAAGCCATGGCGATTCTTTTTGCTGTTGTTGCCAGGGGGACCACTATCCTTGCCAAACATGCTTGGTGTGGAGGAAACTTCCTGGAGGTGACAGAGCAGATTCTGGCTAAGATACCTTCTGAAAATAACAAACTAACGTACTCACATGGCAAGTGAGTTCTGTTCTGCATGTGGTAAGGGATGAAAGAAGGGAATTCTGTTACTCTAATCAGAACGGTAGAAAAGTAGAAAACAAGCTTCTAGGTACATAATTTGAATAAGCTGACAGAATAGTAACCTTCACCAACTTAGAAAATATATCTGGTTTTGTTACTTATAAATTTAACTTGTAATTATTTTATTCTATTATTGAAGTGATATTTTATTTTGAAGAAAGATGAAATGTTAAATGTAAAAATGACTTTGCTCTAGAGCTGTGTGATATGTGAAAATAATTCAGATAAGATAGATAATGTTCCTTTGTTCATTCTTTCAGTAAATATTTACTGAGCACTTAACTATTGCCAGGCACTTTGCTTGGTGCTGGGGATATAACAAGATATGTGGTATTTGCCCTCATAAGGGTTATAGTTTAATGAGGGAGAAAGTCAAATCCACGATGTCAAGGGTTGGGGGGATGGGAAGTAGTAGATAGGAGAATGGTATTCCAAGTAGAAGGAACAGCAGGTAGAGAAGTATGGAGGCATGAGATCATAGGGCGGGCATATTTAGGGAACTGCAGACTGTTCTCTGTGACTGGTGCCCAGGATGGTGAAAATAAAGCTAGAGAGATGGGTAGAAGAAAAGTCATGTAGGGCCTTGTAGGCCATATTAAGAGCTTGGACTTTACCTTGTGGGCAGTGGAAAGGCATTGAAGGTTTTCAGCCAGGGTGTGACAGAGTCAGGTTTGTTTTATTTATTTATTTATTTATTTATTTAGAAACAGAGTCTCACTCTGTCACCCAGGCTGGAGTGCAGTGGTGCGATCTTGGCTCACTGCAACCTCCATCTCCCAGGTTCAGATGATTCTCGTGCCTTAGCCTCCTGAGTAGCTGGGATTACAGGCGTGCACCACCATGCCCAGCTAATTTTTGTATTTTTAGTAGAGTTGGGGTTTCACCATGTTGGCCAGGCTTGTCTCAAGCTCCTGACCTCAGGTGATTCGCCTGCCTTGGCCTCCCAAAGCGTTGGGATTACAGGCGTGAGCCACTGCCCCTGGCCCTTCAGTCAGTTTTTGCTTTAGAAAGATCACTCTGGTGGCTTATTAGAGTGGCCATAGTTGGGAAATCTTAGTAATTAGTTTTAAAAAGTGCCTCAACCTTCCCCGTTGGCACTTAAAAATCTTTTCTTACTTAACCCAGCCTTACTTCCTTAGTTCTTATCTCAGAATGAGGTCCTTATTACTTTCTATGGCTAACCCCTTATACAGTTTAAGGTGTACTCTAAGCTACTATGAGAGAGACCCCCAAGATACAGTATTAATTTTAATGAGATAGTCCAGAGATGAGTGGTTTGGGATGTTGGGGTGGCTCTGCCATTTCCAATTCCCTAATTCCCAAAGCAATTAGTGCTTTCCACTTCTGGCCAAGGCAGCTCCTTTGGTGCTTGTTATATCCCAGTGCTTGCCCAGTAATTTTAAAGGCAGGGCCCAGAAGTGGCCTGATATTGTTGAGAAGCTTCCACTTACATCTTACTGTTCACTACACAGTCATGTAGCTAGCATAGCTAGAAGGGAGGCCAGGAATTGTCATCTCTGGCTATGTAGTCGTAGGCTCAACTAAAACTCTGTTACTCTGGAGGAAGTTATAGGATATCAGGGGATGACTTGCAGTCTTCCAGTCTACTCTCCTGGCCACCCAGATATTTCAGTGAACCTTTCTTCCCAAACATAGAATACGCCTCTTCTCTGAGAGAGGTAGCTCCAAAGACCTATCTAGTCACTGTGTTTGGCTCCAAGTCCAGCATGTCTAGGTGGTACACAGTCCTATCCATCAGGCCCTGGTGTGGCTCCTGTGGTCCACTGACCATAAAGTAAAAGATAAGTCATATGTTTTCCCTGCTTTCCCAGCCTAACCCAGTAGACAATGGTGAAATAAGAAAAGGATCATCACAGTGAGAGTTACAAACTCCCATTTGGAAAAGGGAAGAATGAGAAACATGTAGAAGTCATTGCTTTCCAGTAATGATCAAATAATTGCCTCACACAATTTCAAAGACTCCCTATTCTGACCAGGAAGTGGTTAGTGGTTCTGCTTTCTTGGAGGAACTCCCTCACCCTTTTTCCCTGACTCCTGGCTTTGTTCTCCAGGAAGTTTTTCCTTTCTGGCCACATCCAAAATGGTAGTTAGAGAGTATATCATCTTTGGGAATTGTACCCATTTTGTAGTCCTCTTGCTGCCAGCGTAGGTTTGTGGGCCTAGAGGTTAGGGGTTAAATAATCTTAGCTTCTTATGATTTTGGCTTTATACTTTCTCTAAAAATGTATTAGACTTACAGTCTTTGTGTTTCTAGGCAGTTCCTGGGAAAATGTCCAGGGAAAGCACATGTAGTCGTCCTTTTAGAGGCAAGACTGGGAAATAGGGCATATATCTTCCACTCATGTATTATGAGCCAGAATTTAGTCACAGCCATATGTAGCTTTAAGAGAGTATAGAATATGTAATCCAATTAAAATGCAGTTATAGTAGAAGGAGATGTTATCTGTCTGCCATGCCTCTCTGCCTGTGTCTCTGATCTAGCTGTGTTATTTCGAGCTTTGGTACCTTTTTTTCATGCTTTTGTTATCTTCTAGGAATGCTGTTCTCCCCCTAAGCCTCCTTGTAAACTTTTGCTCACTTTACAGGTCCCAAGCGAAATACTTTCTTAATTTGTACTTTAATGCTTCTAAAAGGGCAGTTCTGATCATATTCCTTCCTTCAACAGATACTGTCTGCCCTCAAGGTAAAATTCCTTAACGGGACTTGGAATATTCTTCAAGATCTGCCACTTTTTCCTTCTGTGGGCTCATCTTTTACTACTTTAGTCCTCAGTTTTGCTTTCCAGCCATACTTCATACTTAGCCATTTACAATTCAATGCTAGGTTCTTTCTCTCTTCCTAGCCTTTGCAATAGCTGTTACCTTTTACTGGAATATATTTATCTACTTAATTTTTTAAAAATCTCACTTTGTGTGCCTGAGCTTAGATGTTTCCTTTTCCAGAAACCCCTGAACATTAACACTGAGTCAGGCACCGCAATCAGACACTCTTTTTATGTGTCTACATAGCATCTAGTTTGTTCATATTGTAACACTTTTCACACTGTATTATTATTATTATTATTATTATTATTGAGACGAAGTTTCGCTTTTGTTGCCCAGGCTGGAGTGCAATGGCGCAATCTCAGCTCACCGCAACCTCCACTTCCTGGGTTCAAGTGATTATCCTGCCTCAGCCTCCCGAGTAACTGGGATGACAGGCGTGTGCCACCACGCCTGGCTAATTTTTGTATTTTTAGTAGAGATGGGGTTTCACCATGTTGGCCAGGCAGGTCTCGAACTCCTGACCTCAGGCAATCCGCCCGCCTCGGCCTCCCAAAGTGCTGGGATTACAGGCATGAGCCACCGTGCCTGGCCTCAGACTGTATTATAATTGAAATGATTGTTTATTTCTGTACCCTGACTGTAGGCTTCTTGATGGCAGGGATCATACCTTGTTACCTTTTGTGGCCTGTGCACCAAGTGACTTACAAGTCTGGTTTAGGAGAAACAAATTTTATGGGGAAAGTGATGACTTTCATTCTGGGCATGTCATGTTTAAGCTGTCTATGGTATGTCCAGTTGGATATGTCTAGTAGACAGTAGTGTAGGTAGTCCTGGAGCTCAGGAGATAGGTCAGATGGAGATTTGGGAATCATTGGCATAATTGTGGTAGCTGAAAACAAACTACAACAAAACATGAGAGTGCATGCTGCCCTCCAGGGAGTAAGTAAGTGTGAAAAAAGCAGGAGGCTAAGGAAGCTAGAAAACGTTAGTGTAGAGGGAAAGGGACTATGATATAAACCAGGTATATTAGCCTGCTTGGGCTGCTATAACAAAATACCATAGACTGAGTGGCTTGAACAACAGATACTTGTTTCTCACAGTTCTGGAGACTGCGTGAGGTGCCCGCTAATTCAGTTCTTGATGAGGGCCTTCTTCCTGGCTGGCAGATGGCCACCTTCTTGCTGTGTTCTCAGGTGGTGGAAAGAGAGTGATCTTTTTCTTCCTCTTTTTTAAAGCCACTAATCCCATCACGAGGACCCCACCCTCATGACCTCATCTAATCTTAAGTGCCTCCCAAAGGCCTTGTCTCCAAATATAGTCACACTGTAACATATGAATTTTGAAAGGACACAGTTCAGTCTATAGCACCAGGCAAGCCTGATGTCAAGAAATCTAGTGAAGATAAAACACTTTCCAAAAGGAAGTGGTCAACACTATCATATGTTTCAGAGAGAGCCACTGGATATGGCAATGTGGAAGTCATTGGTGGAAATGGTGCAAATAGTTTTAGAGTATTGGAGGAAAAGATTTTGCCTGAGTTCCTGTATCTCCTTGTAATTCATGTCAGTCCTCTGTGAACATTAATATAATTCAACAGGTACCCCTATCTATCCACTTGCCCAAGGTACAAATGTGGGAGGCAAAATTTAGTTAACCTGTCTCACGCCAGTCACCAAGTTCTATAAATGCTGCCTCCTATCTCTTCTCTGTCCCTTTTTCTTTATTACCCATTCTACTTTAGTTTATTTCCCTCCTCATTTCTTACCCGGTATACTGCAGTAGTCTCCTGTCTGGTCCTCCTTTGAGTCAGTTTTCCGCACTCTAGCCAATGTGTCCTTTGTTTTTTTTTTTTTTTTTTTTTTAATGTGTCCTTTTTAAAGTGCAAATCTGATCACACCCTCCCTAGGCTAAAACTTTTGGATGTTTATTCATTATTCTTAGGATAATGCACAGTGTGGTTTATAAAGTCTTGTATAACCTGGTTTTTGCTTACTTCTCCAGTCTTGTCTGTCCAGATAATTCACTTTTTCTTCACATTCTGTACTCTAGTCATGTGAGCCAATTTTACTTTCCTAAATCTATTAGGTGCTGTTTTACCTCTAGGCCCTTATGCTTGCTGCTTCCTCTCTGGAAAAACTCTTTGCTCACTTTTTTTTGTTGTTGTTGTTTTTTGAAACAAGGTCTCACTTTGTTACCCAGGCTGGAGTGCAGTGGCGCAATCTCAGCTTACTACAGCCTCAACCTCCTGGGTTCCAGCGATCCTCCTGCCTCAGCCTCCCAAGTAGCTGGGACTATAGGCGTGTGCCACCACACCTGGCTAATTTTTGTATTTTGTGTACAGACGGGGTTTTGCCATGTTGCCCAGGCTGGTCTTGAACTCCTGAGCTCAAGCGATCTGCCCGCCTCAGCCTCCCAAAGTGCTAGGATTACAGGCATGAGCCAGCCACCACGCCTGGCCTTTCGCTCACTCTTTACCTTGCCATCTGTTACTTATTCTTCAGGTCTTAAATCAGACATCACTTGTTCTGGGAAGTCTTTCTGGTTACCCTTTGGCAAATCTCCATTTCGTGCCTCATCTATTAATGTGTCCCCAGAGCACCATGTACTGCCTTTAACTTTCCTGTCATCCTGTTTGCCATGCTGCACTGTAATTCCTTACACTGTGATCCCTATGAAGACTGGGACTTGGTGGTTTTGCTTTTTTGTATCCTCAGCATCCAGCACAGTAACTAACTCAAAGTGGATACTCAAATGTTGAGAATTTGGTAGAAAAGATGTTTGCTTTAAGAACTTAGGAAAAAGCAAAGAAAACCATATGGCCTATTGGGGGTTAATCTTAATTACATCCTCCTCCTAAGATGTCATCTCTTGTTCATGCTTTAAGAGTCCAATTATGCTTTTGCAGCTATCGTTCTAATGGGTAATACACATGCTGTTGTGCTATGTAGCTAGAATAGAGATCTTTTTATTTCTTATGTACTTCTATCAGTTTGACTTGAAAGAAACAGGTATATTGGGAAGGGGAAGAGGGAGAAGAGACTGTATCCGTAAGTAATATGGTGACATTGGCAGTACTGAACGTGCTTATACATAGATAGAAGATAGAAGTAAAAGTGATGTTGCTTATAACCACAGTAAGTTTTATATCTTTTATTCTACAGTTATTTGTTTCATTACATCTGCCAAGACAGGATTGTATATCTTTGTATCACTGATGATGTAAGTAACTTGAAGACATATTGCTATTTAACTATGTGTACTGTTAATACAGCCAGTTCTTAATTATCTATACCAGGGGTCCCCAACCCCCAGGCTGCAGACCGGTACAGGTCTGTGGCTTGTTAGGAACCAGGCCACATAGCAGGAGGTGAGTGGCCTATGAGCATTACCACCTGAGTTCTGCCTCCTGTCAGATCAGCAGCAGCATTAGATTCTCATATGAGTGTGAACCCTGTTGTGAACTCTGCATCCGAGGGATCTAAATTGCATGCTCCTTAGGAGAATCTAATGCCTGATGATCTGAGGTGGAACAGTTTAATCCCGAAACCATTCACCCTCCCCCAGTCCTTGGAAAAATTGTCTTCTACAAAACCGGTCCCTGGTGCCAAAAAGGTTGGGGACTGCTGATCTGTACCTATAGTGGGCAAACGTGATGCGAACTTTACATAGCTGGAATTGTTAATATTTTGCATTTGTCATATAGAGCAGCAAATGTTAAGAAAACTTGATACTGGGGTATGTGCAAATCAACTCAATTTTGGTAGAGTTTTAGCTTAGCCTCTTGCAACTTCTATATTTATTCTATTTTGTAGTGAGAATTGATGTTCATAATTATAATTCTTTGATATCAAAACCTCTCAAAAATTGTTTACGTGGAATGTTAAATTAGATAGCATCATTTCTTCTATCAGTAGTTAATGAATCCTTTAATGTATGTGAACTTTGGAAAAACAAAATTACAATACATTATGATCAGCTATATAAACCTGTAGTTTACATTGGTTAGGTATGACTGTTTGTCGGCTCTCAGCCCAAAATTCTCAGTAACTTAATGATGTCATTAAGGTCCTTTCTCTTCTCTGCTTATCTCCGTGTCTCCTTCTTCCCAGACAGGTTGCCATTATGGTTTCGTAGAGCTACATACTTATTTATTCATGTCCGGAGTAGAGGGACTGTGTCTTCTTGAGTGTCTTATTGTAGGAATGAGGAAGCTTTTCCCAGCTGCATGCCCTCCCCTCCCCCTGCTTTCAAAGTGAACTTCCTTTCATGTCTTATTGGCTGCATGCTCATTTCTAAACTGCCTACTGGCAAAGAGACTTGGAATTGGCATGGTTGCCATAGATCAGGGTTCCTAATCTTTATTGTATCACAGACTCGTCACTTGTGGGACACTCCCAGAATGTTTTTGTTTTCTTTTTTTAATTTTCCTTTTCCAGAATGCTTTTAAATGTATAAAACACACACAATTCTAACAAAGCCAATTATATTGAAATATATATATATATAGTATTCAAAATATTTTAAAAACTTGATGTAGTAATATATATGCTTCTTTATGAACTCATTAACAAGATCTAGTCATAGGTCTAATAACTAATAGTCTTGATGTGATGGGTGTTGACAGTATTTTGAGATATCTGTAACTGTGATGGTATACAAAAAAAGATTTCTGTTGGTGACAGTTACAGGTACTGTTTAATACTACCCCGATTATGAATATACAACCTATATTCACAATTGAAATATAAGTTAACGATTGATAAAAATAATGATGTGATTTTCTTTTTTTCTATCCAAGTTCAAAGGCCCCTTGAATTTGGACCATTGACCCCAATTTAAGAACCCTTGGCTTAGACTAAGCATCTTGGGTGAAAGGGAAATGACTGTCAACCATAGTGATCATCACAATGATTTTTATCTCTGGCTTCACAATATTTTCCAAAAGTACGAAAAAATCTAGCTATATGTGAAATGACTGATGTGAAACAGCTTGGAATAGAAGGAAAATACTAATGAAATCTGGGATAGTTAGAGTCGAGCCTCATATTTCTTGAGCTATAATTTGATACACACATATACATGTATACATAAACACACATACACACATTCATTTTTTTCCTCTAAGGTATTCTTACAGAGAACACACATACTTTTTGGCTGGCTGGGATTAGACATGAGTATGTCACTTGATCTTTTCAAATATACCACCACTATTGAAAAAATTCGATTTGAAGTTAATATCAGTAGTAGTATCTGTATGTGTGAAAGACTCTATGATTATTATGGGATTTATTAAACATATTCTTGTGCTGGGCCTTCTAATAGATCTTATGAAATATATGGAGGAAGTAAAATTCAATTCCTGATGTCAAGAAGTTGATAACCTAGGTATCATTATCTTCAGTTGTCAATGACCAGATATATCTGGATTCATTCTCAGCTCTTTCATTTACTAGTTGTTGGACCTTTGGACAAGTTAGTTACTTTTTCAGAGCCTTCCTTTACTTATCTTTAAGATAGGATCAATGCTAGTTCCTCCTCAGATAATCATTGCTCAGTAAATGTTAGCTGTTTTTTATTGTTGTTCTTAATCACTCACATCATCTTTGTTTACTTTCTAAATGTGAGTTCTGTGTTGATCTCTTTTCAGGATTTTGAACGTTCCCGAGCCTTTAATTTTCTGAATGAGATAAAGAAGAGGTTCCAGACTACTTACGGTTCAAGAGCACAGACAGCACTTCCATATGCCATGAATAGCGAGTTCTCAAGTGTCTTAGCTGCACAGCTGGTAAGATCTTTCTCAGGATAAGGTATTTTGATTTATATCTTCTTCATTACCTTCAAACACTATGAATCTAGGGGGCCCTGACCTGCAATATAGTTTTCTGATTGTGTTACTGTAAGCCAACATAATAAAACTTCCCTGATTAAAAAAAAAATGTAAAGGGGCCATTTTAGGGTAGAAAACAGTGATAGTCTTTATTATCTCTATTAATAGTGGTCACAGTGTCTCATGATTGGAAGAGCATTAAAGATCATCTAGTTGAACTACCCATCTGATGCTTAAATGTGTTCAGCATGCCAAATGATCTTTTAAACTATACGTAAACCTTCTACCCTTCCATGAGGGAAATTTAATTTTCTAACAACCCAAATTAATAATTTGAAACTCTCCTCATCTGTATGAATCCCTAATTGTCAGCTTAGTGAGGTTTTACATGTGAATATACCTGTGAAATACCACTGTACTTAAGACAGCATTTTAATCACCCTAAAAGTTCCCTCATATCCCTTACCAGTTGGTCCCCTCCCCTACACTTTGCCCCAGGCAACCACGGATCTGTTTTCTATCACTATAAATTAGTTTTGTCTTTCATAGAACTTTCTGTAAATAGAATCATACAGTATGTAAACTTTCTGTAAATGGAATCATACAGTATGTACTTTTTTGTGTCTTGCTTGTTTCAGTCAGTGTAAGGCTCTTGATATTCTTCCATGTTGTATAAATCAGTAGTTTGTTCCCCTTTTTGCTAAGTAGTAGTATATGCATATACCACAATTTGTTTATCCATCCACCTGTTGCTGGATATTTGGGTTGCTTCCAGTTTTCAGCTATCATGAATAAAGCTGCTGTTAACCTCCATGTATAAGTCTTTGTGTGGACATATGTTTTTATTTCTCTCTGATAAATACCTAGGAATGGAATTGCTGGGTCATATGGTAGGTGATGTGTAATTGAAAAAAAAAAATCACCACTTTTTTTTCCAAAGTGGTTGTACCATTTTATATTCTCACCAGCAGTTCCAGTGTCTCTGCGTCCTTGCCAGTACTTGATGTGGTCTTAAGTTTTGCCATTCCAGTTGATGTGTAATGGTATCTCATTGTGGTTTTAATTTATGTTTTCATGATGTCAGACACCTTTCGAAATGCTTCCCTTTTATCCATGAAACTATTTGAGTATAAAGACGTAAGCTCTAGCTATGATTTTGTTGTGAGTTTAAAAAAAAGCTGTATTGTAATGGAATACTTTCACTTCTCCTGTGGTTTTAATACTCTGAGTATTACATTTCTAAATTTTATGCACACACACACACACGCACACACATACTCTTCTGGCAATAAAGTCCCTTTAAATTGGTTACTTATAAACCTTTATTATTCAAGCAGTTGGTTTGTTTCATACTCCCCACTAGGAAATGTTCATCTGTGTAAAACTGTGTAAAACACTACCCACAACAAAAATACCAGTACTTAGTCAAAAGTAAAGGGTCAGCTAGAAACAAAACTTTCAAATTAACCAATTTGTCATTAGCTCTAGATCTGTGTGACCTTCTGAACAAAATCTCTACCTGTTCCTTTGTCTGTAAATAGAGATAATAGCATCGTTTCATAGAGTTTTGGGGTGGATTAAATAATATCCCGTTTGAAGCACTTAACACAATGAAATGACTGGAACATTGTGTATTAAGCACCCCATAATTGCTAGCTATGGATAAATAATTTCAAACTATATATTATCAGTGTCTTAGATTCTAGATCCTGTGAGAAGCCAATAAAAATAGTTTATATGCTGTGATCCTGGCAGATACAAGAACAGATTCTGAGAAGCTGGGCCAGCCCCTACCTCATCATACTCAAGAAGTGGGGAACAATTTTGCAGCATTCTTTCCCCCACTGCCCCAACTACAGTCTTCTTTTTCTCCTTTCTTCCTTGTCTGAGCACAGATTATATATCCCCCCCAATCTCTGCCCCACAAGTCACATGTATATTTGATATAATGTTTATTTTTATTTTATTTAAAATAAGGTAATTTTTAGACTACATACTTATAGTTTGTATAGAAGCATTTTTTATGCTGCCCATATTTTTTCCTGGGTATTGTAACATTTTTCCAGTGAAGTGACATGTATCTTTTATATCAATAGAGACATAATTTTATAGCATTCCTCAGTGTAAATTGTCATTCCCCTTATTTTTGTTTTCCTATTGTAAATAATGTCTAGGTACCATAAGTTAAAACTTATTTTCTTATAGAAGCATCACTCTGAGAATAAGGGCCTAGACAAAGTGATGGAGACTCAAGCCCAAGTGGATGAACTGAAAGGAATCATGGTCAGAAACATAGGTATGTTTCATGGCATAGTTTCATGCATGTGGGCAAAAATGATAAAGATTACTTGACTGGGGTCAAATTATTCTAGAGAAGCCAAAATAGCACTTCCTTATTCTTACCATTGGAAGTTAATTGTCAGCTGAGACAACTGTGATACTGTCTGCTTGTGCAAATGGTTTCTTCTTTGTCCTTGCAACTATTCTTCATTCTAAATTTACTAGTTTGCTTAACAAGACTAATTTCTAAGAACCTTATGATAATTCAGCAGTTTAGAATAATTTGGTCAGTGTGATTGTACAGTATTTCACTGAGTTAATGTATCACGGGTTACCTAACCTTGCCTGAATTTTGGACGCATAGGTTCTTTAGCACAGTGTTAGAGTGCTGTTTTGCAACCAGATAAGGAGCTTGCTGAAGAATGTCAATCAATATTGTGCTTCCTTCACTGAGGCCCTCTTGCTATGAAAATGTCAATTGGACTGAACAGTATGCTTAGAGACTTAGTCAACCAGTTGCAAATACTCTTAAGTAGGACTGATTTAGAAGTTTATCCTACAGTAGTAACCATACTGTTATATTTTTGTGCCTATTATGTTTTTCTTATTTTCTTGAGATTAATTATCAGGAATGGGATTAATAATCAAAATGCGCAAACGTTTTCGTGGTTCTTGATATGTACGTCTTGGCTATTTAAAGTGATTTCCTTTAATTGATTTTAGTTTTAATTATATATCTAGATAGAGACTAGAGAATCTGTTGAGACAACTACTATTTATTTTTATTCTTTTTTTTGTCACCAAATGTATTTATTTTGCCCGAAAGTGGAGGCAGACAATTGCTACAATATTATTTATTGCAGATGCATAAAGTTTCCAGAAAAATCAACGTTTTTAATCGACTCCTTTTAAATGACTTATTTATTTTTAGAGTTATAGAAACAGCAAATTTAATCCATCTTGAATTAATTTTTGTATAAGGTATAAGGAAGGGATCCAGTTTCAGCTTTCTACATATGGCTAGCCAGTTTTCCCAGCACCATTTATTAAATAGGGAATCCTTTCCCCATTGCTTGTTTTTCTTAGGTTTGTCAAAGATCAGATGGTTGTAGATATGTGGCGTTATTTCTGAGGGCTCTGTTCTGTTCCATTGATCTATATCTCTGTTTTGGTACCAGTACCATGCTGTTTTGGTTACTATAGCCTTGTAGTATAGTTTGAAGTCAGGTAGCATGATGCCTCCAGCTTTGTTCTTTTGGCATAGGATGGACTTGGTGATGCGGGCTCTTTTTTGGTTCCATATGAACTTTAAAGTAGTTTCTTCCAATTCTGTGAAGAAAGTCATTGGTAGCTTGATGGGGATGGCATTGAATCTATAAATTACCTTGGGCAGTATGGCCATTTTCATGATATTGATTCTTCCTACCCATGAACATGGAATGTTCTTCCATTTCTTTGTATCCTCTTTTATTTCACTGAGCAGTGGTTTGTAGTTCTCCTTGAAGTGGTCCTTCACATCCCTTGTAAGTTGGATTCCTAGGTATTTTATTCTCTTTGAAGCAACTGTGAATGGGAGTTCACTCATGATTTGACTCTCTGTCCGTTATTGGTGTATAAGAATGCTTGTGATTTTTGTACATTGATTTTGTATCCTGAGACTTTGCTGAAGTTGCTTATCAGCTTAAGGGGATTTTGGGCTGAGACAATGGGGTTTTCTAGATATACAATCATGTCATCTGCAAATAGGGACAATTTGACTTCCTCTTTTCCTAATTGAATACCCTTTATTTCCTTCTCCTGCCTGATTGCCCTGGCCAGAACTTCCAACACTATGTTGAATAGGAGTGGTGAGAGAGGGCATCCCTGTCTTGTGCCAGTTTTCAAAGGGAATGCTTCCAGTTTTTGCCCATTCAGTATGATATTGGCTGTGGGTTTGTCATAGATAGCTCTTATTATTTTGAGATACATCCCATCAATACCTAATTTATTGAGAGTTTTTAGCATGAAGGGTTGTTGAATTTTGTCAAAGGCCTTTTCTGCATCTATTGAGATAATCATGTGGTTTTTGTCTTTGGTTCCGTTTATATGCTGGATTACATTTATTGATTTGCGTATACTGAACCAGCCTTGCATCCCAGGGATGAAGCCCACTTGATCATGGTGGATAAGCTTTTTGATGTGCTGCTGGATTCGGTTTGCCAGTATTTTATTGAGGATTTTTGCATCAATGTTCATCAAGGATATTGGTCTAAAATTCTCTTTTTTGGTTGTGTCTCTGCCCGGCTTTGGTATCAGGATGATGCTGGCTTCATAAAATGAGTTAGGGAGGACTCCCTCTTTTTCTATTGATTGGAATAGTTTCAGAAGGAATGGTACCAGTTCCTCCTTGTACCTCTGGTAGAATTCTGCTGTGAATCCATCTGGTCCTGGACTCTTTTCGGTTGGTAAGCTATTGATTATTGCCACAATTTCAGAGCCTGTTATTGGTCTATTCAGAGATTCAACTTCTTCCTGGTTTAGTCTTGGGAGGGTGTATGTGTCGAGGAATTTATCCATTTCTTCTAGATTTTCTAGTTTATTTGCGTAGAGGTGTTTGTAGTATTCTCTGATTGTAGTTTGTATTTCTGTGGGATCGGTGGTGATATCCCCTTTATCATTTAGACCTAAAACCATAAAAACCGTAGAAGAAAACCTAGGCATTACCATTCAGGACATAGGCATGGGCAAGGACTTCATGTCTAAAACACCAAAAGCAATGGCAACAAAAGCCAAAATTGACAAATGCGATCTAATTAAACTAAAGAGCTTCTGCACAGCAAAAGAAACTACTATCAGAGTGAACAGACAACCTACAAAATAGGAGAAAATTTTCACAACCTACTCATCTGACAAAGAGCTAATATCCAGAATCTACAATGAACTCAAACAAATTTACAAGAAAAAAACAAACAACCCCATCAAAAAGTGGGCGAAGGACATGAACAGACACTTCTCAAAAGAAGACATTTATGCAGCCAAAAAACACATGAAAAAATGCTCACCATCACTGGCCATCAGAGAAATGCAAATCAAAACCACAATGTGATACCATCTCACACCAGTTAGAATGGCAGTCATTAAAAAGTCAGGAAACAACAGTTACTGGAGAGGATGTGGAGAAATAGGAACACTTTTACACAGTTGGTCGGACTGTAAACTAGTTCAACCCTTGTGGAAGTCAGTGTGGCGATTCCTCAGGGATCTAGAACTAGAAATACCATTTGACCCAGCCATCCCATTACTGGGTATATACCCAAGGACTATAAATCATGCCGCTATAAAGACACATGCACACGTATGTTTATAGCGGCAGTATTCACAATAGCAAAGACTTGGAACCAACCCAAATGTCCAACAATGATAGACTGGATTAAGAAAATGTGGCACATATACACCATGGAATACTATGCAGCCATAAAAAATGATGAGTTCATGTCCTTTGTAGGGACATGGATGAAATTGGAAATCCTCATTCTCAGTAAACTATCGCAAGAACAAAAAACCAAACACCGCATGTTCTCACTCATAGGTGAGAATTGAACAATGAGAACACATGGACACAGGAAGGGGAACATCACACTCTGGGGACTGTTGTGGGGTGGGGGGAGGGGGAAGGATAGCTTTAGGAGATATACCTAATGCTAAATGACGAGTTAATGGGTGCAGCACACCAGCATGGCACATGTATACATATGTAACAAACCTGCACATTGTGCACATGTACCCTAAAACTTAAAGTATAATAATAATAAAATAAAATAAAAAAAGCAAATTTAAAATGTGACAAGAACATTCCTAGTTAATTCCCTTTCATTTTTTTAACAGCTTAATTGAAATATAATTCACATATCATATAATTCACCCATTTAAAGTATACAGTCAGTGGTTACTATATTCACAGAATTGTACAACCATTGCTGCGATCAATTTTGTAACATTTTTATCATCCCTAAATGAAGCCCTGTACTCATTTGCAGTTGCTCCTCAACTCTCAGACCTAAGCAACAATTAATTCCCTTTTCTTCTTCATAAATTTGCCTATTCTGGACATTTCGTATAAATGGAATCTTGTAATATGTGGCCTTTTGTGTCTTCGTTCACTTAGCGTAATGATTGTGAGATTCATTCATGTCGTAGCATAAATCAATACTTAATTCTTTTTTATGACTAATAATTCCAATGCATTAATGCATTTTATGTATCTACTCATTAGTTCATGGTCTGGTTATTATAAATAATGCTGCTATGAACATTTGTGTACAAGTTTTTGTGTGAGCATATATATATATTATATATTATATATATATATATATGTTTTTGGTTCTCTTGCTTACATACCTAGGAATAGAATTGCTGGATCACATGGCAACTTTGTAACATTTTGAAGAAGGGCCAAACTTTCCTAAAGTGACTGCACCTTTATACATTCCTAATAGCAATGTATGAGGATTCTGATTCCTCCACATCCTTGCCAAAACTTATCTTTTTTGATTATACCCAGTCTAGTGAAATGGTACTTTATTGTGATTTTGATTTGCATTTCCCTGATGACTAATGATGTTGAGCATTTTTTCATGTGCTTATAGGCCATTCGTATATTTTCTTTACCTTTGGAGAAATGTCTATTTAAAAATACTTTATTGTTTTTAAGTGGGTTATTTGTCTTTTTATGGTTGAGCTATAACAGTACTTTATATATTCTGGATACTAGACCCTTATCAGATACATGATTTTCAAATATTTTGCTCTATTCTGTGAGTTGTCTTTTCATTTTCTTGATGGTGTTCTTTGAAGCACAACAGTTTTTATGAAGTCCAATTTATTTTTTTCTTTAGTTTGTGCTTTGAATAACATATCTAAGAAACTGTCGCCTAAGCCAAGATCATGAAGATTTACTACTTTGTTTTCTTCTAAGACTAGTTTTAGCTCTTACATTTCTATCTATGATCTATTTTGAGTTAATGTTTATGTATGGAATAAAGAAGAGATCCAACTTAATTCTGTTGAATATGTATATACAGTTGTTCCAGAACCATTTGCTGAAAAGGCTTTTCTTTCCCTGTTGAATGATCTTAGCATTCTTATCAAAAATTAGTTATCAATGGATGTATAGCTTTGTTTCTGGACCTTCAGTTCTGTTCAGTTTATCTTTATGCCAGTACCAGGCTGTCATGATTATTATAGCTTTGTAGTAGGTTTTAAAATCAGGAAATATTCATCTTCCAACTTTATTCTTTCTCAAAATTGCTTTGACTATTCTGGGTACCTTTCATTTTCATGAACTTTAGGATGAGCTTGTCAATTTCAGATAGCAAAAAAAGCTATCTGGGATTTTGATAGGGATTGTGTTGAATCTGTAGATCAATTAGGGAGCCATTTTAACAATATTAAACTTCTGATCCATGAACATGGGCTTTCTTTCTATTCATTTAGGTTTCTTTAATTTTTTCCAACAATGTTTTGTAGTTTTCAGTGTGCAAGTCTTACATGACAAAGACTCTGCTTCACCAAATTTTAGACAAGCTCCTCTGAGCACTCTGTTAAACTAGGTCTCATCCTCGGGCTCTGTCCTTGGCCTGCCTAAGGAAGTCTTAGCAAAGAATCCTGCTAATACCCCACCCTTGATCAAGTTCCTTGTCCCCTATATTTGTTATATAAGTCCGGCCAGCTTTTAGCAGGAATCCTGTTAGGCCAGTTTAGAGAGAATCCCCTTGCCCTTGATGCCTCCTCTTAGTAATTTTCCATCCTCTGACCCCCTCACTCTGTTCATTGGCCACAAATCCCCACTGGTCTTGGTTGTGTTAGGAGTTGAGCTCAATCTCTCCCCTCCATTGTGATAGCCTTGACCCCTATTGCAGTAATCTCAAAATCTGCCTTACCATTTTTTAACCAGTGTCAGAATAATTTTTCTTTAACAATATCTCTTCTAACATCCTTCTTGCCTTGTTCCTAAGTATTTTTTTATGCTATTGTAAATGGAATTTTTCTCTTTCATTTTCGGATTGTTCAGTACTAATGTATAGAAATTTTATTGATTTTTATAAATTGGTGTTGTATCATACAACCTTGTTCTCCTTTATTAGTTCTAATAGCTTTTTAATAGTTTCCTTAGGATTTTCTCTATATAGAATCATGCTACTTGCAAATAGAGATAGTTTTAATTCTTCCTTTTCAGTCTGGATGCTTTTCATTTCTTTTTATTGCTTATTTGCCCTAGCTAGAACCTCCAGTATAATGTTGAATAGAAGTGGTAAGAGTGGACATCATTGTCTTATTCCTGCTCTTAGGGAGATCTTGAAGAATCTTCCACAATTAAGTATGAGGTTAGCTGTGGGTTTTTCATAGATGTCCTTTATCAGGTTGAGGAAGTTTCTTTTTCTTATTTGTTGAGTGGTTTTATCATTAAACAGTGTTGGATTTTGTCAATTTTTTTTACATCTATTGAAATGATGGTTTTTGTTCTTTATTAATATGATGTATTATAACAATTGATTTTCAGATATTAAATCAACCTTGTGTTTCTGAAATGAATCCCACTGCATCATGGTGTATAGTCCTTTTTGCATATTATTGGATTCATCCTGCCAGTAGTCTGTTGAGGATTTGTTAAATGTCTGTATTTTTAAGAGTTGTTGGTATATCATTTTCTTTTATTTATTTATTTATTTTATTATTTTTTTTTATTGATCATTCTTGGGTGTTTCTCACAGACGGGGATTTGGCAGGGTCATGGGACAATAGTGGAGGGAAGATCAGCAGATAAACAAGTGAACAAAGGTCTCTGGTTTTCCTAGGCAGAGGACCCTGCGGCCTTCCACAGTGTTTGTGTCCCTGGGTACTTGAGATTAGGGAGTGGTGATGACTCTTAACGAGCATGCTGCCTTCAAGCATCTGTTTAACAAAGCACATCTTGCACCGCCCTTAATCCATTTAACCCTGAGTGGACACAGCACATGTTTCAGAGAGCACAGGGTTGGGGGTAAGGTCATAGATCAACAGGATCCCAAGGCAGAAGAATTTTTCTTAGTACAGAACAAAATGAAAAGTCTCCCATGTCTACTTCTTTCTTCACAGACACAGCAACCATCCGATTTCTCAATCTTTTCCCCACCTTTCCCCCTTTTCTATTCCACAAAACCGCCATTGTCATCATGGCCCGTTCTCAATGAGCTATTGGGTACACCTCCCAGACGGGGCGGCTGCTGGGCGGAGGGGCTCCTCACTTCGCAGACGGGGCGGCTGCCGGGTGGAGGGTCTCCTCACTTCTCAGACAGGGCGGCCGGGCAGCGACGCTCCTCACCTCCCAGAAGGGGCGGCGGGGCAGAGGCGCTCCCCACATCTCAGACGATGGGCGGCCGGGCAGAGACGCTCCTCACTTCCTAGATGGGATGGCGGCTGGGCAGAGACGCTCCTCACTTCCTAGATGGGATGGCGGCCGGGCAGAGACGCTCCTCACTTTCCAGACTGGGCAGCCAGGCAGAGGGGCTCCTCACATCCCAGACGATGGGTGCCCAGGCAGAGACGCTCCTCACTTCCCAGACGGGGTGGCGGCTGGGCAGAGGCTGCAATCTCGGCACTTTGGGAGGCCAAGGCAGGCGGCTGGGAGGTGGAGGTTGCAGCGAGCCGAGATCGCGCCACTGCACTCCAGCCTGGGCACCATTGAGCACTGAGTGAACGAGACTCCGTCTGCAATCCCGGCACCTCGGGAGGCCGAGGCTGGCGGATCACTCGCGGTTAGCAGCTGGAGACCAGCCCGGCCAACACAGCGAAACCCCGTCTCCACCAAAAAAATACGAAAACCAGTCAGGCGTGGCAGCACTCGGCAGGCTGAGGCAGGAGAATCAGGCAGGGAGGTTGCAGTGAGCCGAGATAGCAGTAGTACAGTCCAGCTTCGGCTGGGCATCAGAGGGAGACCGTGGAAAGAGAGGGAGAGGGAGACCGTGGGGAGAGTGAGAGGGGGAGGGGGAGAGGGAGAGGGAGAGCCATTTTCTTTTCTTGTGATGTCTTTGGTTTTGATACCAGGGTAATGCTGGGCTCATAGAATGAGTCAAGAAGTGTTCCCCTTTTCTTCTATTTTGGAAAGATTTGTGAAAGTTTTGTATTAATTCTTGAAATGTTTGGTAGAATTCACCTTTGAAGCCACCTGGGCTTGGGCTTTTCTTTGTGTGAAGCTTTTTTGTTTTTGTTTTTGTTTTTTGAGATGGGGTCTGTCTGTCACCCAGGCTGGAGTGCAGTGACATGATCCTCTCTAATTCCTCTTTCATTCCCTTGGTGGGAGGGTTACCTGCAGCCTTGACCTCCTGGGCTCAGGTAATCTTCCCACCTCAGCCTCCCAAGCAGCTGGGACTGCAGGCATGTGCCACCACACCTGGCTAATTTTTGTTTTTTGGTTTTTTTGTAGAGACAAGGTCTTGCCATGTTGCCCAGGCTAGTCTCAAACTCCTGGGCTCAAGCGATCCACTTGCCTCAGCCTACCAAAGTGCTAGGATTACAGGCATGAGCCTCCATGCCCGGCCTGAAGTTTTAAAATTACTGATTTAGTCTCTATGCTTGCTGTAGCTATTCAGATTTTTTATTTCTTCTTGAGTCTGTTTAGCAGTTTGTATCTTTCTAGGAATTTGTGCATTTCATCTAAGTTACCTAATTTATTTACACACTCCTGTTTATAGAATTCCCCTAAGATCCTCTTCATTTTGTAAGTTTGGTGGTGATGTCTCCTCTTTCATTTCTGATTTTAGTAATGTAAGTTTTTTCTGTTTTACTTGGTCATTCTACGTAAAGGTTTGTCAATTTTATTGATCTTTCTAAAGAACCAACTTCTGGTTTCATAGATTTTTTTTCTATAGTTTTTCTGTTCTCTATTTAATTTGTTCACCCTAATATTTATTTCCTTCCCACTGCTAGCTTTAGATTTAGTTTACCCTTCTTTTCTAGATCCATAAGGTAGAAAGTTAAGTTGTTAGGTTGTTAATTTGAGATCATTTGTCTTAGCTCAGGCTGCCATAACAAAATTCCATAGACGTAGTGACTTAAACAACAGAAATTTATTTTCTCACATTTCTGGAGGCTAGAAGTCCAAGATCACGGTGCCAGTATGGTCAGGTTCTGGTAAGGGCTCTCTTCCTGGCTTGCAGACAGCATCTTCTCTCTCTGTTCTCCCATCAGGCAAGGAAAAGAGAGCTAGCTGTCTAGTGTCTTTTATTTAATTGATACATAATATTTGTACACATTTATGGGGTACGTGTGATATTTTGTTACATGCAAAGACTGTGTAATGATCAAGTCAGGATATATGGGGTGTCCATCAGCTCAAGAATTTATTTCTGTGTGATGGGAACATTTCAAATTCTCTCTTCTAGCTATTTTGAAATATATAATACACTATTGTTAACTTTAGTCACCCTACTCTGCTATCAAACATTAGAACTTATTCCTTCTATCCAACTGTGTGTTTGTACCTATTAACCATCCTCTCATATTCCCTGCTCGGCCCCACATACCCACACCCTTCCTAGCCTCTGGTATCTATTGTGCTATTGTCTACCTCCATGAGATCAACTGTTTTAGTTCCCACATGTGAGTAAGAACATGTGATATTTGTCTTTCCATGCCTGCCTTATATCACTTAACATAATAACCTCCAGTTACATCCATGTTGCTGTAAATGGCATGACTTCATTCTATTTCATGGTCAAATAGTATTCCATTGTGTTTATAAACCACATTTTCTTTATCCATTCATCCATTCATGGACACTTAGGTTGACTCCATATCTTTGCTATTGTGAATAGGGATGCAATAAATATGCAAGTGCAGATATCCCGTCTATACACTGATTTCTTTTCCTTTGCATAAATACCCAGTAGTAGGATTGCTGGATCATATGGTAGTTTAATTTTTAGTTTTTGGGGAAATCTCCACACTGGTTTCCATAGTAGCTGCACTAGTTTACTTTCCCACCAACAGTGTGTAAGTGTTTTTTTTTTTTTTCCTTATACTAGCCAGCATCTGTTATTTTGTATCTTTTTAGTAACCATTCTAACTGGGGTAACATGATATCTCATTTTGGCTTTTATTTGCATTTCTATGATGTTGAGCATTTTTTCATATACCTTTTGGCCATTTGTATGTCTTCTTTTGAGAAATGGCTATTCATGTCCTCTGCCCACTTTTTAAGGGGATTATTTGTATATCTCCTGTTGAGTTCATTATATATTCTGGATATTATTCCCTTATCAAATGAATAGTTTGCAACTATTTTCTCCCATTCAACTGGTTGTCTCTTCACTCTTGATTATTTCCTTTGCTGTGCAAAAGCTTTTTTGTTTAATATAGTCCTATTTGTCTATTTTTCTTTTCGTTACCTGTCCTTTTGAGGTGTTAGCCATAAAATCTTTTCCTAGAGCAGTGTTCTGAAGTGTTTCCCCTATGTTTTCTTCTAGTAGGTTTATAGTTCTGGGTCTGAAATTTAAGTCTTTAATCTATCTTGGTTGATTTTTGTATGTGATGAGAGACAGAGGTCCAGTTTAATTCTTCCACATATGGATATCCAGTTTTCCCAATACCATTTATTGAAGAAAGTGTCCTTTCCCCAGTGTACGTCCTTGGCACCTTTGTTGAAAATCAGTTGCCTATATATGTGTGGCTGTACATACGTGGATCAATGTCTGGCTTTTCTATTCTATTCCATCGACCTTGTGTCTGTTTTTATACCAAACCATGCTGTTTTGGTTACTGTAGCCTTGTAATATGTTTTGAAGTCAGGTAGTGTGATGCCTCCAGCTTTGTTCATTTTGCTCAGGATTGCTTTGGCTATTTGGACTCTTTTTTGGTTCCTGAAATACTAATTTTAGGATTGTTTTTTCTGTTTCTGTGAAAAATGACATTGGTACTTCGATAGAGATTGCATTGAATCTGTAGATTGCTTTGGGCTTATGGTCATTTTAATAATATACATTCTTATGATCCATGACCATAAGATGTCTTTCTGTATCTTTGTGTCATCTTCAGTTTTTTTCATCAGTGTTTTGTAGTTTTACTTGTAGGAGTCTTTCACCTACTCGTTAAATTTATTCTTCAATATTTTATATGTTCATAACTATTATAAATGGGATTACCTTCTTGATTTCATAAAGTTTTATTTCACCAAGTTGATTATTGATGCATAGAAACATTACAGATATTTGTATGTTGATTCTGTATCCTGCAACTTTACTGAATATATTTATCAGATCTAGGAGTTTTTTGGTGGAGTCTTTGGGTCTTTTAGACATAAGATCATATCATCTGCAAAGAGGGATAATTTGACATCCTCTTTTTCAATTTGGATGCCCTTTATTTCTTTCTCTTGCCTGATTGCTCTGGCTAGGACTTCCAGTATTGTGTTGAATAGGAGTAGTGAAACTGGGCTTCCTTCCAGTACTATGTTGAATAGGAGTGGTGAGAGTTTTCCATTTCTTAGAGGAAAGGCTTTTCGTTTTTCCCATTCCGTATGATGTTAGCTGTGGGTTTGTCATAAATGGCCTTTATCATGTTGAGGGATATTCCTTCTATGCCTAGTTTTTTGAGAGTTTTTATCATGAAGAGATGTTGAATTTTTTTTGATACCTTGAACTATATATTTTTATTTGAATATATAAAAGTAGAATATCCTATTTTCCTTTTGAGCTATGTCATCATACTGCTAAAATTATGGATGAAAATGGAAATATTTCAACCTGACCCATTGCAATTTCTATGTTACACATTTGCTCTTTTTTTATTATTATACTTTAAATTCTGGGATACATGTGCAGAATGTGCAGCTTTGTTACATAGGTATACACATGCCATGGTGGTTTGCTGCACCCATTAACCCATCATCTACATTAGGTATTTCTCCTAATGCTATTTCTCCCCTAGCCCCCCTACCCCCAACAGGCCCCAGTGTGTGATGTTCCCCTCCCTGTGTCCATGTGTTCTCATTGTTCAACTCCCACTTATGAGTGAGAACACGTGGTGTTTGGTTTTCTGTTCCTTTCTTACCTTGCTGAGAATGATGGTTTCCAGCTTCATCCATGTCCCTGCAAAGGACATGAACTCCTCCTTTTTTATGGCTGCATAGTATTCCATCGTGTATATGTGCCACATTTTCTTTATCCAGTCTATCATTGTTGGGCATTTGGGTTGGTTCCAAGTCTTTGCTATTGTGAACAGTGCTGCAATAAACATACGTGTGCATGTGTCTTTATAGTAAAATGATTTATAATCCTTTGGGTATATACCCAATAATGGGATTGCTGGGTCAAATGGTATTTCTGGTTCTAGATCCTTGAGGAATCGCCACACTGTCTTTGACAATGGTTGAACTAATTTACACTTCCACCAACAGTGTAAAAGCATTCCTATTGCTCCACATCCTCTCCAGCATCTGTTCTTTCCTGACTTGTTAATGATTGCCATTTAATGGTCGCCATTCTTACTGGTGTGAGAGGATATCTCATTATGGTTTTGATTTGCATTTCTCTAATGACCCGTGATGATGAGCTTTTTTTTCATATGTTTATTGGCCACATAAATGTCTTCTTTTGAGAAGTGTCTTTTCATATCCTTCACACACTTTTTGATGGGGTTGTTTTTTTCTTGTAAATTTGTTTAAGTTCCTTGTAGATTCCGGATATTAGCCCTTTGTCAGATGGATAGATTGCAAAAATTTTTTCCCATTCTGTAGGTTGCCTGTTCACTCTGATGATAGTTTCTTTTGCTGTGCAGAAGCTCTTTGCTTTAATTAGATCCCATTTGTCAATTTTGGCTTTTGTTGCCATTGCTTTTGGTGTTTTAGTCATGAAATCTTTGCCCATACCTATGTCCTGAATGGTATTGCCCAGGTTTTCTTCTAGGGATTTTATGGTTTTAAGTCTTATGTTTAAGTCTTTAATCCATCTTGAGTTAATTTTTGTATAAGGTGTAAGGAAGGGGGCCAGTTTCAGTTTTCTGAATATGGCTAGCCAGTTTTCCCAACACCATTTATTAAATAGGGAATCCTTTCCCCATTGCTTGTTTTTGTCAGGTTTGTCAAAGATCAGATGGTTGTAGATGTGTAGCGTTATTTCTGAGGCCTCTGTTCTGTTCCATTGGTCTATGTATCTGTTTTGGTACCAATACCATGCTGTTTTGGTTACTGTAGCCTTGTAGTATAATTTGAAGTCAGGTAGCGTGATGTCTCCAGCTTTGTTCTTCTTGCTTAGGATTGTCTTGGCTATGTGGGCTCTTTTTTGGTTCCAAATGAAATTTAAAGTAGTGTTTTTCTAATTCTGTGAAGAAAGTCAATGGTAGCTGGATGGGGATAGCATTGAATCTATAAATTACTTTGGGCAGTTTGGCCATATTCTTCCTATCCATGAGCATGGAATGTTTTTCCATTCATTTGTGTCCTCTCTTATTTCCTTGAGCAGTGGTTTGTCATTCTCCTTGAAGAGGTCCTTCACATCCCCTGTAAGTTGTATTTCTAGGTATTTTATTCTCTTTGTAGCAATTGTGAATGGGAGTTCACTCATGATTTGGCTCTCTGTTTGTCTTTTATTGGTGTATAGGAATGCTTGTGATTTTTGCACATTGATTTTGCATTCTGATACTTTGCTGAAGTTGCTTATCAGCTTAAGGAGATTTTGGGCTGAGACAATGGGGTTTTCTAAATATACAATCATGTCATCTGCAAAGAGAGACAATTTGACTTCCTCTCTTCCTATTTGAATACCCTTTATTTCTTTCTCTTGCCTGATTGCCCTGGACAGAACTTCCAATACTATGTTGAATAGGAGTGGTGAGGGAGGGCATCCTTGTCTTGTGCTGGTTTTCAAAGGGAATACTTCCAGCTTTTGCCCATTCAGTATGATATTGGATGTGGGTTTGTCATAAATAGTTCTTATTATTTTGAGATGCATTCCATCAATACCTAGTTTATTGAGAGTTTTTAGCATAAAGCGGTGTTGAATTTTATCGAAGGCCTTTTCTGCATCTATTGAGATAATCATGTGGTTTTTGTCATTGGTTCTTTTTCTGTGATGGATTACGTTTATTGATTTGCGTATGTTGAACCAGTCTTGCATCCCAGTGATGAAGCTGACCTGATCGTGGTGGATAAGCTTTTTGATGTGCTGATGGGTTCGATTTGCCAGTATTTTATTGAGGATTTTCGCATCAGTGTTCATCAGGGATATTGGCCTGAAATTTTCCTTTTTGGTTGTGTCTCTGCCAGGCTTTGGTATCAGGATGATGCTGGCCTCATAAAATGAGTTAGGGAGGAGTCCCTCTTCTTCTGTTGTTTGGAATAGTTTCAGAAGGAATGGTACCAGCTCCTCTTTATACCTCTGGTGGAATTCAGCTGTGAATCCTTCTGGTCCTGGACCTTTTTTGTTTGGTAGGCTATTAATTACTGCCTCAAGTTCAGAACTTGTTATTGTTGTATTCAGGGATTTGACTTCTTCCTGGTTCAGTCTTGGGAGGGTGTATGTGTCCAGGAATTTATCCATTTCTTCCAGATTTTCTAGTTTACTTGCATAGAGGTGTTTATAGTATTCTCTGATGGTAGTTTGTATTTCTGTGGGATCAGTGGTGATACCCCCTTTATCATTTTTTATTGTTTCTATTTGATTCTTCTCTCTTTTCTCCTTTATTAGTCTCGCTAGCAGTCTATCAATTTTGTTAATCTTTTCAAAAAACCAGCTCCTGGATTCATTGATTCTTTTTGAAGGGTTTTTCATGTCTCTTTCTCCTTCAGTTCTGCTCTGATCTTAGTTATTTCTTGTCTTCTGCTACCTTTGAATTTGTTTGCTCTTGCTTCTCTAGTTCTTTTAATTGTGATGTTAGGGTGTTGACTTTAAATCTTTCCCACTTTTTGCTGTGGGCATTTAGTGCTATAAATTTCCCTCTAAATACTGCTTTAGCTGTGTCCCAGAGATTCTGGTACGTTGTGTCTTTATTCTCATTGGTTTCAAAAAACTTATTTATTTCTGCCTTAATTTTGTTATTTACCCAGTAGTCATTCAGGAACAGGTTGTTCATTTTCCATGTAGTTGTGCAGTTTTGAGTGAGTTTCTTAATCCTGAGTTCTAATTTGATGGCACTGTGGTCTGAGAGACTGTTGGTTACGATTTCCATTTTTTGCATTTGCTGAGGAGTGTTTTACTTCCAATTATGTGATCAACTTTAGAATAAGTGCAATGTGGTGCTGAGAAGAATGTATATTCTGTTGATTTGGCTTGGAGAGTACTGTAGATGTCTATTAGGTCCTCTTGGTCCAGAGCTGAGTTCAAGTCCTGAATATCCTTGTTAATATTCTGTCTCAATCTAATATTGACAGTGGGTGTTAAAGTCTCCTACTATTATTGTGTGGGAGTCTGAGTCTCTTTGTAGGTCTGTAAGAACTTGCTTTATGAATCTGGGTGCTCCTGTATTGGGTGCATATATATTTAGGATAGTTAGCTCTTCTTGTTGCATTGATCCCTTTACCATTATGTAATGCCCTTTTTTGTCTTTTTTGATCTTTGTTGGTTTAAAGTCTGTTTTATCAGAGACTAGGATTGCAGCCACTGCTTTTTTTTGCTTTCCATTTGCTTAGTAAATAATCCTCTATCCCTTTATTTTGAGCCTGTGTGTGTCTTTGCACATGAGATGGGTCTCCTGAATGCAGCACATGGGTGGGTCTTGATTCTTTATTCAATTTGCCAGTCTGTGTCTTTTATTTGGGGCATTTACCCCATTTACATTTAAGGTTAATATTGTTATGTGTGAATTTGATCCTGTGATTATAATGCTAGTTGGTTATTTTGCTTGTTAGTCGATATAGTTTCTTCATAGTGTTGATGGTCTTTACAGTTTGATATGTTTTTGCAGTGGCTGGTACTGGTTTTTCCTTTCCATATTTAGTGCTTCCTTCAGGACCTCTTGTAAGGCAGGCCTGGTGGTGACAAAATCTCTCAGCATTTGCATGTCTGTAAAGGATTTTATTTCTCCTTCACTTATAAAGCTTAGTTTGGTTGGATATGAAATTCTGGGTTGAAAATTCTTTTCTTTAAGAATGTTGAATATTCGCCCCCAGTCTCTTCTGGCTTGTAGGGTTTCTGTCGAGAGATCTGCTGTTAGTCTGATGGGCTTCCCTTTGTGGGTAGCCTGACCTTTCTCTCTGGCTGCCCTTAACATTTTTTCCTGCATTTCATCCTTGGTGAATCTGACGATTATGTGTCTTGGAGTTGCTCTTCTCGAGGAGTATCTTTGTGGTGTTCTCTGTATTTCCCAAATTTGAATGTTGACCTATCTTGCTAGGTTGGGGAAGTTCTCCTGGTTAATATCCTAAAGAATGTTTTCCAACTTGGTTCTGTTCTCCCTGTCACTTTCAAGCACACCAATCAAACATAGGTTTGGTCTTTTCATATAGTCCCATATGTCTTGGAGCCTTTGTTCATTCCTTTTCATTATTTTTTCTCTAATCTTGTCTTCACACTTTATTTCATTAAGTTGATCTACAATCTCTGATATCCTTTCTTCCACCTGATCAGTTCGGCTATTGATACTTTTGTATGCTTCACAAAGTTCTCGTGCCGTGTTTTTCAGTCCCATCAGGTCATTTATGTTCTTCTCTAAACTGGCTATTCTAGTTAGCAATTCCTCTAACCTTTTTTCAAGGTCCTTAGTTTCCTTGCATGGGGTTAGAACATTCTCCTTTAGCTTGGAGGAGTTTGTTATTATCCACCTTCTGAAGCCTGCTTCTGTCAATTTGTCAAACTCATTCTCCGTCCAGTTTGTTCTCTTGGAATTTTCAGCCTTTTTGCACTGGTTTTTCCTCATCTTCATGGATTTATCTACCTTTGGTCTTTGATGTTGGTGACCTTTGGATGGGGTTTCTATGTGGACATCCTTTTTGTTGATGTTGATGCTATTCCTTTCTGTTTGTTAGTTTTCCTTCTAACAGGCCTCTCTGCTGCAGGTCTGCTGGAGTTTGTTGGAGGTCCACTCCAGACCCAGTTTGCCTGGGTATCACCAGCGGAGGCTGCAGAACAGCAAAGATTGCTGCCTGTTCCTTCCTCTGGAAGCTTCGTCCCAGAGGGGCACCTGCCAGATGCCAGCCAGAGCTCTCCTGTATGAGATGTCTGTCGACTCCTGCTGGGAGGTATCTTCCAGTCAGGAGGCATGGAGCTCAGGGACCCACTTGAGGAGGCAGTCTATACTTTAGCAGAGCTTGAGCACTGTGCTGGGATTGCCGCTGCTCTCTTCCGAACTGGCAGGCAGGAACGTTTAAGTCTGCTGAAACTGAGTCCACAGCCACCCCTTCCCCCAGGTGCTCGGTCCCAAGGAGATGGGAGTTTTATCTATAAGCCTCTGGCTGGGGCTGCTGCCTTTCTTTCAGAGATGCGCTGCCCAGAGAGGAGGAATCTAGAGAGGCAGTCTGGCTACAGGGACTTTGCGGAGCTGCGGTGGGCTCTCCCCGGTTCAAACTTCCTGGCCACTCTGTTTACACAGTGAGGGGAAAACTGCCTACTCAAGCCTCAGTAATGGCAGACGCCCCTCCCTCCACCAAGCTCGAGTGTCCCAGGTCGACTTCAGACTGTTGTGCTGGCAATGAGAATTTCAAG
The DNA here is from genome assembly GCF_000001405.40 of Homo sapiens. Classification (NCBI taxonomy): domain Eukaryota; kingdom Metazoa; phylum Chordata; class Mammalia; order Primates; family Hominidae; genus Homo; species Homo sapiens. The sequence continues at coordinate 155,918,220 of NC_000023.11, forward strand.
CCAGTGGATCTTAGCCTGCTGGGCTCCGTGGGGGTGGAATATACTGAGCTAGACCACTTGCCTCCCTGGCTTCAGCCCCTTTCCAGGCGAGTGAACAGTTATGTCTCACTGGCATTCCAGGCGCCACTGGGGTATGAAAAAAAAACTCCTGCAGCTAGCTCGGTGTCTGCCCAAATGGCCGCCCAGTTTTGTGCTTGAAACCCAGGTCCCTGGTGGCATAGGCACCCAAGGGAATCTCCTGGTCTGCAGATTGCGAAGACTGTGGGAAAAGCATAGTATCTGGGCCAGAGTGCACCATTCCTCACGGCACGGTCCCTCAAGGCTTCCCTTGGTTAGGGGAGGGAGTTCCCCGACCCCTTGTGCTTCCTGGATGAGGCAACGCCCCACCCTGCTTCGGCTCACCCTCCGTGGGCTGCACCCACTGTCTAACCAGTCCCAATGAGATGAGCCGGGTACCTCAGTTGGAAATGCAGAAATTACCCACCTTCTGCATTGATTTCACTGGGAGCTGCAGACCAGAGCTGTTCCTATTCGGTCATCTTGCCAACCACCCTGAGATGTTGAATTTTATCAAATGCTTTTTTTATCAGATGCTTTCTCTGCATCTATTAAGGTGATCATGTGGCTTTTATTCTCTATTCTATTGATGGAATGTTTCATGTTTATTGATTTGCATGCATTGAATCATCATTGCATCCCTGGGATAAATCCCACTTGATCATGGTGTATTATCTTTTTGATGTGATGTTTGATTTGGTTTGCTAGTATTTCGTTGAGGATTTTTGCATCTGTGATCATCAGGGTTGTTGGCCTGCAGTTTTGTTTTTTTGTTGAGTCCTTATCAGGTTTTGGTATCAGGGTAATGCTGGCCTTATAGAATGAGTAGGGAGAATTCCCTCCTCTTGAATTTTTTGGCATAGTTTGAGAAGTGATATTAGTTCTTCTCTGTAAGTTTCATGGAGTTCTCCAGTGAAGCCAGCTGATTCTGGGCATTGTTTTGGTTTTGTTGGGAGACTTTATTACTGATTATACTTTATTACTGATTCAATCCCATTACTCATTACTGGCTTGTTCAGGTTTTCTATTTCTTTCTGATTCAGTCTTGGTAGGTTGCATGTGTCCTGGGATTTATCCATTTCTTCTGGGTTTTCAAGTTTATTAGCATATAGTTGTTAATAGTATTTCTATGGTCACTTCTTCCAATTTTTAGATTTGCTTTAATATGCAAGGACTTTTTCTTGAGGATATATCTATGGTGTTGGTTGGGCAGGGCACTTAGACTTTGATTATGGGTACATTCAGTAGTGTAGTCTGTATAATTTCTTCAGCTATAAACAGCATCATCAACCATGTCTGTATTTTTCTTAGTGGCTTAGGGTGTAGTTGTTATGGAGGCTGTGGTGAAGTTTTGATGGGCATGGGGATTTCAGGTGGGCTAGTCCTTGTTTTCGAGTGGTGTCACCAGTGGGTGAAGCATGCCTGTCCTTTGGCCCCAGGACAGTGTATTCATTAAGTTATATTACTTTTTTAAAAAAAGTTTATTTTATTCTACAATGGAAAACTTGACCTTTTCTACTTTTCCAATATTTTCAGATCTGGTAGCTCAGCGAGGAGAAAGATTGGAATTATTGATTGACAAAACAGAAAATCTTGTGGATTCTGTAAGTATGGAATCTGATAATATGGAGTCTGATGTAAAGTGGAGAAACTATGGATGATGGCTAACATAATTGGGAAATACCTTAAATTCAAATATTTGGTGGTTTTTTTTTCTTTCTCATTTCCATTATGTGATTACTTTGTAATAATGAGGATAACAATGAGGCATAGAAAAGAAACATCATCCCCTAATAGCCATTAAGGTAGCTTTGGTTTGGAAAACATACTCAGTATACAGAAACAATTTTCTAAAGCTTTGGATTGAGGCCTATATAATTTAGCACCTCAACTGCATGTAACAGTCTGTTCCCTTTACAAATTTGTAAAACATGAAACAAATGTGCAAGCCGTTTGTGACCCAGTATGAATCTTGAAAACTGGACAATTCACTTTTTTGCTTACACTGATAGTTTCATCTTGCCTTGTATCAATCAAGAGACATCGATTGGAAAGCGCCAATAAGCCTTAAAGGAGACAATGTGTCCTTGTGAGCTGCTTATACTATGGTTCCGTATGTCCTCACATTTTCAATGCAGTTACTGTGGATGAAAGTTTTAAGGAAAGATGACAGATATATGGTGAACAGAAGGAGGGCAGAGATCAGCTACAATTTGGGTCTACACAATTATAAATGTAAATGTACAGTGCAGGTTTACACCTTGAAAGAAAACAGTGATTGATTATGTTCGTTGTGACTGACAGCTGGATTGTAGTGGTTAAGAACACAGGCTCTAGTATCAGGTTGCCTGGATTTGAATCCCACCTCTGCTACTTACTAGTTGTGTGACCTTAGGCAAATGACTTAACCTCTTTGTGCCTCAGTCATCATCTTCTGTAAAATGAAGATGTACCCACTTCAGAGCATTTTAAGGATTAAATCAGATAATGCATGTAAAGTGCCTAACACAGTATTTGATACATAGTAAGAGCTATTTAAATGTTCATCATTATTGTTAATTTTACAGGGACATCTATTAGCAGCAGGTTTTAGTATATACAGTCTACTATCAGGTTTTCTAGGAGTTTATAAACAGTTTTTTCATCAAAGCATGTGGTAGGTGGAGGAAGGATGCTACCATACAGGAAGTCAAAACACCTGGGTTCTAGATCTCACTTTGTGACCCATTGCTGGGGAGCAAAGAAAACAGAGAAGTATCTGATTCCAGATCTGCAGACCAATTTCTTTGATACTTCCAGGCTGTCTCTTAGTTATTCTTAATTCTTGAGGATTACCCTGCTTAGGGGGAATGGTCTGTCTTTGACCAATAGTAGTATGATCTGTACTTTACAAATAAAAGTCTTAATTTTGTTGACTTCATGACTGAAAACAGAAGGTACTAATGAACTAACAGGTATCTCTCTTTATGGTAGAATAACATACGTGCAGCAAATTGTATCAAGTGTACAACTTTTAAGTGTATAGCTCAATTATTTTTTATATATATCTATACCCATGTAACCACCACCCAGATCTAGATAGAAAACATTACCAACACCCCAGAAGGCTGCCTCATACCCCTTCCAGTTAATAATCCCCAATAGACGTAATTATGTTTCTGACTTATATCACCACAGATAGTGTTTTGCCTGTTCTTAAAATTTATTTGTGTCTGGCCTCTTTCACTCACTGTTATGCCTGTGAAATTCATCCACGTTTTTTATTATAGTAATCACTTATTCTTTTTTATTGTTTTATATTATTCCATTATACAAATCTACCACAATTTGTTTATCCGTTCTTCTCTGTGGGGCTTTATTTCTGGATTCTCTATTTTGTTCCATTGGTCAGTTTGTCTACCTTTATGCCAGTACCACACTGTGTTGATTAGTATAACTTAATAGAATTCTTGAAATTAAGTAGTGTAAGTCTTCCAACTATATTCTTGTTGTCCAATATTGTCTTCACTCTTTTAGGTGCTTTGCATTTCCATATATGTTTTAGAATAAGCTTGTTTTCCATCTCTTGACCCCACAACAATGTGTATCTTTGTGACTGCATTTAATATATAGGTCACTTTAGGGGACATTGGTATCTTGACAGTATAGAGTTTTTCGGTCCATGAACGTGACATATCTCTGCTTTTGCTTAGGATTTAAAAATTTTTCTCAGCAGTATTTTTTAGTTTTTGGTGTACAGGTCTTGCACATATTTGTTAAATTTACCCTTGAGAATATCATGCTTTTGTATTGTGTAACAAATTTTTAAATTTTGTTTCTAATTCTTTATTGCTAGTATATGGAAATAAAGTTGGTTATTGTATATTGACCTTGTTTGTATTCTGCAACCTTAGAAAAATTCATTTACCAGTTCTGGTTACTGTTTTGTACATTCCTGCCTTTTATTTTCCTTCCCTTATTCTGGCTAGAACCTTCTACACAATACTGAATACAAGTGATAACAGTGAACATCCTTGCCTATTGACCATCTTGTGGGGAAAAATTCAATACTTTTTGAAAAAAATAAATTCAGTGTTAAGTTTGTGGTTAACTGTAGATTTTTTGTAGGTACCCTTTAATAGGTGGAAGAATTCCCTTTAATTCCTCATTTGAGAGTTGTATTCATGATTTTATCAAATGCTTTTTCTCCATTTATTGAGATCTTTGGTTTTTCTCCTTTATTCAGTTAGTATGGCAAATTACATTGATTTTTCAGTGTTAAACCAACTTTGCATTCCTGCAAGGTCATGACTTACTACCCTTCTTATATAACACTTTATTGGATTTGCTATTGTTTTGTTCAGGAATTTGGCATCTATGTTTATAAGAGATAGTGGTCTGTAATTTATTTTTCTCTTTAGGTTTTGGTATCAGGAATATGCTGGCCTCATTAAACAAGTTGGGAAATCTTACCTCTCTATCTTCTGAGTTTGGGTACTATTGGTATTATCTGTCTTAGATGTTTGGAAGAATTTACTAGTAAAGCAGATTGGGCCTCGAGTTTTCTTCGTTGGAAAATTTAAAATCTGCCATCTTGCTGTTTGTTTCCTATTTATACCATCTAGTCTTTGTTCCCTTTTTGTTCTGCCTTCCATTGGATTTAGTACATTTGTTATTCCATTATGTCTCCTTTGTCAGTTTATTAGCTATAGCTCCATTCTGTCATTTTCTGATTGCTTTAGGGTTTACAGTATGTCTTTGATTTATAATCTCCCTTAAAGTGGCATTTTTCCACTTCATGAATAGATAAGAACCTTATAATAGTATACTTCTAGCTGTTTCTTCTTGGCCTTTATGCTATTGTTGACATATTTTTATTTACACATGTATTAAAAACTTCATAATACATTGTTGTTGTTTTTGTTTAAAGAGTTGATTATCTTTTAAAGAGATTTAAATAATAAGGGAAGTCTTTTCTGTTTACCCATGCAGCTACCATTTCAGTGCTCTTAATTCTTTTGTGTAGGCCGAGTTTCTATCTGATGTTATTTTCTTTCTGCCTGTATGCTTTAATTTAACATATAATCTTCCATTGTAGTTCAAGTGTGTAGGTCTACTGGAAATGAATTCTTTCAGGTTTGGTATGTCTGAGAAGTTTTTATTTCACTTCCTTTTTTTTTTTGAAAGACATTTTCACTGAGTATAGAATTCTAGGTCAGTGATTTTTCTTTCTTTTAATACTTGATGAACGGTGGTTCATCACTGTCTTTTACATTGTTTCTGACAAGAATTCTGCTGTCATTCTTACATACATAAAGTGTATTTTTTTTTCTTCTGGATGCTTTAAAGATTTTCTCTTTATCATTGGTTTTAAGAAATTTGATTATAATATATATGCCTTGGTATATATTTCTTTATGTTTCTTTGGCTTTGAGTTTGTTGTAGTTTTCATCAAATTATGAAAATGTTTAGCTCTTTCTAGGCTTCCAGTGACATCTGTATTAAGCCACTTGAAGCTGTCCCACAACTCACTGATGCTTTGTTCATTTTTAAGTCTTTTTTCCACTATGTTTCATTTAGAATAGTTTCTATTGCTATGTCTTCAAGTTTACTTACCTTTTCTTCTGCAGTTCGCAATCTGCTGTTTCTGTCCTGTGTATGTTTCATCTTTACAGGTTTGTTTTGGATCTTTTTTATATCTTCCATGTGTCTCCTTAACATGTGCATACTTTCCTCTACCTTGAGTATATGAAGTATATTTATAATTGAAGTGCTTATTCCACTTACATGTAATGCAAATTTTGATAGAGTTAGGTGTAGGTATCTTGCTCTTTGTTTTTTATTTGCCGCATCCCTGTCCTCTTCTTTTTTATTTTGATTACTCAAGTACTTTTTAAATTGTTTTTTAACCATCTCTATTTGTTTTTTAACACTTCTATTGAGAGATAACTCACAGACCATACAAATTGCCCATTTAAAGGGTACACTTCAGTGGAATTTAGTATATTACATTATTAAAATTGTGGTAAAATATGTATAGCATAAAATTTTGCCATTTTAACCTTTTTAAAGTGCACAATTCAGTGATGTTAATTACATCCACAATGTTGTGCATCCATCACTACTAGCTATTTCCAAAACTTTTTTATCACCCCTTAACAAAAACTCTGTAACCATTAAGTAATAATAACTCCCCATTCCCCTTACTCTCAGCCCCTGGTAACTCTAATCTACTTTCTGTCTCTGAATTTGCCTGTTCTAGATATGTCATATAAGTGGGATCATACAAAATTTGCCCTTTTGTGTCTGGCTTATTTCACTAAGCATAATAGTTTATTGCTTAAAAAAAAATGCTAACAATCACCTGAGCCTTCAGTGAGCCTTAATCTTTTTGCTGGTGGAGGGTCTCACCTTGATGTTGATGGCTACTGACTGATCGATCAGGCTGGTGGTTGCTGAAGGTTGTGGTGGCTGTGGCAATTTCTTAAAATAAGACAACAGTGAAGTTTACCACATTGATTGACTCTTTCACAAAAGATTTCTCTGTAGCATGTGTTGCTATTTGATAGCAATTTACTGGCAATAGAACTTCTTTCAAAATTGGAGTCAATCCTCTCAAACCCTGCTACTGCTTTATCAGCTGAGTTGATGTAATTTTCTAAATCTTTTGTTGTCATTTCAACAGTGTTCACAGCATCTTCACCAGGAATAGTTGCCATCTCAAGAAACCACTTTCCTTGCCCATGCATAAGAAACAACTCCTCATTCATTAAAGTTTTATCAAGAAACTGCAGCAGTTCAGTCATGTCTTCAGGCTCCAGTTCTAATTCTAGTTCTCTTCTATTTCTACCACATCTGCAGTTACTCACTCCACTGAAGTCTTGAACCCCTCAAAGTAATTTGTGAGGGTTGTAATCAGTTTCTTCCAAACACCTGTTAATGTTTATATTTTGACTTCCTCCCACGAATCATGAATGTTCTTAATGGCATCTAGAATGGTGAATCCTTTCTAGAAGGTCTTCAGTTTACTTTGCCCAGATCCATCAGAGGAATCATTATCTATGGCAGCTATACTAAATGTTTTTCTTAAATAATAAGACTTGAAAGTTGAAATCACTCCTTGATTCATGGGCAGCAGAATGGATGTTGTATTAGCAGGTGTGAACCCCAAAAGTCTGAGACAGGTCTCAGTTGATTTAGAAAGTTTATTTTGCCAAAGTTGAGAGCGCACACCCGTGACACAGCCTCAGGAGGTCCTGACAACATGTGCCCAAGGTGGTCAAAGCCCAGTTTGGTTTTATACATTCTAGGGAGACGTGAGACATCAGTCAACATATGCAAGATGAACATTGGTTTGGCCTGGAAAGGCGGAACAACTCGAAGCAAAGGCGGGAAGGCTCGAAGTGGGGAGGGGGCCTCCAGGTCTTAGATAGATAAGAGACAAATGGTTCTATTCTTTTGAGTTTCTGATGAGCCTCTCCAAAGGAGGCAATCAGATACGCATTTATCTCAGTGAGCAGAGGGGTGACTTTGAATAGAATGGGAGGCAGGTTGGCCATAAGCAGTTCCCAGCTTGACTTTTCCCTTTAGCTTAGTGATTTGGAGGCCCCAAGATTTATTTTCCTTTCACACAGGCATGAAAACGACATTTATCTCCTCGTAAGTCTCCATCAGAGCTCTTGAGTGACTAGGTTCATTGTCAATGAGCAGTAATACTTTGAAAGGAATCTTTTCTTTTTGAGCAGCAGATCTCCACAGATCTTCTGTACACCATCCTGTAAACAGATGTGCTATCTTCCAGGTTTGTTGTTCCATTTCAAGAGCACAGGCAGAGTATATTTAGCATAATTCTTACGGGCCCTAGATTTTCAGAATGGTAAATTACCATTGGCTTCAGCTTAAAGTCATCAGCTGCATTGGTCCCTAATAAAAGTCAGCTTATCCTTTGAAGCTTTGAAGCCAGTCATTGGCTTCTCTCTATGAAAGTCCTAGATGGCATCTTCTTCCAAAAGAAGGGTGTTTTGTTTACATTGAAAAATCTGTTGTTTAGTATAGCCACCTTTATCAATGATCTTAGCTAGGTCTCCTGGATAACTTACTGTGGCTTCTCTCTCAGCACTTGCTGCTTCACCTTGTACTTTTATGTTATAGAGATGGCTTCTTTCCTTAAACCTCATGAACCAACTTCTGCTAGCTTTAAACTTTTCTTCTGCACCTTCCTCGCCTCTCTCAGCCTTCATAGAGTTGAAGAGTTAGGGCCTTGCTCTGTATTAGGCTTTGGCCTAAGGAAATGTTATAGCTGGTTTAATCTTCTATCCAGACCCCTAAAACATTCTCCATATCAGCAGTAAGTCTGTTTTGCTTTCTTATATGTGTGTTCACTGGAGTAGCACTCCTGATTTCCTTCAAGAACTGTTCTTTGCATTCACAATTTGGTTAACTGTTTGTCACAGGACACCTAGCTTTAGGCCCATCTCAGCTTTCGACATGCCTTACTCACTAAGCTTAATTATTTTTATCTTTTGATTTAAAGCAAGGGATGTGTGACTTTTCCTTTCACTTGAATACATAGATGCCATTGTAAGGTTATTAATTGGCCAAATTTCAATATTGTGTCTCGGCAAATAGGGAGGCCTGAGAGGGAGAGAGATAAGAGAATAGCTGGTCAGTGAACAGTTAGAACACACAACATTTATCCGTTAGCTCCGTCACCTTATATAGGCACAGTTTATGGCACCCGAAAACAATCACAATAGTAACATCAGAGGTCACAGATCGTCATAACAGATAGAATGAAAATAATGAAAAGTTTGAAATGTTATAAGAATTACCAAAACACAGACATGAGGCGACCACATGCTGTTAGAAAAATGGTGCTGCCGCATGTTCTCACTCCTAAGTGGGAGTTGAACAATGAGAACACATGGACACAGTGAGGGGAACATCACACACTGGGGCCTGTCGGGGAGTGGGGGCTAGGGGAGGGATAGCATTAGGAGAAATACCTAATGTAGATAACGGGTTGATGGGTACAGCAAACCACCATGTCACGTGTATACCTGTGTAAGAAACCTGCACGTTCTGCACATGTATCCTAGAACTTAAAGTATAATAATAATAATAAAAAGAAACAAAAAGTGCAGGCCAAGCAGGAAAAAAAAAAAACAAACCAGAAAAATGGTGCTGATAGTCTCATCATGGGGTTTCCACAGACCTTCGATTTGCCAAAAAAAAAAAAAAAAAAAAAAAAAAATCCATGAAGTGCGATAATGTGAAGTACAATAAAAGGGGATATGCCTGTAATTCTTTCTGTGTCCTTTATTGTTTTCCTGCAGTTCTGTTTCAGTGTACGATTTTGTTTGCTTCAAACTGAAGAAGTTCTTTTATTGTTTCTTATAATGTTGATCTACTGATGAGAGATTCTCTAAGCTTTTGTCTGAAAATCTGTTTCATCATTTTTTTAAAGAATACTTTCTTTGCATAGAGTTTTTTAGTTTTTCACAATGGCAGTTTTTTTTTTTTTTTAAAGTGAGTGCTTTAAAAATGCCATTCCATTTTTCTTTGGCTTTCATATGTTCTCAAAGAGATTGTCATTTCTCTTAGTCTTACTTGAAAAATAATGATTCTTACCCCACCTTTGGCTTTTGTTGTTGTTGTTGTTGTTGTTTGTTTTGTTTTTTTAAGACAGAGTCTCTCTCTCTCACCCAGGCTGGAGTGCAGTGGCACGATCACAGCTTACTGTTGCCTCCACCTCCCAGGCTCAAGTGATCCTCCTGCCTTGCCTCAGCCTCCCAAGTAGGAGGACCACAGGCATGCGCCATCACACTTAGCTAATTTTTTAAATTTTTCTTAGAGACGGGTCTCCCTATGTTGCTCTGGCTGGTCTCAAATGCCCAGGCTCAAGTGATCCTCCCACCTTGGCTTCCCAAAGTGCTGGAAATACAGGCATGAGCCACCACACCTGGCCCCCTTTGGCTGGTTTTAAGAGTGTCTTTTTATATTTGGTTTTCAACTTTTTATATATGGTTATTAGCTTTCTGTGGCTGCTATCACAAATTATCACAAACTTGGTGGCTTAAAACAACAAAAATTTATTTTCTCCCACTACTGGATTTCAGAAGTTCAAAATCAGTTTAACTGGGCTGAAATTAAGGTGTTAGCAAGGCTACACTCCTTCCAGAGGCTCTAGGAGAGGATCTGTTCCATGCCTCTTCCAGCTTCAGGTGGCTGCCAGTATTTCTTGGCTTGTGGCTATATCATTGTAGTCTCTGCCTCCATGTTCACATTACCTTCTCCTTTGCATGTGTGTCAAGCCTCCATCTACTTTCCTCCTATAGAGACATTTGTGATGTCATTTAGGGCTCACATGGATAATCCAGGATACTCTCTTCATCTCAAGATTCTTGACATAATCACATCTGTAAAGACCCCTTTTCCAGATAATATCACATATGTCACATTCATAGGGATTAGGACACAGGCATGTCTTAGGGCAACATTTAACAATTGTTCTTTATAGGTGAACTTGTTTTAAACAGATGGTTTGTCAGTGTTCAGATGTTGACCTGAGAGTGGTGGAGGAATCTCCATTACAACCTGTTGAATCACACAGCTATGTTCGGATTTATTAGTTTCATTCCTCACTGCTTTTTCTCATCTACATCATCTTTCTCTTTCTTGAATTATTTATTGTGAATTAGTCTTTGTTTGTAGTATATCCTCACACATTTTCTTCATATGAGTTTGTGGATGATAATCCCTTCAAGAATAAAAGTGTTATTTTGGTCTCATATTTGAACAATTTTTTGACTGGTGTAGAATTCTAGGGTTAAGATCATTTTCTCTCAAAATTCTCTGAATATTGCTGCATTTCAGTGCATGAAGAATTTAGGCATCTGAGAAGTTCAACAACTATACAGTTTACACGTTTTTTATTTGGGCCAAGTTTGAGGACTGCAACCCAGGAGCATAGATTCAAGTTGCTCTGAATATATGTTCTAATTAGCAGCAGTTACAAGTAGGTTTTTAAAGGAAAAAAGGAGAGGCAGTATCTAATTTGTTTACCAAGAATTTACATTAAAATAGCATAAGCTATTGATTGCTATACATTGTCCTTTGTATCACAAATTCCAGGAACATGAAGATAATGGTTGAGGCAGCTAGTCAGCAACAAATTGCCTTTAAACAGTTGCCCCCCCTGGGCATTGTGTGGGGGGTGTGACTGAAGTCCCCATACTCATGTCTTCTGGGCCTGATAAATTTTATATACCTCACATAGCTCAGGCTGCTCTGAGCTGTTTTTCTTTTCTCATTTCCCCCTTTTGATCAAAATTTTTCTCTTCTGAAAGCATTGATGATCAGCATTTTAGATATAAGTTTATCCCATGTCACTGGGGAGGCTTATTCCCAGATATTCTTGTCCCGTGTTGGATGGAAAGACGTAAAAAAGGTACCATGGCTTAAAGAACTTAGTGAGGTCTCAAGGCCAAATTGATTGGCAACACAGAGGAGCAGAGCAACAGGATCTCAGTCAAGCCATCCACTCACGCTGGAGCCATGGCATGAACAACTATACAGTTTACTCAAGTCCACCCTCACTTAATGGCACCAACTGCAAGTTTGGGGATTCCCCAAACCACCCTCAGATTTGATAGTTCATTAGAAGGATTTATAATACTCTGTGAGCACTATTATACTCACAGTTATGGTTTATTACAGGCAAATTATACATAGTAAGACCAGCCAAGGGAAAAAGTACATAGGGTGGAGTTTGGGAAGATACCAAATGTAGAGCTTTTGTTGTCCTCTTCCCATGGAGTCAGGACACGTTGCTCTCTTGGCATCAGTGTGTGACAAAATGTGCAGAGCATTGCCTAACAGGAAAGCTTACCCAAGCCTTAGTGTTCAGAGTTTTTATTGGGGTTTCATTATGTAGGCATTATTGACTGACTGCCCTCTGGCTTGATCTCAGTCTCCAGCTCCACTTGGTGTGATCCAAAGCCTCCTAAATCACATAGTCATTTTTTCTGGAGTGTCTTTTCCCCACCCTAAATCACATTGTTACTATCTAGATTACAGTCTATTAGAAAAATAAATCAAGGCTGTGCATGGTAGCTCATACCTATAATCCTAATACTTATACTTTGGGAGGCCAAAGCTGAAAGATCTCTAAAATCCAGAAGTTCAAGACCAGCCTAGGCAACAAAGTGAGACCTTATCTCTACAAAACCAAACAAAAAAAAAAAAAAAATAGGTGTGATTGGGTGCACCTGTAGTCCTAGCTACTTGGGGGGCTGAAGATGGAGAATTGCTTGAACCCAGGAATTCAGAGCTGCAGAGAGCTATGATCACACCACTGCATTCCAGGCTGGGTTACAGAGGGGTGACCTCCATCTCAAAAAAAAAAAAATTTTTTTTCTTTTAATTCTTTTTTATTTTTTATTTTTTTTATAAATATATATATTTTTTATTATACTTTAAGTTCTAGGGTACATGTGCACAACGTGCAGGTTTGTTACATATGTAAACATGTGCCGTGTTGGTGTGCTGCACCCATTAACTCATCATTTACATTAGGTATATCTCCAAATGCTATCCCTTCCCCCTCCCACCACCCCACAACAGGCCCCGGTGTGTGATGTTCCCCTTCCTGTGTCCAGGTGTTCTCATTGTTCAGTTCCCACCTATGAGTGAGAACATGTGGTGTTTGGTTTTTTGTCCTTGCAGTAGTTTGCTGAGAATGATGGTTTCCAGCTTCATCCATGTCCCTGCAAAGGACATGAACTCATCCTTTTTTACGGCTGCGTAGTATTTCATAGTGTATACGTGCCACATTTTCTGAATCCAGTCTATCATTGTTGGACATTTGGGTTGGTTCCAGGTCTTTGCTATTGTGAATAGTGCCACGATAAACATACGTGTGCATGTGTCTTGATAGCAGCATGATTTATAATCCTTTGGGTATATACCCAGTAATGGGATGGCTGGGTCAAATGGTATTTCTACTTCTAGATCCCTGAGGAATCGCCACACTGTCTTTCACAGTGGTTGAACTAGTTTACAGTCCCACCAACAGTGTAAAAGTGTTCCTGTTTCTCCACATCCTCTCCAGCACCTGTTGTTTCCTGACTTTTTAATGATCGCCATTCTAACTGGTGTGAGATGGTATCTCATTGTGGTTTTGATTTGCATTTCTCTGATGGCCAGTGATGATGAGCATTTTTTCATGTGTCTGTTGGCTGCATAAATGCCATCTTTTGAGAAGTGTCTGTTCATATCCTTCACCCACTTGTTGATGGGGTTGTTTGTTTCTTTTCTTATAAATTTGTTTGAGTTCTTTGTAGAATCTGGATATTAGCCCTTTGTCAGATGAGTAGATTGCAAAACTTTTCTCCCACTCTGTAGGTTGCCTGTTCACTCTGATGGTAGTTTCTTTTGCTGTGCAGAAGCTCCTTAATTAGATCCCATTTGTCAATTTTGGCTTTTGTTTCCATTGTTTTTGGTGTTTTAGATATGAAGTCCATGCCCATGCCTATGTCCTCAATGGTATTACCTAGGTTTTCTTCTAGGGTTTTTATGGTTTTAGGTCTAACATTTAAGTCTTTAATCCATCTTGAATTAATTTTAGTATAAGGTGTAAGGAAGGGATCCAGTTTCAGCTTTCTCCATATGGCTAGCCAGTTTTCCCAGCACCATTTGTTAAATAGGGAATCCTTTCCCCATTTCTTCTTTTTGTCAGGTTTGTCAAAGATGACATGGTTGTAGATGTGTGGTATTACTTCTGAGGGCTCTGTTCTGTTCCATTGGTCTATATCTCTGTTTTGGTACCAGTACCATGCTGTTTTGGTTACTGTAGCCTTGCAGTATAGTTTGAAGTCAGGTAGCATGATGCCTACAGTTTTGTTCTTTTGGCTTAGGATTGACTTGGCAATGCAGGCTCTTTTTTGGCTCCACATGAACTTTAAAGTAGTTTTTTCCAATTCAGTGAAGAAAGTCATTGGTAGCTTGATAGGGATGGCATTGAATCTATAAATTACCTTGGGCAGTATGGCCATTTTCATGATATTGATTCTTCCTATCCATGAGCATGGAATGTTCTTCCATTTGTTTGTGTCCTCTTTTATTTCGCTGAACAGTAGTTTGTAGTTCTCCTTGAAGAGGTCCTTCACATCCCTTGTAAGTTGGATTCCTAGGTATTTTATTCTCTTTGAAGCAATTGTGAATGGGAGTTCACTCATGATTTGGCTCTCTGTTTGTCTGTTATTGGTGTATAAGAATGCTTGTGATTTTTGCACGTTGATTTCGTATCAAGACTTTGCTGGAGTTGCTTATCAGCTTAAGGAGATTTTGGGCTGAGATAATGGGGTTTTCTAGATATACAATCATGTCATCTGCAAACAGGGACAATTTGATTTCCTCTTTTCATAATTGAATACCCTTTATGTCTTTCTCTTGCCTGATTGCCCTGGCCAGAACTTCCAACACTATGTTGAATAGGAGTGGTGAGAGAGGGCATCCCTATCTTGTGCCAGTTTTCAAAGGGAATGCTTCCGGTTTTTGCCCATTCAGTATGATATTGGCTGTGGGTTTGTCATAGCTCTTATTATTTTGAAATACGTCCCATCAATACCTAATTTATTGAGAGTTTTTAGCATGAAGGGCTGTTGAATTTTGTCAAAGGCCTTTTCTGCATCTATTGAGATGATCGTGTGTTTTTTGTCTTTGGTTCTGTTTATATGCTGGATTACATTTATTGATTTGTATATGTTGAACCAGCCTTGCATCCCAGGGATGAAGCCCACTTGATCATGGTAGATAAGCTTTTTGATGTGCTGCTGGATTCGATTTGCCAGTATTTTATTGAAGATTTTTGCGTCGGTGTTCATTAGGGATATTGGTCTAAAATTCTCTTTTTGTGTTGTGTCTCTGCCAGGCTTAGGTATCAGGATGATGCTGGCCTCATAAAATGAGTTAGGGAGGATTCCCTCATTTTCTATTGATAGGAATAGTTTCAGAAGGAATGGTGTCAGCTCCTCCTTGTACCTCTGGTAGAATTCGGCTGTGAATCCATCTGGTCCTGGACTTTTTTTGGTTGGTAAGCTATTAATTATTGCCTCAATTTCAGAGCCTGTTATTGGTCTATTCAGAGATTCAACTTCTTCCTGGTTTAGTCTTGGGAGGGTGTATGTGTCAAGGAATTTATCCATTTCTTCTAGATTTTCTAGTTTATTTGTGTAGAGGTGTTTGTAGTATTCTCTGATGGTAGTTTGTATTTCTGTGGGATCGGTGGTGATATCCCCTTTTATCATTTTTTATTGCGTCTATTTGATTCTTCTCTCTTTTCTTCTTTATTAGTCTTGCTAGCAGTCTATCAATTTTGTTGATCTTTTCAAAAAACCAGCTCCTGGATTCATTGATTTCTTGAAGGGTTTTTTGTGTCTCTATCTCGTTCAGTTCTGCTCTGAGTTATTTCTTGCCTTCTGCTAGCTTTTGAATGTGTTTGCTCTTGTTCCTCTAGTTCTTTTAATTGTGATGTTAGGGTGTCAATTTTATATCTTTCCTGCTTCCTTTTGTGGGCATTTAGTGCTATAAATTTCCCTCTACACACTGCTTTAAATGTGTCCCAGAGATTCTGGTATGTTGTGTCTTTGTTCTCATTGGTTTCAAAGAACATGTTTATTTCTGCATTCATTTCGTTATGTACCCAGTAGTCATTCAGGAGCAGGTTGTTCAGTCTCCATGTAGCTGAGCAGTTTTGAGTGAGTTTCTTAATCTTGAGTTCTAATTTGATTTCACTGTGGTCTGAGAGACAGTTTGTTATAATTTCTGTTCTTTTACATTTGCTGAGGAGTGCTTTACTTCCAACTATGTGGTCAATTTTGGAATAAGTGCGATGTGGTGCTGAGAAGAATGTATATTCTGTTGATTTGGGGTGGAGAGTTCTGTAGATGTCTGTTAGGTCCGCTTGGTGCAGAGCTGAGTTCAATTCCTGGATATCCTTGTTAACTTTCTGTCTCATTGATCTGTCTAATGTTGACAGTGGGGTGTTAAAGTCTCCCTTTATTATTGTATGGGAGTCTAAGTCTCTTTGTAGGTCTCTAAGGACTTGCTTTATGAATCTGGGTCCTCCTGTATTGGGTGCATAAATATTTAGGATAGTTAGCTCTTCTTGTTGAATTGATCCCTTTACCATTATGTAATGGCCTTCTTTGTCTCTTTTGATCCTTGCTAGTTTAAAGTCTGTTTTATCAGAGACTAGGATTGCAACCCCTGCCTTTTTTTGTTTTCCATTTGCTTGGTAGATCTTCCTGCATCCCTTTATTTTGAGCCTATGTGTGTCTCTGCACATGAGATGGATTTCCTGAATACAGCACACTGATGGGTCTTTACTCTTTATCTAATTTGCCAGTCTGTGTCTTTTAATTGGAGCATTTAGCCCATTTACATTTAAGGTTGATACTGTTATGTGTGAATTTGATCCTGTCATTATGATGCTAGCTGGTTATTTTGCTCGTTAGTTGATGCAGTTTCTTCCTAGCCTTGATGGTCTTTACAATTTGGCATGTTTTTCCAGTGGCTGGTATGTGTTGTTCCTTTCCATGTTTAGTGCTTCCTTCAGGAGCTCTTGTAAGGCAGGCCTGGTGGTGACAAAATCTCTCAGCATTTGCTTGTCTGTAAAGGATTTTATTTTTCCTTCACCTATGAAGCTTAGTTTGGCTGGATATGAAATTCTGGGTTGAAAATTCTTTTCTTTAAGAATTTTGGATATTGGCCCCCACTCTCTTCTGGCTTGTAGAGTTTCTGCCGAGAGATCAGCTGTTAGTCTGATGGGCTTCCCTTTGTGGGTAACCCGACCTTTCTCTCTGGCTGCCCTTAACATTTTTTCCTTCATTTCAACTTTGGTGATCTGACAATTATGTGTCTCGGAGTTGCTCTTCTCGAGGAGTATCTTTGTGGCGTTCTCTGTATTTCCTGAATTTGAATGTTGGCCTGCCTTGCTAGGTTGGGGAAGTTCTCCTGGCTAATATCCTGCAGAGTGTTTTCCAACTTGGTTCCATTCTCCCCATCACTTTCAGGTACACCAATCAGACGTAGATTTGGTCTTTTCACATAGTCCCATATTTCTTGGAGGCTTTTTTCGTTTCTTTTTATTCTTTTTTCTCTAAACTTCTCTTCTCGCTTCATTTCATTCATTTGGTCTTCAATCACGGATACCCTTTCTTCCAGTTGTTCGAATCGGCTACTGAAGTTTGTGCATTCGTCACTTAGTTCTCGTGCCATGGTTTTCAGCTCCATCAGGTCATTTAAGGACTTGTCTACATTGGTTATTCTAGTTAGCCATTCATCTAATCTTTTTTTCAAGGTTTTTAGCTTCTTTGTGCTGGGTTCAAACTTCCTCCTTTAGCTCAGAGAAGTTTGATCATCTGAAGCCTTCTTTTCTCAACTCGTCAAAGTCATTCTCTGTCTACCTTTGTTCTGTTGCTGGTGAGGAGCTGCGTTCCTTTGGAGGAGGAGAGGCGCTCTGATTTTTAGAATTTTCAGTTTTTCTGCTGTTTTTTTCCCTATCTTTGTGGTTTTATCTACCTTTGGTCTTTGATGATGGTGACATACAGATGGGGTTTTTGTGTGGATGTCCTTTCTGTTTGTTAGTTTTCCTTCTAACAGTCAGGACCCTCAGCTGCAGGTCTGTTGGAGTTTGTCGGAGGGCCACTCCAGACCCTGTTTGCCTGGGTATCAGCAGCGGAGGCTGCAGAACAGTGAATATTGCTGAACACCAAATGTTGCTCTCTGATCGTTCCTCTGGAGGTTTTGTCTCAGAGGGGTACCCGCCGTGTGAGGTGTCAGTCTGCCTCTACTGGGGGGTACCTCCCAGTTAGGCTGCTTGGGGGTCAGGGACCCACTTGAGGAGGCAGTCTGTCTGTTCTCAGATCTCAAACTCTGTCCTGGGAGAACCACTACTCTCTTCAAAGCTGTCAGACAGGGACATTTAAGTTTGCAGAGGTTTCTGCTGCCTTTTGTTCAGCTATGCCCTGCCCCCAGAGGTGGAGTCTACAGAGGCAGGCAGGCCTCCTTGAGCTGTGGTGGGCTCCACCCAGTTCGAGCTTCCCGGCAGCTTTGTTTACCTACTCAAGCCTCAGCAATGGCGGGCGCCTCTCCTCCAGCCTCGCTGCCACCTTGCAGTTCAATCTCAGACTGCTGTGCTAGCAATGAGTGAGGCTCCGTGGGTGTGGGACCCTCTGAGCCAGGCGCGGGATATAATCTCCTGGTGTGCTGTTTGCTAAGACCGTTGGAAAAGCGCAGTATTAGGGTGGGAGTGATCCGATTTTCCAGGTGCCATCTGTCACAGCTTCCCTTGGCTAGGAAAGGGAATTCCCTGACCCCTTGTGCTTCCCGGGTGAGGCGATGTCTCGCCCTGCTTCGGCTCACGCTCGGTGGGCTGCACCCACTGTCCAACAAGCCCCAGTGAGATGAAGCCGGTATCTCAGTTGGAAATGCAGAAATCATCCGTCTTGTGCGTTGCTCACGCTGGGGGCTGTAGACTGGAGCTGTTCCTATTTGGCCATCTTGGAACAGGAATCAAAGGAAATTTTTTAAAAATCCCATTTATGATAGCATCAAAAAGAGTACAATAGTTAGGAATAAATTTAACCAAGGATGTAATAATGTGCACACTGAAAATTATAAAACATTGATGAAAGAAATTCAAGAAGACACAAATCAATGGAAAGATACCTTATGTTTATGGATTGGAAGAATCAATATTATTAAAATGTTCATACTGCCTGAAGCAATACACAGATTCAACACAATCCCTATTGAAATTCCAATGGCATTTTTCACAGAATAGAAAAAAAAATTCTAAAATGTGGATGAAACTAGAAGACATTATATTAAGTGAAATATACTAGACACAGATAGATAAATACTGTATGATTTCACTTATATATGGAATCTAAAAAAAATGTTCAGTTCATAAAAGCAGAGAGTAAAACAGTGGTTGACAGTGGGTGGGAGACCTGGAGAGATGTTGGTCAAAGTGTATGAACTTACAGTTGTAAGATGAATAAGTTCTGGATACCGGACATACAGCATGGCAACTATAGTTAATAATAATGTATTGAATATTTGAAATATGCTATAAGAATAGATCTTAAGCATTCTCACCACATACCCAAAAAAGTAACTATGTGAGGTGATGGATATTTTACTTAGCTTGATTGTGGTAATAATTTCACAATGTGTACATTTATCAGAATATCACATTGTATACCTTGAATATATACCATTTTTATTTGCCAATTATACTTCAAGGCAGAAAAAAATAAAATTAGAGTAGAAACAAAAGCTTGGAGGTCTGAAATGTTACTAAAAGTGTAACATTTTCCTTTTTTCAATATTCTTGCCACATGGTGGGTAGGTCCTTTTAGTCTGAAGATTCAAGTCTGTCTTATTTGGGGGATATTTTCTTCAATTAGTCCCTTGATTATTGATCCTTCTCTTTTGGCTGTATTCTCTCCTGTGACTGCTAATAGGTGTGTAAATCAGTACCAGGCACATAATAAGCACATGTTAAATATCTGTTGATCGTATAAATTGATCCTGGATTTGCTTGATCAGTTTTCCGTGTATCTTACATCTTCTTTCATGATTTACAACCTAGACATTTTGCTGTTTTCAGAACAAATTTTTTGAATTGTTACTGCAGAAGCTGCTTTTGCTCATTTATGTTCTGCTTTTAAAAAATTATGCCATTTTATTAAAATATAGTTTTTGGAATGTTGTCATGTTATCTAATTTTTTATGTCCTCTGATGACTTTGTTTAAAATTAGTTCAATTATGTCTTGTATCTGAGGATACTTATTAGAAATTTTTTTATTACTGTTATTCTATCTTGTTTCCCATATTAACTTTGTTCCATTAAGGACTGTTTGTCCCCATTGCTTTTTTTGTCTCCTCACTTTAACTGCTGTTTCTTCTCAAAAGTTCTAGTCAATGCATATATTCTATTCAACATATATATTTAGCTCTAGATGTAATCAGTTTTGGTATGTGCCTCCAGGTGGCATCCTGTGCAGTCTTCATGAAGTGAAACCCAAAGACTGGTGCCCCTGTCAGTTGTTCTACTGCAGAGACTTTGTGGAGTATGTGGTTGGAGATGAATCTATGGTTAAGGGAGTGGATTTTTTAAAACCAATATGTGAAGTATAATATACATAAAGTGCATCAACTGTAAGCATACAACTTGTTGTGTTTTCACAAAGTAAACATACCATGTAGAACCAACACCCAGATTAAGAACTAGAGCACGAACAGTACCCCAGAAGCTCCCTTCTCCCTTCTTTTAGTCACTACTCTTCTCCAAAGGTGGCCACTGTCCTGATTTCTCCACATAGATTAATAAAACATAGCAGGGGCCGAGAGTGGTGGCACACACCTATAGTCCCAGCTACTCAGGAGGCTGAGGTGGGAGGATCGTTTGAGCCCAGGAGGTCAAAGCTGCAGTGAGTCGTAATTGTGCCACTGCACTCCAGCTTGGGCGACAGAGCAAGACCCTGTCTCAAGATAAATAATAAAATATAGCAGGTATTCTGTTTATGTCAAGTTTCTATTGCTCAAAATGATGTTTGTGAGATTCATCTGTGGTAAATTGTATAAATGTAGTAGTAGATTGTGAATTGTCATTACTGTATTGTATTCCATGTTATGACTCTCCTGTAATTTATGCATTGCACAGTTGATGGGCATTTGGGTGGTTTCCAGTTTAAGGTATGAAAAGTAGTGCTGTCCAAAACATTTTTTTATATGTCTTTTGGTGAATTTGCATACATCTGTGGGACCATACCAGAGTGGATTGCTGGATTATTAGGGAGTTTTGTTGGTTGGTTGTTTGCCATTTTGTTTTAAACTCCTTGTGTCCTGGTGGGAATTGTTCAGTAGATACTGAGAAATTGATGATGCAAAAGAAAATGGATAGCAGAAGGAATGAAGTTCTATGGGTTTTGGCCCTCACAAAAGTAAATACATATCTTCCTACAGAAATCAAACAGGTTTTTATGGCTCAAAGCCCCGGAATTATACGGGGCAGAATAGGCGAATGTGCTTGCAGTCAGCTGGCTTTAAAAGAGCCTTTCTTATTGGAAGTATAGAGAGGAAAATTCTTTTCCACTAGCGGGAAGAACCACTTCTGGTGCTCAACATCATGTGCATTGCTGCAGTGGAGAAGAAAAAAGAGGGAAGCGTTTTCATTGGGCTCATACTGCTTATGATAGGCCTGGCAGAGTCTTGCTTTTGGCAACTATTGAGTATGAATGGCCAGTCTCTACTTGTAAAGAGAGGTCATTGGACTTAAATGGAATTAATGGAAGTAAAATGTTCTCAGGTTGTTACTGCAAATCATTCATGTAGTCAGTGCCAGGGGTTAAACAATTCTCGCCTCTTTTCTAGTCTGTCACCTTCAAAACTACCAGCAGAAATCTTGCTCGAGCCATGTGTATGAAGAACCTCAAGCTCACTATTATCATCATCATCGTATCAATTGTAAGTTTTTGTCCTTTTAGTGTATGGCTTTATTTTTCAATCTCTAAGAAATTAGGTACTAGAATTATTTCTCAATGATTAACACTCTGAAATGAGCTACATATGTCTTTTAATAGTGAAACACATGACCAGGCAGTGGCTTTCCTATGAAGTCACTATGAAATATCTCTACTTAAACCCCTCCTTCCTATTGAGAATTATTATATATTCTCAATAGGAAGAGATCTATAAAACTGACCTCACAGAAATGTAGTTATTTTAAATAAAGACATTTCTGGTTTATATGTAATGGGTTTATTGTTTTTATTTTTAAATTAATTATGTATTTTTAAAGTTTTAATTTCTAATATGGCAAATGCTGATAATTATAATCCCCCTTAAACAAGAACTCTTTGGAGTCCTCAGTAATTTTTGAGTGTGTAAAGAGGTCCTAAACCACAACTTTAAAAACTATTGCTAACAGGTGGGGGGTGCTTTACCCTGTTCATGGTCAGATAAAGTTGCCTTTCCTCCCCATCCTCCAGTCATGTCCAGAAGCCCAAAGTTACCTCCAAGCAGATAACTCTGACCCTGCTTCTCCTCTACCACAGCTTGAGGGTCCTCTGCCTTAGACAGCTGGATTTATCTAAAAGAGAAGAGCAGTCATAGATCTGTAGATTTTATACTGGAAGTAATTGTCATGGCCTTGAATGGTTCCTTGCTCAGGTTTCTCTTTCTAATATCACATTTTAGGCTCCTGAGCTTAGCTTCTTACTTATTATTTGGTCTGGGAGTTTAGGTTGATTTGTGCAGCTGAATTGTTAAATTCAGAATATATTTACTGATTACTTATTACATGCAGAGCACAGCTCTAAATGCAATATCAATCTTTGCGAAAAGGTGTTGTCACCTAACGAGATGTACTTCAGCTTGAAAAATCCTTATATTACAGCTGTGACAAATAGTCAACTTTACATCAAGTTGGTAAACTTTACATTTGTGGCATGTGTATGTGTGAGTATGTGTGTGTATGTGTGAATATGATGTCAGAAGTTCAACCTATTCATTAATAAACAGAATTTGCTGTAATCTGCCCCCCAACCCTGGCAATATTTATAGTTCCCTACAAGGCAAAATGCTTTGCTCACTTTTGGAGCAAAGGGCATGCAATTCATCAATGCATCCTTTTCCAAGCTTGCAAATAATGAAATCAGTCACTTAAAGATCTCAAAAAGTTGTAATTTAAAGCAAAATAAAGCCAGGCATAGGGGCTTATGCCTGTAATCCCAGCACTTTGGGAAGCTGAGGCAGGAGGATTGCTTGAGGCCAAGAGTTTGAAGCCAGCCTGGTCAACATAGTGACACCCTATCTCTACAAAAATAAAAAATAAAAAATAAATAAAATAAAGTGACTAATGCAGTGAACCTAATGTTTAAAATCTATTTTTTGTGATATAATAATGTGAACAAGTAGTGACTTTTATAATATAATTTAAAATTATAATCTAGAATTAAAAAGCAAACACATCTGTAATAGCACCAGTATTTTTGCAGTGTTACTTACATCATCTGCTTTTCATTGTTTTGGTCATCGTAATTATTGTGTCATTATCCACTGAACAGTTCGTAGCAGTGTTCTTGCTCATAAGTGATATAGATGAAAGCCTTCTACTCAGGCTTTTAAAATATATTCTTATATTAATCAAAAATAAAATTCATGTGCAAAACCTAAAAATATAATTAATGAAACCATACTTCAGGAGAATTATGGTTATTTGTGATTTTTTTATGACTTGTTAATGACACATCAGTATGAGTTGCTCATTTAGCCTTGATTCTGCCGAGTTACCAGTGAAGAGCAACAACCCCACTGCTTTCTCTCCCACTGAAGGAAACGCTAGAGTTCAAGTGGGTGTGAGTTATACCAAAAACGACAATGTTAACTACACTTCTGTCTTGGAAAATACTTGTTTAGTGTGTTCCATTACTACATAACTGCTACTCTAATGGAATCAGAAGTATTTCTTAATAAGGCTCTACTTTCCTATATATATTATTTAGAATAATATGATTGATTCAAGAAAATAAAATTGCTCTCCTCGTCCCTCCAGGTGTTCATCTATATCATTGTTTCACCTCTCTGTGGTGGATTTACATGGCCAAGCTGTGTGAAGAAATAGGAAAGAAGAAGTTACCATTAACCAAGGATATGAGAGAACAAGGAGTTAAAAGCAATCCATGTGACTCAAGCCTTTCACATACTGACAGATGGTATCTGCCAGTCTCTTCAACCCTCTTCTCACTTTTTAAAATCTTGTTCCATGCCTCCAGGTTTATCTTTGTCTTATCTACCAGTTTATTCCTGTGAACTTCAGATTGAACCATTCATTGCAGCAGTAGCCTTAAAAAGGCTTTTGTTTATTTCTTTGGTTTGTTAACTAGTGTCATCTATTTAGAGAAACATTTTTGTTTTTAATTGCTCAAAGCTGTCGCCGCTAGTCTTATGAGCTATCTACTAAAACTATGGAGAAACTTTGTATGTGCACACAAAAGTATTCAAGAGACAGTATTGCTAACATCTCATCTTAATGTCTTTTGTTATTGAGAAGTTTTAGGTGCTTCAAAACAATATAAATGGATAATAGTTGTTATTTGGGGAATTGTAATGATGTTGGTGCTGCTTCCTTCTAAGAGCTCAGACAAGTAAAGTATGAAACATTCTTATTTCAGTTAGATGGGGAACATTTTGCTAGCCCATTAGAAGCACACAGAATTATCCTTGTCCTCCTAATATTGACTTTCAGGAATAAAGTTCAGTGTGCTGATCATTCACAATACAGTGGATAGCTTGATATCTTCTGTTTTCCCATTGCAGTTGATTTGAGAAGATGAAGGTTTAAATATTGTTGAAAGTTGCAGTTTTTTAAATGTGTTCCTTTTTCTTCTGTGAATATTTAGGGCAATCGTGTCGCTAATAGAATATGTAGTAGAGGGGGTGGGGAGGTAAATTCCTCTGACTTGCCAAAGAAAAAGAAGGGAACCACAGTGGATATGCTAGCATTTTAGCTGTGCAAAGGGAGGTAGTGTGGGAAAAGTGTTTCCATTCTGGGAAAAGCCCAAACCGAATACGGTCAGCAGTCAACTCCAGGGTTTGGGCTTGATTCCTGTTGAATAATAGTTTTGAGCATTCTTTGTGGTTAAATAAATTCTTAAATCTGCCTAGTTTTGATGAATTCTTTTGTGAAACTTGAAAGAGAATAGACAGTATGACATATAGAATTAATACAAAACAGTTTAACAACCATTTAACTGCAGTGTAAGAAAATTGGACTGTAATCATATCGCTACTGGCATCTGTTATCTAGTATGCATTTCTGGTGTGTATCTGAAAGGAAGACATTTTCTACCCTAGATCCAATTGCATTTATTTATCAATAAGTGCCATTAAATTGAAATTATATTACATTTTACACTTTCTCAATGAATGAACAAATTAGTCTGTAGAATCTAGCCACCTGTTTAGCCTAGTCATGTGCCTTGAACATATATGTGTCCCATAATCTGGCTCATGGTACCTGTTCTTCTATCCAAACCTTTCAATTCATGCTACCTGATTCATTTATTTGACATAGATCTTAGGCCCACTTGAACTCTTTTCTTGTTTATCTAGCATAGCACAAACGTTTTTCCAGTCTTCTTTATCAACACTAATGCCTCTTAATTGCATCAGTATTTCCTATTGGAAAATACATCTGTTCCAGAAAAACATTTGGCATTCCTGAATAATTTCCAAATGTTTTTAATCCAAAGAAAAAGGTTTAAAGCTTATTTCCCTTTCTTATACACACCTGAATAAAATTGATGTGCATGTTTTAGGGATCAATTACCTAACTGTTCCTTGGTCTATTTATGTATAAGAATGCTTTTTAAAGCACATGTCTCATTTTAAATGACGCACAAACTGAAGATGTTAATAAAATTTAAGAGTAATACAATGATTTGCTTGTTTTAGAAGTTCTTTCTGGAACCTAATTTCTTCTGATGACATTTGCCATTGTTTACAGAACAAAAGTATTTTACTTATGCGGAAAATATATTAAGAAGTGTTACCTGGAGACTTCCAGTAAAGATCTGTAGCATAGTCTCAGGTGTGTAGAATTTCTTCAAAAGACACAAATGAACTTAAAAAATATATAGCCCATGCTGAAACCAATGAAAGATTCTGAGATGATCACACAGCCTTCACAACTATCGTCCTGAGTGCATGATTTAGACAGAACTGAAAAAGAACCCCAGGGATTTTCATCCAGTTTAGCACAATTCTGAAAAATCTTTCTATCTAAAGTTAAATGACTGGTTCTGAAAGAGACTCAAGCGGAAGGCATAATGGTGGGAGGGAATAATTCATTATAGCAAACAGGGTACCTAAACAGAAATAAAAGAAAAACAGGCACAAATCAAATATACAAATAGATAGGTCACAACAAAATAATCAGTCACTTGGGACCTCTGAACGTAAGGTGGCTAAAGTCAGGTATAGAATATATTTTTGTACAGGCTGCAATAACTTAAAAACAGCCTATTTAAGTTCTCCCTAGGTTTTATCCAGATTTCAACTGAAATGTGCATTCTCTAACAGACACTTAGAGAAAAATAAAAGATGGTTATTTATTTGGTTATGAATAAAGAAAGAAGTGACACCAGCTATTTCTCTTTACTTCAAACCCTTGGCAAAAAAAAAAACAGTGTTACAATCCAAAAGTTTCCTTAATAGTGAATGTAGGTGCCTTTAGATAATGGTTTCTTCTTGCTTGACTCTTGGTATCTATCTTTTCTGGCCTCAAGATAGACAAAGATACTGGGTTGCTTCCCAGGGTATCTTGATGGAAATGAATGTAACAACAACAGCAGCACCGTAGACCCTACCAAAGTGTTCTACATTAGAAGCAAGTCTATGTCTTGCAATGCCATCTTCTCAAGTATAATAAACAGGGTGGAAGTAGTGGTTGTGGTTGCCATGTATATCAGCGTGAATCCAGTGAAGACAGCAGAGGCAAGACAAGTGTTAGGGAAACAAAGAGTTTAATATAGGATTCAAGGTTACAAAAATGTGTGACAAACTGGGAAGTGAAGGTCTGGAAGGCAGGTACCAGAAGATCAGAAGAACAGTCCTAGTGCTTTCACTTGAGGCAGTGACATAGGCAGACAGGTCGGAGCTTGCTGGAAAACCTAAGAAGCCCTGTATGTCTGCTTGCTGATATGGTTTTGCTGTGTCCCCACCCAAATCTCGCCTTGAATTTTAATCCCTATAATCCCCACATGTCAAGGGAGGGACCTGGTGGGAGGTGATTGGACCATGGGGGCAGTTTCCTCCATGTTGTTCTCATGATAGTGAGGGAGTTCTCATGAGATCTGATGGTTTTATAAGTGTTCGACAGTTCCTCCTTCACACACTCACTCTCTCCTGATACCTTGTGAAGAAGGTGGCTGCTTCCCCTTCCACCATGATTGTAAGTTTCCTGAGGCCTCCCCAGCCTTGCGAAACTGTGAGTCAATTAAACCTCTTTCCTTTATTAACTGCCCAGTCTCGGGTAGTATCTGTACAGTAGTATGAGAGAAGACTAATACACTTGCCAAAGTTGGTGTGTGAAGAGAGACATGTGGAAAGGTTTATGGAAGCCACAGCTTCAGTAGATCTGATGCCAAGTACCAAGTAGTAGGCTTGCAGCCCCAGTTGGTTAGCATGACTAACAGTCCACAGAATGAGTTGGATGTGGAATGGAAAAGGTTGAGGAAAAGCTGCGACACACCAGGCACCTAAGCATCTTTGTATCCTTTGAAGGGTACTGGCCTCTACTTTTGTTCTGCTTTCCAAGTCTCATATAAGTGCAACTCACTGAGAAAGGCTAACCCTAAAACCATCTAGGGTAAGGGGATTCTATGAAATTCTCAGCTTCTGGCAAAAGCAATGGTGCCAGTCTAGCATAGCCCAGTTCCTCCTAGACTCATTCATAGTATTGGCTCTACTGCTTTGTCAAGACAATTTTGGTAAGTTAAAGCATTCTTCTGGTCAGAATACACTGTACAAAATTATTTTGGGTTCGTGCTATTTATTAAGCCCAAACAATCTAAATCCAAAATGCTGTGACTTTTTACATCTCTTCCAAAGAGAAAAAAAATCATGGCAATATTCTGTATAAGAAAACTAACATGCACGGGCTGACACCATGTTTTTTCTTTTTAAATCCCCATTGCAAGTTTAGAAAAGCACAAAGAAAACTTTAAGAAGTCTCATAGAGAATATTGAACTCAAGACTGCAACTTACAGACTTTCACTGCTGGCCAAGATGGAGTAACAGATACAGGGCATTTACCTACCTGCGTGAAATAACACCCCCGGAAAGACAAAATATATGAAGCAACAGTTTTCAAGACACTGGACACTAGGCAACAAAGGACAGTGATCTTTCGAAGAGTTGAATCCTACAATTGTACCAGCTTATTCTGAGGAGAGAGTAACTAGGTCATAATACAATGAGGAGGAACCCAGGCAGAGCCTGGCAGATTCCCTGGGTTGAGATGTGACTTGAGATTTCCAGGAAGATCAAGACAGATGTCTTTGCAGGATAGAGTACTAGAGAGGAGAGAGCTGCACAGAAAGGACTCTAGATCTGAGGAAACTACTCAATGGCAGAGAAAGAACCACCCGAAAAAAGATTAGACGGAAGAGTTTCCTGCACTCACGCAGTACCAGAAGTAGTGCCTGTATATGCATTCAAACTGGAAAATTTCATGAATCACAGAGTATTTGATAGAGTACCCAGAAAGGTCTTACCTCAGTAATGGAGAATAAATAACCCTAGTCCAGAGCTTCTCAACCTTGGCACTGTTGGCATTTGGAGCCAGATATTTTTTGTCATGTGGGGCTGTCCTGTGCATTGTATTATAGTATTTTGCCAGCATCCCTGGCCATCAATCTACTAGATGCCAGGGCCACTGTCTTCCCAGTTCTGACAACCAAAAACCTTCCAAATGATTTCACAAAGTTGGGAAGACAAAATTGTCCCTGATTGAGAACCATTGCTGTAGACTAAACACACCTCTCATCCAGCTTGATACATTTTAAAAGTAAGACCTGAGATGATGAAATTGTTTTCCAGGTAACTGCATCCCAGAACAAACCTCAAGAATATATTTATGGAAACACAAACACAGCACGCAAATTAAAATTCAATGTGTAAGGCAGCAAATACAAAATTACCGGTCACACAAAGAAGCAGGAAAATATGACCAACGATAAGATAAAAAAATTTATCAATTTAAATAAATGGAGAACTGACATGTTAGAATTAGCAAAGATATAAAAACAGCTATTAATGTTGTATTACATGTGTTCTAAAAGGTAAGCAGAGGCATGAAATAAAAAGGCACATTTAATTTCTAGAAATTAAGACTAGGATATCTGAGATGTAAAATACACAGGATTGGATTAATGACCTAGTAGACATAGCAGAAGTAGAAATTACTGACCTTGAAGACTAAGCAATAGAAACTCTCCAAATGAAACACATCAATTAAAAGATAAAGTGTTAAATGTCAAAGTGTATTTTTAGAGTCAACTCTTATCTTTAAGAAACTCACTTAAAATGTTAATATAGGTTAAAAGTAAAAGCATGGGAAAATATACCATGCAGACAGTAATGAGAAAACTGCAGTAGATGTCAGAGCAAAGGATATTGCCAGGGATAGAGAAGATTGTTTCATAATGATAAGTGGGTAAATTCATCAGGTGTCAGGGTTTTTAGGGTTTAAGGTTGGGGATTAGGATTACCAGTTTAAAATCTAGGAGTTAGGTTTTGGGCTTCCTCTGGAGCCTACATGGTCTGAGAAGGAAAAGCAATGAAATACTTCAGGTTTGGTGGTACTTCAGATTCTGATCTTCAATCTGCCTGTTAACATACATTTTTAGTCTTCAAATTAGCTGCTCCATACATTCCATCTAGGATTTATAGTTGTGGGAGAGACACAATAGAGTGTGCTTTCTCCATCTTGCCCAGAATTTGAACTCCAGTGCAAAATAACCCTAACCCCAAAACTTGGTGTTATAAAACAATTGCGGTGTTTTATTTCCTAAGGTTCAGGTTCAGGTGTAAGCTTTGGGATTAAGAAATTGAGTTCAGGTTAGGGTTTGAGTTCAGCTTGAGCTTCTGTTTTAGAATTAGTGCTGACATCAGGGATTGGGTTGGGATTATTATTGAGGTTTGGATTCATACTCAGATTGAAAGGTTTTGGGGTTTTTTTTGTTTCGGTTTTTTTTTTAGACAGAGTCTTGCTCTGTCACCCAGGCTGGAGTGCAGTGGCACAATCTTGGCTCACTGCAACCTCCGCCTCCTGGATTCAAGCAATTCTCCTGTTTCAGCTTCCCAAGTAGCTGGGACTACAAGCACACACCACCACGCCTGGCTAATTTTTGTATTTTTAGTAGAGACAGGGTTTCACCATCTTGGCCAGGCTGGCCTCGAACTCCTTACCTCAAGTGATCCACCTGCCTCGGCCTCCCAAAGTGCTGGGATTATAGGCATGAGCCACTGCACCCAGCCAGATTGAAGGTTTTGAATTGGAATCAAGTTCAAATTTAGGATTGAGGTCATAGTCAGGGTTTGGTTAGGTTTAGGATTGATCAGGTTACAGGCATGGGTTCGGGTTTAGGGGTTTTGGTAAGGTTCTAGCTCAGGTTTGAGTTTAGGCTTAGAGTTTAGGGGTTCCATTTCAAGTTAAGACTCTGGATCAGTTTTATGGCTTAGGGATTTGGGTTCAAGTCTGGGTTAGATTTTGAGTTTGGAATTAAGGTTTATATTTATGGTTAGGGTTTAGGGTATAAGGCTTGGGTTAGGGTTAGTGTGGATGTTGAGTCTGAGGTTTGGGCTTAGTTTGAAATTTGGTTTGGGCTCAGGCTTGTACTCTGACTTGACTTTGATTTTAGGGTGTATGGATTCAGACTTGGGTTCTGGTTCAGGTTCAGAGTTTGGATTTGTATTTGTGTTAGGATTTGGGGTTGGATTAAAGGACATTATTGAAATGCAGTTTGGTTCTGGGCTGGAGTTAAGGTAGGGATTTGGTTCAGTTTGAGGTCTGTGTTGAAGCTCGGGCTCTGAGTCCAGTTCATGTTGGAGCTCTGACTAGAGCTCAGTTTGGACTAGGGCTTGGGCTCTGGCTGAGATTGAGATTAGGACAGGGGCTTAGGATGGAGCTAGGTGCAGGATAGTTCTCCAGATATCCTTGGACCATCCCAGTTCTCCCTTCTTTCTCACTCGTAATTTTCAAGAATAATTGTAGAATGTCTGGGAATGCAACACCCTGAGATAAGGAAGGCTAGTTGGAACAGCCCAGGCTTTGTTCCAGTGCCCCTCACCCAGAACAGGATGTCATACGACGCTTTAGACAAGTAGTTCCTGTACTCCCAGGGTATAAAATCCAGAGCAAACTGCTTTCCAGGATCCTTCAATTGCAGTGCAAGTGAGGCATGCACAGACAAGACTCTATCTGCCCTGAGCAGCTTTCCTGAACCTTGGGGGACTGGCTCACAGTGAATCCTAGGCTTCTGTTTTCTCTTACTGCCTATTTGTAATTAATACATTTGCTTCATCATATAACTTGTCTCACCAGACCCAGACAAGTTGGTAAGCAGTGCACAGTGAACCTGCTTTATGCAAGTTTATGGCTGGGGCTGGAAATGGTAATGGGATTGGGATTAGCTAGGTTTGGATTCTAGTTCAGGTTCAGATTTGGATTTAGGGTTTTCATGTTCAGGTTCAGGCTCTATCTTGGGTTTGGAGTTTAGTAGTTTGGGTTCAAGGTTCAGGTCTGGATTCAGATTTACAATTTGGGGTTTGGGTTCAGGATTATGATTTAGGTTTGGAGTCGGTGCTGGAGTGATTCACATTTGGGCTTGAGCTCTCACTCAGGTTTAGTTTTAAGTTTTAAGCCTGAGGTATCACTCTCATTCAATGTCAGAATTTAAGAGCAAATTTGATTGGAATTTGGTTTAAGATTACAGTTAGTGTTAGGGTTGAGTTCACGGTTTAAGTCGTGTTTTGAGTTTAGGTTTAGATTGGATTTATGGTTTGGGCGTGGGCTTGGGCTCAGACTCTGGCAATGGTTTTATGTTCAGGGATTTAGGCTTGGGTACGAATTCAGGTTAGAGTTGCTATTTGGCTCCAGGTCAAACTCAGGGCATGGGTCAGGTATTAGGTATATGATTGGAATAGAGGTCCGGGTTTGGGTGTGGTCTTGTTTGGATGCAGGGGTTGACTTGAGTTCAAGTTTGGATTTAGGGGTCTGGGCTGAGGACAATGTTGGCTCTAATTTATGGTTGTGGTTGGTTTTGGAATGTGGTTCAGGTTAGAGTTTTGGGCTCAGGTTTGAACTAGTGCTCTGCTCACACTGGAGTTGGTGCCATGGATGGGGACGGGGTTTGGGCCAGTGTTGAGGCTGGGTTTGAGTTTGGGACCATGAAAAGGTTGAAGTTGAGGTTAGTGTTGGGATCAGGATTTGGGTAAAGGATCAGGTCAGGGTTTGGAATTAAGTCAGGATATGATCCCTCAGCCTGGGCCTTGCCTCAGACTTGGTTTTAGAGTTTGGGTTTTGAATTCAGGTTAGTGGTCAGGTGCAGTGTTCTAGTCATGTTTGGAGTTTGAGTTTAGGGTTAGAGTATCAATTTGAGTTTGGGTTCATGCTTAGGCCTTCTTTTGGGGGCTAGGTTGAGGTCAAGGTGTAGCTCAGGCATAGGGTTTAGGTTTGGGTTTGGTTTTAGGATTCAGGCTTGGGCTGGGGTGTAGTTAGGTTCCAGTTAGGTTCTAGTTCAGGATTTCGGAGTTAAATTTTAGGTTCACATTCAGAGTTTGGATTGCGGTTCACATTCATGCCCAGACTTGGGCTTTGACTCCATTTCAATATTATGGCTAAGGGCTTTGGATTAGGATTTTGATTGGGGTTCAGGTTTTGCCTTTAGGTTTGAGTCAGGCTTTAATGTTTAGAGTTTGAGTAAATTATGCTTTAATTTCAGAGTTTGGATTTAGGTTATATTTCAGGTTTAGGGCTTTAGTTTGGTGTAGTTGTGGTTGGGGACAGGGTTTGGAACCCAGGTTTGGTTCTGGGTTGAAGTCAGCATTGTGGTTGGGATTCAGGTTGGTGTTTGGTTCAAAATGGGTTTTGGGATTTGGCTTTGGCTCAAGCTCAGGCTCTATTTCTAGCTTGACAGCTCAAGCTCTCACTGGTGCTGGGACTGGGATTGATGTCAAGTGTGGGTGTGGGATGTCAGGGTTGGGTTTGGGGTTGGGGGCAGGATTTGAATTGGGTTTTTTATGGTGCTCAGGCTTGAGTCCTGACTTGGCTTTGTTTTGGGGTTTAGGGATTCCAGCTTGGGTTCAGGCTTTAGAAATTTGAGTTAGGTTCTAGTTCAGGTTTGTGTATATGGGTTTAGATTGGAGGTTGAGGTTGGAGTTTTTGGTTTTAAGAATTTAGGGTTGGGTATGTGGTTGGGGTTAGGAACGGTTGGGGACAGAGTTCAAGTCAGGGTCGATTTGGGGGTTGGGGTAAGGGTTTGGACTCAGCTTGGACTCAGTTCTCAGGCTGGGGCTTGGCATGGGCTGGAGCTGGCACTTGGACTTGGCCTGTTCTTTGAATGTACTGGGGCTAAGGCTTAGCCTGAATTGGGGATAGGGTTCAGGTTGTGACTAGAGTTTTTTGTTTCTGATTATGTTTGGATTAGGGTTGGGGTTGAGGTCAAAGTTCGGGGTTGGAATTTCATCAGGAGTATTGATCAGGATTCAGATCAAGCTCTGATTCAGGCTTGGTTTGGGCATTTAAGGGTATGAGTTCTTGTTCATGTTTACAGTTTGGGTCCTGGTTCATGTCTTAGGGTTAAGGTTAATTTTAGGGTTGAAGTTCAGGTTCATATTCTGGTTGAGAGTTCACCTTTGGGTTTGAGTTGGCTTTACAGTTTAGGGTTCATGTTTGTGTTCTCCTTTGGATTTGTCTTTAGGGTTTAGATGTGAGGTCTGAGTAGTAGTCAAGTACGATTTTAAAGTTTAGGGTTGGTGTTGTGGTCAGAGTTGCTTTTGGTGTAGTGTCTAGGTTCATGCTCAGGTTTGTACCAGGGCTGAAGCTAGGGCTTGGCTTGGGGTTGGGTTAGGGTTAGGGTAGGGTTGGGGTGCTGGTTTTGACTAGAACTTGGGCTAGGATTGAGTTGGGGCTGCTTTGGATTATTGCGATTGGGTCGTGGAACCCCAGATTCAAACTCGTGTACCCAATGCACAGCTGAAGCCAAACACCGAGACACCAGTTCTTAGAGATAGAGAAAGGTTTATTAGATTTTGCCAAAGCAAGAAGGCGGGAGAGCAAGATCTGTCAAATCTGCCTTAACAAAAAGATGCAGCAAGGAGTTTTTATGCAGCTAGGGAATAAGGGAGTATTTCAGAGAACTGAAGGGCAACGTCTGTGTTTCTTCAATCTCAGATAACACCTGGAACAACCAGACTTCTGGGCATCAAAACCTGGTCCCAATGTCCTTCAAAACATTCATTCCTTTTGCCATTTTTTTTTTTTCGTGGCCCTGAAGTTATCTCCTCCTGCTTGACAAAGAAAGAATATGTCAGTAGTTTATAATTATATTGTGGAAACAAGGAATAATGGGCCAAAAATGAGTAGTTAACATGTTTAAGCAGTGGTCTGATCAGAATTTTCATTATTTCAGTCACTAAAATGCTGGGATGCTGAAATCTCAAGGGGCCTGATTACAGTTGGATTAGGGTGGCATGGAGTCAAAGTTGGGAACAGCATTGGCCTTGATATGGACTGGTGTTCTGTCTTGTTTAGGCTTGGGCTCTGACTTGGGCTTGGTTTTAGGTTCAGGTTCAAATGTTCAGGTTCAGGTTCTGACTTGTGTTCAGTGTTTGGCTTTTAGTTGGGATTTAGTATTAGGGTTAGTATTAGGATGGGCTTGGGGTTTGGCTTGTTTGTCAGGTCAATGTTAGAATTGGGGTTCTAGGGCTAAGTTTTAGGGTTTAGGGGTTCAAGTACATGTTCTGGTTTGCCCACATGTAAGTATAGTGTTCTGGGATTTTGGTGGGGTTCAGCTTTGGGTTTGATTGGGGTTTGTGGTTGGGCTTGAACTTGGACTCTCACTTGTGCTCAGTTTCAATGTATAGGGGGGTTCGTGTGCTGGTTCAGTTTTAGTGTTGTGTTTCAAAGACCAGAGCCAAGATCACAATGGTAGAAGGCAGATTTAACCCAGAGGAGAGCAGACCCCAGAGTGCAGGGGGCGGGGTCCTGAGCTTAAAGGGTGGCATCGCCCTGGAGTTAGAGGAAACAGCCTGGCCCCAAATGGTGAAGCTGTGGAAACAAAAGGCTGAGCCACATGAGCATAGGCAGAGGCCTGAGCTTCAGGCCCAGGGTGAGCAGTCTCATCCTTAGATGGAGGAGCAGTGGGTGCAGCTGGGAACAAAAGAATGAGCCATGCCCCCAGAGGGCAGAACCGCAGGCCCAGATGTCAGTTTCATGGTTAAGGGTTTAGGTTTGGGTTAGAGTTTGGGATTAGTGTTTATGGTTAAAATTAGAGGTACAGTAATGGTTGTAATTGGAGTTAGGTTTGGGTTTGGCTTTGACTTTGGGGCTTGGTATGGTTCAGGTTTATGCCTGGGTTGGGCTCCTGATTTAAGCTTGGTTTTAAAGTTTAGAAGTTTGGACTAAGGTTTTATTCAGCTTCAATGTTTGGCTTCAGGTTTCAGCTTGGGTTTAGAGTTTAGGTTTTGGGTCAGGTTACATTCGGTTTAAAGTTTGAGTTTGTGTTCAATTCTGGTTAAGGATTTTGGATTGGTGTAGGGGTCAGGGTTCAGGTCATGATCTGTTTGGAATTCAGAGTTTGGATTTGGGTTCAAGTTTGGGATCGAGGTTTATGGTAAGGGTTAGGGTTGGAATTGGAGTTGGGGTTTGATTCAGATTTGGATTGCAGTTTATGATGTCCTGGCCTGTGCATAGGCTCTGAATGAAGCTTGACTTTAGAGTTTAGGGGGTTGAATTAGGGTTTTGGTTCATGTTCATAGTTCACCTTCTGGTTCAACTTCAGGTTGGTATTGATGTTATGGATGGGATCAGGTTTGATGTCAGTGTCTGATTGGAATCTGGTTGGGGTTTGGGATTAGACTCTTGACTTGGGCTGGATTTTAGGGTATAGGACTTTGGCCTCAATTTGGGTTAGGGTTTAGTGTTTAGGACTAGGGTTCAGATGTGGATAGGATTTGTGGTTTTGTATTGAGGTCACGGTTATGATTGACAAACAGGTCACATAAAGAGTTTAGGATTGTGGTTGGGACTTGGGCTTAGGCTCAGGATAGGGTTAATAGGTTTCAGTTGGATCCTAGTTTACATTTGGATTAAGTGTCAAGATTTCTGGATTTGGGTTCAAGTGTGGGGATGGTTTTGTAACAGTGAAACAGCAAAAAAACTAACATAACTAATTCTATTTTTGTTTAAGGGACATTTACCCATTCCTGCACATAGGCTAGGATAATTTTAGAGCACTGAGATAATATGGAAAAACAGCAATCACGTAGCTTTTAAAACTAACTCTGAGATTAAAGAAAAAAGCATGTAAACAACTAACTGTGTTTTGTTAAAAGACTTATAGGAGCATTGTGACCTGACCAAGGACAAAGAATTTCCCAACCTCCTCGGGCCCTCACTGGCGCCCAGATGTCTGAAGTTGTTGGTCACTTCTAGATCCCAACTCCTTCCTCTACCTCTTGCCTTTAACATTAAAAGAACCTAAAATTTATAGTGACTTAAGATGATACTTTAGGATGCTAGCATGTCATTTTCTAGGTTTGCTGGCTTTCTTAATAAACCTGCTTTTCCTCTCACCTCCTGTCTCTTGAGTTTTGTCTTTCAAGTAGCAAGCAGCTGAACCTGGGTTCAGTTACAATTTCAGGATACAGGCTCAATTCTGGTTTAGGACTTACGGTGGGTGTTACCACTAGGGTTAGGGTGAAATTGATGTTGAGTTTCACTTTGGGATAATATTGAGTTTTGATTATGGTTTCAGATTTAGGCACTCAAGTTGAACTGGGGAAAATTGAGTTAGGGTTAGAGTCAGAAGTCTAGGTCAGGTTAAAGGTCAGGATCAAAGTTAGGGGTCAGAGATTGGGTCAGGGTCAGGGTCTGGGTTATAAATATGGGTTGGGGTTGGTGTCTGGATCTGGGTTGGGTAGGGGTTGGGGTCAGGGTCAGGGTTGGATCAGGGTCAGTGTCAGCATAGGGTTAAGTTTAGGGGTTAGGGTTAGGTTTTGGATCAGTGTTGGGGTCAGGGTCGTTATCACATTTTCCTCATTAGTTTAGCTTTATAATAAGTGTTAGGGTACAGATGTGTGAGTTTCTTAAGTTTGTGTTTATTCAGTGTTGTCTATTATAGGTTTAGAAACAGTTTGCTGGGAATTTAATTGAGATTGCACTGAATATATAGATCAACTTTGAAGGAATTTTTATCTTAACTATGTCTAGTCTACCAATGGTGAATAAGGAATATCTCTGCATTTATTTACGTTTTGTTTCTTTTAACTGTGTTTCTAGTTTTTATGAATGCATATGTGTACCTTTTTAAAAAATTTATACTTAAGAACTTTAATTTTGAGGCCTGCTGTTGTAAATGATATTGATTTTTTTAAATACTGTATTCCAGCTTTCAAATTCCAGTTTTATCCATACATAATTGCTGATACGTAGGACATCAATTGACTTTTGTCCGTTGACCATCTACTTTGCTTTTTATCTCTATCCATTTTGGTCAAGGCAAGGGATGGTAGGCTCTCTTTCAGTTTTAATTTCCAAAATCATGGCATGGAATTATCAGAACAATGGATTTTCAGAGATTCACGGGGACCGCAGACCGCAGCCTATGGGCACCACTAAATCGTGAGCGCCTGAGCATCCTGTACTGCCCCCAACGGCCTGTAGGGGCATGCAAACCCACCTTTTTGGACCCTCATGAGGCCCCCATGTTCTCTGCGTAGACATCCGGCACCTCCACAGTGAGGACCAAGCTTTGTTCTCAGGTTTCACCCAGGAGGTGCTGCTGTGGCTACAGGACAGCTGGGGGCCATGCCCAGGGAGGACCCAAATCTCCTTCTCCTCAGGACCCACCTGGGAGACCCTCTGTGGCTAAGGAACACCTGGGGGTCGTGCCCAGGGAGGACCCAAGCCTCCTTCTGCTCAGGAGGGACCTGGGGAAGCACCCTGGCTTCAGGACACCTGAAGGTGAGGAATAAGGTTCCTGTCCATGCCCTGAGTGCAGAGGAGGGAACGCTGCCATATGTTTTACTTTCCTCATGTTGTTAGGGATCCTTGGGGTGTTACTTTTCTGGCCGGAAACCTTTGTGGCTAGTGGAGCCTTTGCTGCAGTTTTACCCTGGCCCGCTGGACTCGTTCTACCCACTTGGCCTGGTAGGCTGCACTCAGCTCATGCTACTGGCCTGGAGCCCATGCCTGCCAAGGGCGAGTCAGGCGTGGAGTGGTGAGGGGTGTCTGAGCGATTGTAGGGTCTGGCCACTGCACAGCAGGCAGCTCAGGGTGCCGGCATGGGTGCTGGCTCTCTGCAAGGCTGTAGCTGGACTCTCTTTTCGGACTCAGCCCACCTGCACCCAGGTGAAATAAACAGCCTTGGTGCTCACACAAAGCCTGTTTGGTGGTCTCTTCACGCTGACGCGCGTGACACCAATGATGACCTTAAGTGATTTTTAATTAACTTCAGCTTAATAGGCCATCATTTTCAGGACCCAACTGTTAAAAGACAAAATTACAGCACATCTAGGTTTGCAGATCTTAATTGGCTTTTGTTTGAGATTCTAGAATCAGGCAGCAGTCCGGACCAAAAATGGTCCAGAATGCTCTGCCACATGACATCTGCAGGTTATGTTTATAACCACAGAAAAGAAAGTGACATACAGAAAACAAGTGAAATACAGAGACAGCTCCATTGGTTACAGCCTGGATTTGCCTTTATGGAACCTAGTTTGAACAGTTGGCCGCCTGCCATTGGCTGACACTTGGCAGCTGTGATTGGTTTAGCCTCAGCTATTTGTTATAAAGACAGATTTCTAAGTCAGATTTTCAGTTTGTTTATATACTAACTTAGGTTGTAGTTCTTTACAAGGACTCGTTGGGAGGCTTCTAAAGCCCAAATTTAGTTTAACAACTCCCTCCTTTTGGTCAGCCTTTTAATTTTGAGAAATTGACCAAAACTTTTGGGCATTGTCACCATGACTCCACTCTCTGTCATCATTATAAATGGGCTTATTTGGTCTCAGTATGGAATTCAGAAGTTCTTATTTGGTCTCAGTTCCCACTGGGCAATAGCAGAACAGTGAGTTTTGTAAGATGGAAACAAGGAAACAGAACAATGGAAAATAACAGCTGATTGGTTATGTAAACCAAAAATAAGATTCTAAGGCCCCCAACCACCTGAATGGACTCCTCTCAGCCAAGGGGATTGCAGAGTTAACCTGAAAATCTAGTTCAGACCATTGTGGAAGAGGGGGTTGGACATGCCTCATTACACCCCTCCAGCATTAACATCAACACAGACCTTAGGTCTGATAAGAAACGTTTATAATCTTTTTTTCTCTGAAGCCTGCTACTTGGAGGCTTCATCTGCATAATAAAACCTAGGTCTCCATAACCCCTTATCCACCCAGACATTCCTTTCTACTGATAATAACTCTTTCAACTAATTCCCAATCAGAAAATTTTTAAATCTATCTATGACCTGGAAGCCCCCACCCCGAGTTGTTCCACCTTTCCAGATCAAACCAGTGTAAATCTTACATGTGTTGATTGATGTATTATGTCTCCCTAAAATGTATAAAGCAAGCTGTACCCTTACCAACTTGGGTAAATGTCATCGGGACCCCCTGAGGCTGTGTCACGGGTGTGTCCTTAATCTTGACAAAATAAACTTTCTAAATTCACTGAGACCTGTCTCAGATATTTTGGGTTCAGTTAATATCAGGTCCCTTTTTGGGTAAGGGTTAAAGCAGAGGGGATTTCCTTATGCTGACTCAGGTAGACGGG
The DNA here is from genome assembly GCF_000001405.40 of Homo sapiens. Lineage (NCBI taxonomy): Eukaryota > Metazoa > Chordata > Mammalia > Primates > Hominidae > Homo > Homo sapiens. The sequence goes on from NC_000023.11 coordinate 155,957,892, forward strand.
AATCCTTTCTTTTTCAGGAAACACTGGTCTGTTTTGGGATTTATCTGCTTCCTTAACACTTCAGTTTGGTTGTGTGGCATTTGGCGTCAGTTATTCCATCCTGGTTTGGCCTGGTCTGTTGTGGCCTAGTGCAGGAGCCCAGTTAATAACTCTCCCCTTTTGGTCAGGTTCTCACCTAGGTGACCAAAACATAGGGCATTAGTAGTACTCTCAGTCACCATCATTTTGGGTTTCTGGTCTCAATGTAACGCCAAAGGTTCTTGCCTTAGCCACACCAAAGAATTGATGTGGCGGCAGCCGCGGTGAGAGAGAGACACGGATCAGACTGAGAGAAAAAAGCTGTAGGCTTTATTGAGCAGAGTGGCAGTACAAAGCTTCCACAGCGTGAAGGGTCCTGGGCCGGTAGCCAGTGTTAGATTTTTTGATCACCCCTTTAAACCCTTTAAGGCGGGAAATACGTGCGGCGGGAAGATGTTACCAGAGCGAGAAACAAAGACAATTAACATGTATCAGATCTGAGGAAACCGGAATTGTAACTTAAGGTTATCTACTTTATGACCTTGCAGCGGCATGGCAAAGGAGACAGGATCTCACAGGATTTTACAAACTGTGTTTACAAGGAATCGGAATTGGGAGCATAGATAAGGTTTGCTGGTCACAGAAAAACGGGCTTTTAACATTCCTTTCAGTTTCAGGGGAGGGGGAAGGGAGAGAGGGAGCGAGGACACAGGGAAGCTTACAGCAAAAGTTTCGCTGTTTATAGCTTTCTTGGGGAAGAAAACACATGCACAAATTCTGATGTTAGGAATATTTTAAGCATATATCTTCAATATTATTCATCCAGGACCAAAGTAAGTCCTGTTGCAGAAAATGAGTTTCATAGCTTTCTGAGCCCCTGCTAGACCCAGGAAGCCCAGCTGGCACCTCCTCTCATCAACACATCGTTTCAGTAAAGTCAAGAAAACTTTATTCCATTATTGTTACCAGTGGCAGGTATCCAAGTTACCCTGAGTTACTAACAGTGAATCCATATGTGTCTGCAGCAACTTCAGTTCTTGCCTCCTTAGGAGAAAGAATTCGACTGAGGGACATAAAGTGGAAGAAGAGACCAAGGCGAGTTTTAGAAGAAGAGTGTAAGTTTATTTTAAAAAGGCTTATAGAACAGGAAAGGAAGGAAAATTCGCTTTGAAAGAGACCCAAGTAGGCATCTGAAGGTCAAAGACAGCATTTAACTTTGATCCTAGGACTTTATAGGCTCACCTCTTTCCCATGATTTTTCCCTTAGGGTGGGCTGCCCGCATGCACAGTGCCCTCCTTACCCTTGGGAACTGAGCACTTGCCGTCTTTTTAGGAAGCTTGTACGCGTGCCCATCTGAGGCTTTCCTCTCTTTTCTGGTGGAGTGTCCCCAGAAGGTCATACTTCACCATTTTGTCTCTTAAGCACATGCCCAGGAAGTTTCTTCTCCCTGTCATTTGCATTCAATTAACACTTCAATGTTAACAGCTGTGGATCATCAGGAGATTCTCTCTCCCTGGTGCCCTGGTGCTGGCTGCCAAATTAAAAAACCTGCTTGTAACAGAAGTTGAATGGAGCTCATATCTACAGATATTTAGGTCTGAGTCTTCTGGGCAGCTGTCCTCATCTTAGCTCAAGTAAACTGTAAAATTCTATTTTGTGCCTCAGCTTCTTCCTTTAGGTCAACAATATGAACATACTTCAATATGGTACATTTGTTCCTGATGAGCTACTTCTGTTGTACAATCAAATGTAAGGAAGTGTCAATGAAAACAGTCAAACTCTGTAAAACATTTGAAGAGATTTATTCTGAGCCAAATATGAGTGACTATGGTTAGGACACAGCCCTTAGGAGGTCCTGAGAACATGTACCAAGGTGGTCAGGGTACGCCTTGTTATTATACATTTTAGGGAGACATGGCACTTCAATCACATACATTTAAGAAATACATTGGCTTGATCTATAAAGCTGGGACAACTCGAAATGGGGGGCTTCCAGCTTACAGGTAGATTTAAAATTTTTCTGGTTGACCATTGGTTGAATTTATCTAGAGACCTGGGATCAATAGAAAGGAATGTCTGGGTTAAGATAAAGGATTTTAGAGACCCAAGTTCTTATTTGCAGAGGAAGTCTTCAGGCAGTAGGCTTCACAGAGAATACGTTTTAAAATGTTTCTTATCATACTTAAAGTCTGTGTTGATGTTAATTCCAAAGAGGTATAATGAGGCATGTCTGACCCTCACTTCCCGTCTTGGCCTGAAACAGTCTCTCAGATTAAATTTTAGAGAGCCTTGGCTGAGGAGGAAGTCCATTTAGAAGGTTGGGAGCCTTAGAATTTTATTTTTGGTTTACAGAAGTGTATTTTGCTTTTGATATTATTAACTGTATTTCAAGTCTAACATGTTTTCCTAGGAGCATTAAATACTCTGTGGATTTTATTACACAAATAAGGCACAGATCCCATTTTATCATTACCTTCATTATTACCTATATTGACATAATTTCAACTGAATTTGGAAACATTCCAGAGTCTGGGCTTCCAATAATCCTTTGTGATCCTCTAAAAGGTATATTACATTTTTCCTCAAGACATAGCAATATCTAAAATCACTCATAGAATGTCCTGCCACTTTTGTTTATCTAATTTCATCAATTTCTCTAAAATTGACTTTGAATATCCCTTTAAACTCTTCTGTTTTAGAAAGCATCACAAGGAGACACCGAATGATCGTGGTCACAAAATCTGTTCATATTCTTCCTTTCTCTGAATATTTTTTGCAGTGACAAATATTTGTTTCTGTTGTATTACTGTTAAAAGGAATGCTTGGAAACAAAGACAAAGATTCATTACAATAAGTGATCCAGTCACAATAAATCAATTTGTCATTTGGACCTTTTTTTTTTTTCTGAGATGGAGTCTTGCTCTGTCACCCAGGCTCGAGTGCAGTGGCGCGATCTCGGCTGACTGCAACCTCCGCCTCTTGGGTTCAAGCAATTCTGCCTCAGCCTCCTGAGTAACTGGGATTACAGGTGCCTGCCACCACACCCAGCTAATTTTTGTATTTTTAGTAGAGACCAGGTTTCACCATGTTGGCCAGGCTGGTCTCAAACTCCTGACCTCGTGATCCACCTGCCTTGGCATCCCAAAGTGCTGGGATTACAGGTGTGAGCCACCGTGCCTGGCCCTTTTTTATTTTTTAAAGTTGTACTTTTGAAAATGTTCAGCAATGAATTGAAATAGTCTCTAAAATGTGATTTTTTCCCTGGTCTAAGGTGACCAGATTTCTAGAGAGTGAACCCAGGACAGAACCACACCACAAGTAAAAAATATGATTAATAAGTTTACACGAGTATGTTATTTTAACATAAAACATGCAAAAGAGGCACTTATTTGGAATTATTTATTAGTCTGCATTATATACTTCACAGCATCATGAATGTTCTTATTTTTTAAATGTAGGACTAGTTAGTGTCAATTACTACTATTAGTACAAATAATTAACAAACTATAGAAATAATCCCTGAAAGTATAGTCTTAATTATTAGTACAAATAAATAAGCAGATGTTTGAAAAAAATTACGTTTTGAATAAAGTTATTATTTTAAATTAGTTTTAGATTCACACAGAAATTAGAAAGAAGAATGCAGATTTCCCCTGTAGCTGCAACCTAGTTTTCCCTCTTATTAACATATTAGTATGTATCAGATGTCTTCTTAACATCTTACATCATTTGTTACCATTAATGACCAGATATTAATATGTTATTACTAAATAAGCCCACGTTTTATTTGGTTTCCCTCAGTTCTATCTTTTTCTATTCTGGGATCCCATCTCAGATCCTACAGGACATTTAGTTGTCATGTCAGGCTCTTCTTGCCTATGATTGTTTCTCAGACTTTCCTTCTGATAGCCTTGACAGTGTAAGAAAGACTGGTCAGGTATTGTGTAGAAAATATCTCATTGTGGTTTACTTGGTATTTTTCTCATAATTATACTGGGGTTACGGGTTTGGGGGAAGCAGATCAGATGTGTAGTGCTATTCTAGTCTCTTCATGCTCTCAAGATGCATTATCACCATTAATGTTAATTTTGATCACCTGGCTGAGGTAGTGTTTTTAGGTTTCTCACTGTGAAGTTACTTTTTCCCCATGTCCATACTGTATGTATTCTTTTGGAGGAAATAAGCATGCAGAGCCCACACTTAAGGAGTAGGGAGTTAGCTCTACTTCCTTGATGGCTGAGTATCTACATTAGGTATTTGGAATTCTTCTGTATAAGATATTTCTATTTGGCCAATTTGCATATTTATTTAATCATTTATTTAGACCAGTATGGACAACCAGACAGTTACTTCAATCTTTTGGTTATTATCCAATTGTACAGTATTTTGTTGCTTTGATTTCCTACCTGTGGCCATTGGGAGATCTTTCTATTGGCTCCTGTTTTCCTTTGACATAACTGCATGTTTTGTTTTGTTTTGTTTTAACAATTTCTTTCTGACACTTCAAGAGTATCCTGGCTCATATATTTACTGTCTCAGCCCTAGTTTAGCTATTTCTTCCAAGAGCACTGATTTCCCTTATTAGAGAATGGTTTTAAAAACTTATATCTGGCAGCTAAATATGCTCATTGCATCTTGTCCCTCACAGCTGACAATGCAAGGAAATATATATGTGTGTGTTCTAACCTACATATACATGCCTAATTATAAAGATTTCTATGTGGATCCATCTGTGTATATATTAAGCTACATGTGAGTTTATACTGATATCTCCAATCAATGGACTCTGATCCATTATCACAAGAATTATTCTAGCCTCCCCTGCCTTTCTTGTCTGTAAATTCTCACTCTGACAGCAAGGAATTAGCTTCTACCATCTGCCATTTATTTAATCCCTTGTTCCAGTATAAACACCGAATTTATTGTTGTTGATTCAAATTATAAGTTGTGATTTAATAATAAATATATGTTTGGTCTCTGTCTCTATTTCCTGGTACAGAGCTCCCAAAACCCTTACAATTTCTTGAGTGATAGGGGTGCTAGGAGCATTTTTTGTTCTCATATTTGGTCTTTGACCCTGGTTTCTGACACAGAGTTTCCAAATGCCTTAAAAATCTCTCAGGTAATAGGAATGTCTTTTGCTCTGCTCCTGGATGGCTTCAGGATGGGGCGTGGTCACCAGAAATACCAAGCCATGATTAGAAGCTTGTAACTTTCAGCTTCATATCCTATCCTCTGAGGGGAAAGGGGGCTGGAGATTGAGTTAATAATCAATCATGCCTATGTGATAAAGCCTCCATAAAAATCCCTGAAAGAGGTGGGAGGATCACTTCAGGCCAGGAATTTGAGGCCTGCCTAGGCAACACAGTGAGACTCCATCTCTACAGAAAATAAGAGAGTTGGGTGTGGTAGTGTGTGCACGTAGTCCTAGCTACTTGGGAAACTAAGGCAGAAGGATTGCTTGAGGGCGGGAGTTCAAGGTTGCAGTAAGCTATAATTGTACCCCTGCACTCCAGGCTTGGGATAGAGCGAGACTTTGTCTCTTAAAAAATCCTAAAAGATAGGGTTTAAAGAGTTTCTAAATTGTTAAATACATCCATGTGCAGGGAGCATGGCAAACCCCAACTCCATGAGGACAGAGCTTCCGCACTTCCAAACTTTGCTTTGTGTACCCCCTTATCTGGCTGTTCATGTGTTTTCTTTACCATGTCCTTTATAATGAACTGGGGTCTTAGTCCTTTCAGGTTGCTATAAAAAAATACCATAGACTGGGTAACTTTTAAACAACATAAATTTGTTGCATATAATTCTGGAGCCTGGAAAGTCCAAGATCAAGGCACTGGAAGATTCCATGTCTGGTGAGGGCTCGTCTCTCAGAGATAGTACCTTCTAGCCATGTCCTCACATGGCAGAATAGAGAAACAGGCTCCCTACAGACTCTTTTATAAGGGCACTTGTGCCATTCATGAGGGCAGAGCCTTGATTATTGGGGAAATCTGTCCCCAGTATTTCAGTGTAGGTTCTTTCTGTCTTTCATAAGTGTCGGCCGGCTGAGAAATAAAGACAGACAGTACAAAGAGAGGAATTTTACAGCTGGGCTGCCGGGGGTGACATCACATATCAGTAGGACCATGATGTCCACCTAAGTCTCAGACCAGCAAGTTTTTATTAAGGGTTTCAGAAAGGGAGGGAGTGTAAGAACAGGGAGTAGGTACAAAGATCACATGCTTCAAAAGGCAAAAAGCAGTGCTGCTAGTAAGGGTCTAACAAAGATCACATGCTTCTGAGGGAACAGGACAAAGGGCAAAAGCAGAACTACTAATAAGGGTCTATGTTCAGCAGTGCACATATTGTCTTGATAAACATCTTAAATAACAGAAAACAGGGTTCAAGAGCAGAGAACCGGTCTGACCACAAATTTACCAGGGTGAAGTTTCTCCCCACCCTAGTAAGCCTGAGGGTACTGCAGGAAACCAGGGTGTATCTCAGTCCTTATCTCAACTGCATAAGACATACATTCCCAGAGCGGCCATTTATAGACCTCCCCCCAGGAATGCATTCCTTTCCCAGGGTATTGATATTAATATTCCTTGCTAGGAAAAGAATTTAGTGGTATCTCTCCTACTTGACGCGTCCATTTATAGGCTCTCTGCAAGAAGAAAAATATGGCTCTTTTTGCCTGACCCTGCAGGCAGTCAGACCTTATGGTTGTCTTCCCTTGTTCCCTAAAAATCGCTGTTATTCTGTTCTTTTTCAAGGTGCACTGATTTCATATCATTAAAACACACATGTTTTACAATCAATTTATACAGTCAACACAATTATCACAGTGGTCCTGAGGTGACATACATCCTCAGCTTATGAAGATAACAGGATTAAGAGATTAAAGTAAAGACAGGCATAAGAAATTATAAAAGCATTATTTGGGAACTGATAAATGTCCATGAAATCTTCACAATTTATGTTCCTCTGCCACAGCTCCAGCCAGTCCCTCTGTTTGGGGTCTCTGACTTCCCACAACACTTGACAATGAATTACCTGTTTAAACCATCCTCTTGGAGGTTAGGTTTCAACATATGAATTTTGGGGGGACACCAACATTGAGATCATATTAACCAGTAAACATAAGTAAATGTTTCCCTGAGTTCTATGAGCCATCATAGCAAATTATCAATCCTGAGGAGGAGGTGTGGGACTGTTCAATTTGCAGCTAAGTCATACAGAAGTATGAGTAAACTGGGGATTTACTAGTTGTGATTGGCATCTGAAGTGGGGGGGGCAGTCTGGTGTTACTGAGCCCTTAAACTATTAGGTATGTAATAACTCCAGTTAGTTCATGTCATAATTGAACTATATAACACCCAGCTGGTGTCCAGAAAGTTGGAGAATTGGTTGATATGGGAAAATCCCTCATATATTTGGTGTCAGAAGTGAAGTATTGAGAGTATAGATGAAAAACAGGTTTTTTTTTCTTTTTACAGATATACTGGTTTCAAAATTGACTATTACCCCTGGGGGAGAGAACTTTATAAAATAGAGACCACTATTTATATTCAGTATATTCTGCTTTTAGACTATAGATTCTACTCATTTCCAAAGTGACTTAGGTTAGCACTTTCTGCCCATCACCTGCAGTGAGTTTTTCCATAAATTTGTAATACAGTTAGATTCCTGATCCCATTCTATATTTTATCCTTGGATACTACTGCACCCTAAATGTTTGATTTAATTTGTATAGCTTGTGATTTATTCTTTGGGCTGTAAAACTATATCAGTTTTATAAAATGCATAGTGTCAGGTATCCACCATTGAAGTACCTTCAAATACCCACCCTATGTAACCACTGATTCGTTTATCTCTGTAATTTTGCCTTTCCCAAAATATGATATAAAATGGGGTGAAATGGTGGGTAGCCTCTTCAGACTGGCTTCCTTCACTTAGCAGTATACATGCAAGATTTACCCATGTCTTCGCATGCGTAGATAGTTTATTCCTTTCTATTTATGAATGGTACTCCATTGCATAGATGCACCCCAATTTGATCATGCATTCAGCTATTGAAGGAAATTCTGATTACATTTTGACCATTATGAATAGAACTGCTGTACATAATTACATGCTGGTATATGTTTGAACATAACTTTTCAAAGCAGTTGTCTAAATACAGGCAATTTAGGAGTGCAATTGTCAGATTATAAGGTGAGAGTTGTTCAGCTTTGGAAAAAAAAACGCGAAAGTGTCTTCTGAAGTGACTGTACCATTATGCGTTCTACCAGCCAATGAATGACAGCTCCTATTGTTCTTCAGCCTCCAGCAAGTGGTTTATCAGGGCTCTTTTAGAGTTCAGCAGTTCTAAAGGGTGTGCAGCTATCTCATTGTTGTTTTAATTTACAATTTCCTAATGATATGTTGAGCACCCTTTTGTATGATTATTTGCTATCTTTATATTTTATTTGGTCAGGTGTCCATTTAGCTATTTACTCATTTTAATTGGGTTTTTAGTTATCTTATTGCTTCTTTTTAAGAGTTCTTTTTGTGTTATCATTATTTTTAGAGACAGTGTCTTGTTATATTGCTCGGACTGGTCTCAAACTACTAGCTTCAAGCCATCCTCTTGCCTCAGCCTCCCAAGTAACTGGGATTGCAGGCATGAGCCACCCCACCCAACATCTTTTTATATTTTTAATACAATTGTTTTTACCAGATATGTATTTTGTAAATACTTTCTCCCAGTCTGTGTCTTGTCTTTGTTCTCTGAATAGGCTCTTTCTCAGAGTTGAAAATTTAGTTTTATAAAGTCTGTGTTATCAGTATTTTTTCTTTTGTGATGTGGCTTTTGGTATTATGTGTTAAACCTCAGCACCAAATCCAAGGTTGCACAGGCTTTCTTCTAGAATGTTTATAGTTTTGCATTTCAAATTTCAGCCTATGGATGATTGTGAGTGAATTTTTGCATAATTTTAGTTTGCATGTACATTATTTTCATTCCATATGGTTTCTAAATAATTGTTCCATCACTATTTTTGAAAAATACACGGGATAGTGAATTTCCAAAATAATCGCACTGAGTAAATGAATGCTGAATTGTATTGATTTTTCAAGAGAGCCAAGAGGGGGCACACGTCCACCGATAAACTGTGAGCAAGAGCGTCCTGTGCTGAGTCCTGACAGCCACCAGATGGCATGTGAACCCGCCTCTTCTGACCATCTCCCCTCAGATGGTGGGAGCAGGGAGACAAGAACTTCATTTTCCTCAAGGCTCCAGGATGGAGATCTAAACTTGATACTGTTCAGTGGTGAATTAAAAGCTTCTGTCCACAACTCGGAGTGTAGCGGAGATTCTGATTCAGAGGATTCTGCACAGGAAGGGTTCATGTAGAAAAATATAACCCCAAAATCCCACTGTTGCCATTGCACCCTGAGATCATTCTCAACATCCAAGACATAGTGGCTACAATATATATTCACACAATGGCCTCTAGTAGTTAGTATCCACTCAGTGGCCCCTACTACTGATGGAATCATGTCCACACAGTGGCCACTAATGAAATTCACACTCTTTTGAGAATTATTGGTTTCACAGCTTTGGCTGAAATGGAGCCTCTATAATGAAGTTTGATGTCATCTCTACTTTCCTGGTATGGTATTGATATGGTTGTTTTATAAAGTAATTTACTTTCCAGTAAATTCATACTTATAGGAAACATGCAATGGCAGTACAAAATACCTTTTATCCTTTCTCTCAGATTCCCCAGTGGTCACTCCAGTACCAGATTTGCAACTTCACACAAAATACTCTACTGTATTTTACTCAAAGCAGGGACACTCTCCCAGGTAACCACCACATAACCTCCAAATCAGGAAATCAATATGGTTTCTACCTGACAATCCAATCAGCTGACCCAGTTCACTTTACTGCCTGTGCTGACTGTGAGAAAAATGTCTCTTTCCCTTTGGATCCAGTTTTCTTTTCCTGGAACTGTTCCTGTGACTATCTCTCAGTTTCACAACCTTGGCAGATTTAAATAATAGAGATGAATCCAAGCTGCCTCTGTCATAGTTTTGCCAATGCACCACAACATAGAAGTTTCTCTTTGCCTGAGGTAGTACCTGGAGTTCTTTGTCTCATGACCAAGAAAGTTAAGGAGTGCAGACACAAAGGGTGAGGTTGGAGTGAAAGTTTAATAAGCCAAAGATGAAAGCTCTCCACTACGGAGAGGGGACCCAGAAGAGGGTTGCTGTTTTTACAGTTGAATGCAAAGGCTTTTATAAGAAACAGATGAGGTCTTGGTATCTCATTTGCATAAGGCATGAATTTCTGGTGGCGCCACCCCATCTTTCTAGTGCACATGCGGGCTCTTATCTTGAGTTCACTACCTAATTGCTTTGTTCCCCCTTACTGTGCATGTGTCAGGGGACAGAATTTTCCATTGTGGGCATGTCTGGGCAAGTCACCTGTGTAGCTTTTCTTATCTGGTGTGCTGTAGCCATGTCTTAGGCAAGTCCCCTTGTGCATGTTCCTTATCTGTGCCTGCAGGCTGTTCTTTTGTTTGAAAGGATTCATCTGAGCACCCACCCTAACTGCTGCCTGACCGGGTTTTTTCCTTTCTCCTCTCTCACTTCTGCCCCCTGTTTCCTCCTGAGCAGTTGCAAACACTGCACTCCTCAGTACAGCCCACCAGGAGGAACACAGAGCCACCCACCCACCACAGGTGATCTCAACTTGATAATGGCAAAATACACACATAAATCTCATCCTGTCACTCTCCTGATTTAATGTTCCTAATGGGTTTCCACTGGCCTTAGAACAAGGTCCATATGGCTTTTCATGGTCTACTGGCCCATGAGTGCTCCTGCCTGCTCCCCTCTCCCATTCAGTCAGCCCCAATTACCTGCAGTCCAATTTGCTTTCAATTACAGGGACATAGCAGGCTTGTGGGTGTCTCAGGAATTTTATGCATGTTCTCTTAACCCATGCACCCAGCGCCCCCAACCTTATCAAATTTTCTAAGACTTTGTCCGGCTAATTCTGTTGTAGTATGACAAGCCACAGACAAAACCCCTCAGACACCGACTTAAAGAAGGAAGTGGTTTATTTGGTCGGGAGCATTGGCAAGACTCTTGCCTCAAGAGCTGAGCTCCCCAAGTGAGCAATTCCTGTCCCTTTTAAGGGCTCACAACTCTAAGGGGGTGCACATGAGAGGGTCGTGATCAATTGAGCAAGCAGGGATAGGTGACTGGGGGCTGCATGCACTGGTAATTAGATCAGAACAAAACAGGACAGGGATTTTCACAATGCTTTTCTATACAATGTCTGTAATCTATAGATAACATAACCAATTAGGTTAGGGGTCGATCTTTAACTACCAGGTCCAGGGTGTGGTGCCGGGCTGTCTGCTTGTGGATTTTATTTCTGCCTTTTAGTTTTTACTTCTTCTTTCTTTTGATACAGAAATTGGGCATAAGACAATATGAGGGGTGGTCTCCTCCCTTATTCCCCCCCCACTTTGAGAATCTCACTCAACAGTGGGAGTTCTCACTTTTATTCTCCTTACCCATGTCTTCTTGCAAGACAGATCAATAGTGATTCATATAGTACACTTGTGCTGAAGCATTTTGGTGAACTAAGGTAGCAATGAAGCTTTGTATCATTTGAAGAAGTACAGGTAGCAAACAAGGGAGCAGTAAGCAGGTTCCTATTACTATTATAACTCTTATTATAAGAGGTTTAAATCCTTCTAGCGCTGGGAACCATTTTCCAAACATGGCTGCAGGATCAAATCCATGCCACACTTGCACGGGCACATGTGCCAGTTTTGTCATATCTCTAACTATGTCTTCCACTACTTGCCCTTGATCATCTATGTGTAGACAGCAATTAGTAAGGTTAAATTTCCCACACACCCCTCCTTCAGCTGCTAGCAAGTAGTCGAGAGCCAATCTATTTTGATAGATAGCATTTCTCATCTGAGTTTCTTGCTGGGCCAGTATAGTCAAGGCTCTGCCTGTTTTATTAGTGATTATTTCTAAGACAGCTTGTAACCGTGTGATTCAGTTGATCATGTAAATGGGGGTCCAGTATCCCCATGAGCTGTCTTGTGCCTAAGTAGCAGGCCCATAATATTGTATGATTCTCTCAGGGGGCCATTCATCATCTTTCCAATTTCTTATAGCTATGCTTCTCTTTTTGCAGGAAGCATACACAGGGAAGCCCAGGAGTTCACCTGTTTTTGTGGGCAGTGGGAAGAAAGATGGTCTAATAGTGCCAATAACACAACTACCTGCCCACTGGTCGGGTAATTTGGCGTAACTCTATGCTCCCATATCCAGTATAATCCAGTGGGGGCTGTCCACTCCCGGTGGGACTCCAGGTGAGTCCACCCATTTTGCAACTTTGGGAATTTACTAAATGGATTCCTTTCTGTGTGATTTGAACTGCACCAAGTGACTGTTTTTGTGGTACCATTATACAGTTTCTGTCCTAGACAACTAAGTAGCCCTACGGGGTGAGTGAATTCTTTTCTTTCTCTAGCTATGCAATATTGTCCAATAATTGAGGCTTTTAGGACGCAGAAATTATCAGGGTGATTCTTTTCAGCCAGGAATTCATCAGGAACTCGTCTGTAGCTACTAATTCTCGGGCTTCTCATGGCCATTGATCTCCCATTACAGTTCCTCCACATACATAACATGAAGTGACATTGAGAGACTGGGCTACATGCTCGGCTAATTGCAAAAACAAATTTCTTGTTTTTCCTGGAATTTCTGGTACTGGCACATTTAATTCATCATAGAAAGTTGGAAACACTGGCTCAGGAGAGCGTCTGTAAACTTCTCCTCGAACTAAGATATTTACTCAAGGATCCAGTCTGGCCCCATCGATTTCTAAGGTCACACGCTCCCCTTTTTTCCAGTGAGGATCAAGGGGGTTGGTTATTACTAGCTCTAAGGGGTTACAATGTCCCTTAGTACAGGAAGGGCCATTTTTTCCTTTCTGAAGGTGGACTGGATCCTTTTCATTTTTTATCTAAGTGGCCCAAATGACACAAGACGAGCATCCACATTCATTTCTACACAGTCTTAATTCATGACAAATGTACTTATTTTCAGTAATATCACCTTTTTCCTAACTAAAAAAGCCGCATCCCCTTCCTAACTTATTGCTATTAATGACAGCACAGGCATCAAATTTCAAGATTATGTGTTTGGGCACCCCTTTTTCTTCTGTTCTGGCTAATACTTTACTAGTATCATTTATGAGTCCCCACCAGTCTTCAGTCCTTAATCTTATTTCAAAAACTGTCCACATGGGAAGCTCAGAGGGGTCATAACACACATCTGGTCAGTCGTTTTCTGGGCTACATACCTTGTACTGAGTGTCATTATATAAACATGTTCCTTTTAAAGTTCCTAGGCATTCATAGTAACTATAGAACAGAAAGATTGTTTTAACTTGCTGCCCTACCTCGGTAACCTCATGTATACACTGAGAGCAGTCTCCATGTGGAGAAAATCAGTGGAAATTTTTACTATACAAGTCCAAATTATAAGGAAAATGAGTCCCATGATGATCTTCCTCATGCTTCAGCCACGTAGACCAGTCAGCTTCCGGGTGTGACTGGAACAGGGCTTGTTGTCCTCCTCAGAGTCACTTTGCAGGGTTTGTCTGGGCTCGGTTTTGCCTCCCAGGTTTCAGTGGCTGCAGGTTTCACACGGCTGTGGTGGATCCAGGCTGGGATTCCTTCTACCTTTACAGCCATGGAGGTGGTCAGGAAGATGGTCTGAGGTCCTTTCCACCGTGGCCGCAAAGGGGCTACGTTCCAGTCCTTTATCCACACAAGACCACCTGGGGAGAAAGTATGAATTGGGGCGAATAAGCTGATGGGACACCTCTCATTTACCCAAGTTGAGATTGTTTGTGTAATTTTTCCTAAAGCCTGTAGCTGTCGCTGTAATTCAATTCCACCTAACTCTCAGGGAGTGCCTGGAAGCTCCCATAATATAGGAGGAGGCCTATGATACAGTATATCATAAGGGGAGTATCCTGTTTTCTTAGAAGGAGTGCATCTAATTTTAAACAATACCATAGGAAGGGCCTGTATGCACTTTAATCCTGTTTCCTGACATACTTTCCCTATTTTTGATAGTATAATTCATTCGCTCCACCTTTCCGGAACTTTGAGGTCAGTAGGCGGCATGTAGCTTCCAAGTGATTCCTAATGCCTTTGCTGTCTTCTGTACCAAGTCAGCCACAAATGCTGGCCCATTATCTGAGCCGATTCATAAGGGCAGTCCAAACCTAGGAATAAGATCTCAGAGAAGCACACGGGTTACCTCGTAGGCCTTTTCAGTTCGTGTTGGATAAGCCTCCACCCACCCAGAGTAAGTACACACAAGAACCAGCAAATACTTGTTACCTCCACATTTTGGCATTTCTGTGAACTCCACCTGAAGATCCTCAAAAGGAGCCACTCCATAAGCTTGTATGCCGGGCGGAACAGTGGGGCCTTGCCTATCAATGTGCTGTGGGCAAGTAACGCACCATTGTGCTACTGCTTTGGCAAGGGCTGGCAAGTGTGAGACGTAGAAGTACTGCCCTAACAATTTTTCAAGTGACTCTTGTGCTAGATGAGTGGTTTCATGCATGGCCAATACGATTGTGGCTCCCAGCAACTGAGGCACAGCTACCCTCCCATCTGGCAGTCTGATCCATCCTCCTTTTTTTTACTTGCCCCCTTTCTGAGTGGAAGAAGTCTTTCTTCCTTAGAATAGGTAGGTACCAGGTCAGGTGTTTGAGGGAGTAAGGGGGTTGCTACCGATGCCCAGTAAGGGGTAGATGCTGCTTTTCAAGCTTCTGAGTCAGCTCGAGAGTTTCCTAAGGCCACTGAGGTGGAAGCTCGCTGGTGTCCCCTGCAGTGCATGACTGCCACCTTCTGAGGTTTCCACACTGCCTCTAATAATTGTAGAACTTCTTGTTGATATTTTATGTCCTTTCCCCTAGAGTTTAACAGGCCCTTTTACTTATATAATGCTCCATGCACTTGAAGGATTAGAAAGGCATATCAAGAGTCAGTGTAGATGTTTACAGTCTTACCTTCACTGAGTTCTAGAGCCCGAGTTAAAGCAATGAGCTCAGCCTTCTGGGCTGAAGTGCCTGTGGCAATGGTTTGGCTTCAATGGACAGCATCCAAAGTTACCACCGCATATCCTGCACATCTTTCTCCATGTGGATTGTGAAGTTGCTCCCGTCCATGTATAACTCCCAGTCTGCTGATGCCCATGGCTGGTCCCGAAGGTCAGGTCTGCTAGGATAAACTGAGTCCAACACTTCTACACAGTTATGCTTGACCGGGCTCTCTGATACTGGGAGCAGGGTGGCGGGATTTAGGGTGTTACGGACTTCAATGGTTATGCGGGGATTTTCACATAGCAAGCTTTGGTACTTGGTTAATCTAGCATTTGTTAGCCAATGATGTCCTTTGCTATTCATCAAAGTTACCACAGCATGGAGGGCCTTTATATTCAGGTTTTGCCCAAGGGTTAGTTTATCTGCTTCTTGTGCTCACAGGGCTGTTGCTGCCAGGGCCCTTAGACATGGTGGCCAGACTTTGGAAACCTCATCTAGTTGTTTTGAGAGATAGGCCACTGGCCTTGGCTGGGGCCCCACAGTCTGGGTTAAAACTCCAACTGCCATTTTTTCTCTTTCTGACACATAGAGTGTAAAGGGCTTTGTCAAATCTGGTAGTCCTAGGACTGGGGCCGACATAAGTTTTTCCTTTAACTTACAAAAGGCTTGCTGTTGTAGAGGCCCCCATTCAAAAGGCTCCCGGTCGCCCCCATTTGTAACCCTGTAGAAAGGTTTGGCTAGTACTGCAAAGTTTGGAATCCATAATCTGCAAAACCCCACAGCTCCTAGGAATTCCCTTACTTGCCTTCTGGTTTTAGGTTCCAGTAGGCTGCAGATGACCTGCTTTCTTTCTGACCCCAGGCTGCACTCCCCTTTCTGAACAGTAAATCCCAGGTAGCTTACCTGCTGTCTGCAGATCTGAGCTTTCTTCTTGGACACCTTATACCCACAGTCCTCCAGGTGCTGAAGCAGGGCATCCGTCCCTTTTGCACACCCAACTGCCATGGAGTGTCCCAGCAGAAGGTAGTCCACATACAGGAGCAAGACACAGCCTAGGTCTTTAGCAGGAAACTTTTGCAGGTCTTAAGCCAGGGCCTCCCCAAAGATAGTAGGGGAGATCTTGAACCCTTGGGGAAGCCAGGTCCAAGTGTACTGAGTAGTGACACCTGACTCCGGATCTTCCCACTGAAAGGCAAACAGCTTCTGGCTCTCAGGAGCTATTTTGATGCTAAAGATGGCATCTTTTAAGTCCAGACAGGTAAACCAGCTGTCCTCAGCCGGCAGCAGCCCTAACAATGTGTAAGGGTTAGGAACTGTTGGGTGCAGAGTCACTGTAGCTTGGTTGACCAAGCGCAAGTCCTGTACGATCGATAGTCCTTGGTCCCTTGGCTTAGGGACCAGGGAGGAGGGGGTGTTCCCATGGAGACTGGCAAGGAACTATAATTCCAAACGCTTTCAAGCGCCTGAGATGAACCTGGATTCCTTTGAGAGCTTCTCTGGGAACTGGATACTGCTTTTGTCTAATTGGTTGGGCCCCAGGCTTAACTTCTATGTGTACAGGGGCTTGGTTGACCACCAGTCCCGGAGGATTATCCTCTGCCCATACTTGGGGCCATCGCTTAGCTAGAGCTGGTTTTATCTCTTGGCCTGGCTCAGTTAGAAAAAGTCTCCATTCTTCTTCCTGGGGGACCATAAGGGCCATGATAACTCCTGTTCCTGGTAACTTTAGCTGTAAAGAGCCCTGTTTGTAAAGGAGATGTTGGCTGTCAGCTTGCTAAGCAAGCCTTTTCCCAGCAAGGGCACGGGACAGTCAGGCATGTAAAAGAACTGGTGAACTATCTCAGGTCCCCGCACCGAGCAGGTCTGTGGTAGACAGAAAGTGTGCTTAGTGGAAACTCCTGTTGCTCCGATTATATCAATGATTTTCTTGGATAAGGGGGTGACTGGGGTGGTCACTACTGAATGTTCAGCACCAGTATCAACCAAAAATTTAATGTCCTTGCCCCCAGTTGTAATCCTGACCATGGGCTCTTTGGGGGCGCTTGAGCCCGGTCCCCTTCCATCCAGTAGCCCTTCAGCCAGATTGAACAAAGCTCCCTCATCTTTATCTGAGGTCTTTTGTTGTGAATCACCTTGCTTTTCCTTCAGTTGGGAACAATTATCTTTCCAATGTCCTATTTCCTTACAATAGGCGCACTGGTTACGTTGCAAGAGTGTGCCATTAGACTGGGTATTCTTCCTGGAACCCCCCTTTCCCTCTCCTTTCAGGGGAATTCCCCTAATGGCCGTGGCCAGTAAGTCGGCGTTTTGCCTGGCCTGGCGTTCGCCTTCCTTACAGCTTTCTCTGTGGCTTGTTGCATCTCTATTCACAAACACTTGATTGGTTATTTCCAGTAACTGTGAGGTATTCATATCCACAAACCCAGCCTGTTTCTGCAATTTTCTCCTGATATCTTCTGTGCTTTGACTAAGGCCATGTTAATCATGCGCTGATTTTCAGGGTTATCTGGATCAAAACGAATGTACATATGGTAAGCCTCACACAGTCTTTCATAGAATTGCACTGCACTTTCCTCTTTTCCTCGGTTGACCTTAGAGACCTTATTTACATTTGTAGCCTTTTGAGCCCCTTTCTTTAGACCTTCTATTAATGCCTCATGGTACCGTCTTAGCCTCTCCATGTCTGGTCCCTCATTCGGGTCCCATTAGGGGTCTGTTCCTGGCAGCTGAATTCTTATATATTCTTGGGGGTTTTGGTAATCGGCTGGGATGTGCTCCTCTAGCCACTTAGTTGCCGCCTGGAGTACCCTTCGCCTTTAATCTGTATTAAAGAGGTACATGAGCAGCTGGTGGCAATCAGCCCAAGTAGGATTATGAGTCTGTATAATAGTTTGGAGCAAGTCAATTAAAGCTTGAGGCTTTTCGGTATAAGATGGAGTATTATTTTTCCAATTGAGGAGGTCAGCAGGGGTGAAAGGTTGATACACAAAGGCACGCCTTTCCACCATGTGTCCCTCCTCATCTATCCCAGTATATCGCTGCTCTCTCAGGGGCATTTGGATTCCAGTCTTGGGCTGTAAGCGAGCTGCCATGGGAGGAGTTTCTCCCGCGGCTTCATTTCCTCTTTTGTCTACTCTGGGTGGTCTAGGGGTGTGGTTATCTGGTGGAGGTGTAGGTGCTGTGGGCTCAGGGGTGGGGAGCCCTTCCTCTCGATAAGGAGGGGGTACTGCTGGTACCAATTCCTGCCATGATTCTTCTAGTGTTGGGTCGGACAGGACTTCTGGTGCTGACTTCCCTCAGCAGGTGGAGCGTGAACCTTCCTTAACTAACTGCCCGTTTGCTACTAGTACTGCTGCTGCCTGTCCTCTTAACCACTGTCGGGGGTCCAAAACTAGCTGTAAGCAAGAATCTATATATGGGAACTTATCTGAGTGCCCTGACTTACAGGTTACCCTCTGCCATACCTTCAAGACAAGGGACCTGTCCAGGCTTCCTTCTGATGGCCAACCCACCTCTAAATTTTCCTGGTGTCATGTTGACTCCATAGTCTCCTTTAAATCCCTTTTTGAAATTTTTCAACATAGTTCCTAGTGGGGTGGGCTTACTTTGTGCCTGATCCATGTTTTCTCAAGACAAAACACCACGCTCACACTACACGCACACCACAAAACAAAGAACAGGTAAAAAGGGCACACACACACTTTTACAGTTTACACCAAACCAGAATCAAAACCAAAATCAGAGTATCAAGAAATCCAAGCCAGGTCAAAACCAAAACCAAAGTATCAAGCAATCCAAGTCAAGTCAAAAACAAAAAAACCAAAGTGCTGGCGGGGGCACGCTGTGGGTGATCAGGCCACATTTCCACTAAAATGGGGTAGGCAAGTTCCAAAGACTAGTGTTACCAAGTTTCAGATGTCTAGACTCCAAGTGCCAGTTCCTTCCCAGTGTTCAGCCACTGCATTGATCCTCCATGGGGGCCTGCCACATGCTGCTCTGGCGAGGCATTCCACCAGGGCAATTGCCTACCCGGGAGCGCTCTCAGGATCTGTGTTGCTCAAGCTGGCTGGAGTCCCCGGCAGGGATGCTCCACAGGGCAGGCCTAAGCCACCTAAGGGGCTGCCTTGACCATCCATTAATCACCTCACTTCCCAGTCAGGGAACCAAGAAATGTAGCAGGACAAGCCGCAGACAAAACCCCTCAGACATCGAGTTAAAGAAGGAAACAGTTTATTCGGCCAGGAGCATCAGCAAGACTTCTGTCTCAAGAGCCGAGCTCCCCAAGTGAGCAATTCCTGTCCCTTTTAAGGGCTCACAACTCTAACGGGGTACATGTGAGAGGGTCATGATCAATTGAGCAAGCAGGGAGTACGTGACTGGGGGCTGCATGCACCAGTAATTAGCAGTTGCAAGGGATTTCAGGCTTAAACACTTATGTTTATGTAATCAAAAGGTACAGTTAACTGACAAAAGTGCTAGTGTATATCTTGACAACCTACAGAAATATTTGCAAATATATTTCTCTATACAATGGACAATTAGTAAAGTAAGCTTAGATATTTAAGCAGATGAATTATTAATATTTGTCTTCTAATCCATAAACATGGAGTGTCTTTACATTTACTTAGGGTTTCTTGAATTTATTTCAGCAATATTTTGTAATTTTCCATGTCTAAGTCTTGAATATTTGTTAAATTTATTCTTAAAACATTATTACTGTTGATTTTTTTTTGTTTTTTTGAGACAGGGCCTTATTCTGTTGCCCAGGTAGGGTGTGGTAGGGTGATCATAGCTCACTGCAGCTTCAAACTCCTTGGCTCCAGTAATCCTCCCACCTTGGCCTCCCAAAGTACTGGGGTTAAAGATATAAGCCACCACACCCAACCTTTTTTTTTTGCTTTCTGTTTTGAAAATTCCAAAGGATGCTTTATAGTCAATGAAAATATAGTACTTTGAATTGCCCAAAAGAGGCATAATGCATAAAAACTCTAAAGTGTAATAGTGACTCGCTGACCATCTGGCTACCAGTTAGTTACCTCTTCAAGTTGTACCTAATAACCTCCAGAATTGCTTTTAAATAAACTTCTTAAATTGTAGCAATAAAAATGACAGGACACATTTAAAAAATAACTGAAAGCTTATCCAAAGGACATAAGAAATTTCCAACTCTTCTTTCCCCCCCCTCTTTTAATTTTTTTAAGACAGGGTCTCACTCTGTTGCTCAGGCTTGAGTGCAGTGGTGCCATCACGGCTGACTGCAGCCTCTAATTCCTGGGCTCAATCAATCCTCCTGTCTTAGCCTCAGCCACCATACCCGGCTAATTTTTTTGTATTTTTTGTAGAAACGAGGATTTGCTATGTTGTCCGGGCTGGTCTCAAACTCCTGGGCTCAAGAAATCCACCTGCCTTGGCCTCCCAAAGTGCTGGGATTACAGGCATGAGCCACCACACCCAGCCTCAACACTTATTTCTGGAATGTTATACAAATCAATTTTTTGGCTAAGTTATGAATATGTTTATAATGCAATTATTTGCATAACTCTAGTAATGCTATGGACAGCTATAAGATCGAAATAGTTTTCTAAAGAAAATACTAAATACATAAAAACACTTATCCCCATTATTTACTTGTAGAACACGTTCATTTATGACTAATTTTCAGCAGCATTATGTCATCATTGCTCTGATTTTAAAAGTCATATCCAAAGGATAAGGCAAAACCACCTATGAATTGACATATTTGTTTATCTCTCAGTTTGTGAAAATGTCCTTAATTTGTTGATGTTGCAAACAGATTTCAACTCTGCCATGCAAAAAACAGAAGACAATCTTCTTTGCAATGAATTTTGTAGCTCCATTGCATACAAGGAACATGCTATATATGAAACAAAATAGTAACTCAAGTACAGGTCTTAAACACTGAAAGAACTAACAGTTTATTACAATTTATTTTATTAACAATCTAGGAAGTTCACAGCCTCAGCAGTTCTAGTGTCATTTCAGGTGAAATGGGAATTTAAGAATCTCTGTGGAGCTGTAGGTATAGCGAAACTTTTAGGTAAAATACGTGCCTGCTTTTGGCAGCACTTGTGAAGAGATCTCTCTCAAATTGACCTAATTGGTTTCATTCTCAGCAAAATGACCTGGGCCACTCAACATGGGTTTCCTTCTTCCTGATGTTTGGGCGTGTTCTCTTTTTACAACATATTTATGATTCAGAAGATATTCATTTGACATCTTGGCATCAGGGCTTTCACAGCCAATGTACGTTTTCTCCTCTTCATCCATTATGTTCTTAAGGAATTCTACTTTGATTCTCTAGGAACTTCAGTTGTTTCTTGTCAGCCCTGCAGCCACTGCAGCCAAGTCCCCATGTAGCACCACAGCCCCTATTCCAAGGCCGTCCCCCACCCCAAGCTGCCTGCCCTGTGTGTTCCAGGGCAGTTGGAGGTATTCCAGCCTGTTAGTTTTCAGAAATGAAATTGTTGTCTTAATTTCATTTTCATATCGTTTATTGCTAGTATACAGAAATATATTTTTGTGTATTAATATTTTGTCCTGTAACTTTGCTTAATTTCTTTACTAGTTTTAACAATTTCTTGTTGGTTCCTTATGATTTTCTGTGTATGAGATCATGGGATCTGTGAGTAGGTAGTTTTACTTTTTTCTTTCACATATGAATGACTTTGTATATATATATATTTTTTTTTTTTTTTTCTAATTGTTCTGGATGGAACTTCTAGTACAGTGTTGAACACAATGATGAAAGTGAGCATCAGTGCTGTGTTCCTGATCTTAAAGCTTTGGGTGCCAACAATTCAGGTGGTGATTGTTATGGGTTTTGCATAAAGGTGTTTTATCATGTGAAGAAAATTCGAATCTTCAGCTTATTGGTGGTTTTTATCATTAAATACGTTGATTATCTTTAAGTACTTTCTGTAACAGTTGAGATAAACGTGTTTTTCCCATCATTTTAATTATATAGTATACGGAAAAGGAATGGCTTTAGTATGTTGAAAAACCTTTGATTTTCTGAAAAAAAAAAAAAAAAAAAAAAAAAGACCTCTTCATTGTGGTGTATAATGTTTTCGCTATGTACCAAATTCCACTTACTATGATTTGGTTAAACATTATTAAGTCTATCATTATGAGTTTTATTAACATTTAGTTTTTTTGTCCTGGTGATATCATATGTTTGAGTCAGTACTCGATTGGGGTTAGAAAAAGGTATGGCTTGGTGTACTATTTAGGGTATTAGTGGTTAGCAGTTAGAGGGTTAGAGGTTATACCAAAAAAAAAAAAAAAACCCAGAATTTTTGAAGGATTATGGGCTAAGGTTAAGTGTAGGATAGACGTTGGGGATTAGGGTTAAGGAGTTAGAATGTCAGAGCAAAGATTAGGCTTAGGGTGAGGGTTAGAATTAGAGATTATGGTTAGGGTTAGGGTTAGGGTTAAAGTTAGGGGTCAGGGTTGTGAAAGGAAAATATCTTGGGCCCCAAAATTACTAAGCTAAGGGATAAGTCAAGCTCGGAACTGCTCAGGACAAACCTGCCTCCCATTCTTTTCAAAGTCATCCCTCTGCTAACTGAGGTAGATGAATATTCTGATTGTCTCCTTTGGAAAGGCTTATCAGAAACTCAACAGAATGCAACCATTTTTCTCTCACCTACCTGTGACCTAGAAGCCCCTCCCTGCTTCAAGTTGTCCCTGCCTTTCCAGACGGAACCACTGTACTTCCTACATATATTGAATGATGTCTCTTGTCTCCCTAAAATGTATAAAACCAAGCTGTGCCCTGACCACCTTCAGCACATGTCATCAGGACTTTCTGAGGCTGTGTCAGGGGCCTGCATCCTCTACCTTGGCAAAATAAAATTTCTAAATTAACTGAGACCTGTCTCAGATTTTCTGGGTTTACAGGGTTTAGGGTTGGGATTTGGTTAGGTATTAGAGTTAGGGTTAGGGTTAGGGTTATAAGAACCCCTAAGGGCTTCATATAAAGGTTTTACAATTAATCTGAAAGAAAGAATCCATATTCTGCAAAACTTGGCCCTACCCAAAAAGGACTCAAGCTGTTATTTATTTACTGGAGTTGTCATGTGTAAAATAAGATCTTTACAAGTGCTAGAGAGGCTCTCTGTACCAGGGGTTAAAATACCCCCAAATTGAACCCTTTATGTGCATATTTGTTCCTTAGAAGGAGATACTTCATATCCACAATCAGCAATTTTATTCAGTACTCGTACTGTATTTTGCTCTAAAACAGCCTTGTTAGGACTACAGATTAGCAGGTCACCCACATACTGGAGTAGATTGCTATCTGGGAGAAGCTGCAGGGTGGACAGGTCTTTAGCTAAGTCCTGTCCAAAACAGTGGAGGCTATCTCTGAATTCCTAGGACAGAATAGTGCAAGTTAACTATTAAGTTATTTGAGTATCTAGGTCTTGCTATTCAAAAGCAAACAAAAATTGGCTATCTTGTGTACGGAATGCAGAAAAAGGCATCCTTAAGATCAAGTACAGTAAACCAAGCTGCAGTGGAGGAAATTTGTCCAAAAGAGACTAAGGGTTTGTGACAATAGGATGAATAGGAATAACAGCTTCATTAATAATTCTAAGGTCCTGTACTAGCTGGTAGGAGCCATCTGGTTTTTTTGCAGCAAAAATGGGAGTGCTGCAATGCAAGTTGCAAGGGCACAATAATCCATGGGTTAAACATTTTGTTATTAGGGGCTTTAACACTTTTTGGGCTTCTGGTTTCAAGGGGTATTGGCGGTTCTTGGGAACTTACTGGGATTTTTAAGCTGAATGATGATGGGAGCAGCTGATATTGAATGGCCAGAAATAGAAGTATTCCAGACCTCAAACGGCACTTGTTTTAGAATGTGAGGTTCTATAGACTGTAGCAGCTCTTTTAGTGAAGTGTGAGTTCATACAGTTAGAAAGTGGGGCCTTAGCTATAAATTGTCTTGTAATTTTGTGAGTAAGTCATGACCTAATAATGGAACAGGAGAGCTTGGCATGACTAAAAAGGAGTGGCTAAAGACATAACCTTCCCTTTTACAAGAGACTGGTGGTGTGAAACAGCCTCGTTGGGGTTTTCCATCAATACCTGATATAGTTTAGTCTCTGTGTCCCCACCCAAATCTCATGTCCAATTGTAATCCCCACATGTCAGGGGAGGGACCTAGTGAGGTGATTGGATCATGGGGGTGGATTTCCCCCATGTTTTTCTCATGATAATAAGTTCTCATGAGATCTGATGGCTTAAAAGTGTGGCACTTCCCTGTTCACTCTGTCTCTCTCCTGCCACCATGTAAGATGCCTTCTGCCATAATTGTAAGTTTCCTGAGATTTCCCCAGCCATGCACAACTGTGAGCCAATTAAGCCTCTTTTCTTTATAAATTACCCAGCCTCAGGTAGTTCCTTATAGCAGCATGAAAATGAACTAATACAGAAATTTGGTACCAGGAAAGTGGGGCACTGCTATAAAGATACCAGAAAATGTGGAAGTGACTTTGGGACTGGGTAACAGGCAGAGGTTGGAACAGTTTAGAGGGCTGAGAAGAGTACAGTAAGATGTGGGAATGTTTGGAACTTTAGAGACTTGTTGAATGGTTTTGACCAAAATGCTGATAGTGATATGGACAGTGAAGTTCAGGCTGACGTGGTCTCAGATGGAGATGACAAACTTATTGAGAACTGGAGCAAAGGTCATTCTTGCTATGCTTTAGCAAGAAGACTGGCAGCATTATGCCCCTGCTCTAAGGGATCCATGGAGCTTTCAACTTGAGAGACATGATTTAGGGTATCTGGTGGAAGAAATTTCTAAGCAGCAAAGCATTCAAGATGTTGCCTGGCTGCTACCAATGGCATACAGTCATATGCATTCACAAAGAGATGGTCTGAAATGGGAACTTATGTTTAAAAGGGAAGCAGAGCATAAAAGTTTGGAAAATTTGCAGCCTGAGCATGTGGTACAAAAGAAAAAGCCAGCCAGGCATGGTGGCTCACACCTGTAATCCCAGCACTTTGGGAGGCCGAGGCAGGTGGATCATTTGAGGTCAGGAGTTCAAGACCAGCCTGACCAACATTGTGAAACCCTGTTTCTACTAAAAATACAAAAATTAGCTGGGCATGTGGTACACGCCTGTAATCCCAGCTACTCGGGA
Organism: Homo sapiens; assembly: GCF_000001405.40. Classification (NCBI taxonomy): domain Eukaryota; kingdom Metazoa; phylum Chordata; class Mammalia; order Primates; family Hominidae; genus Homo; species Homo sapiens. The sequence goes on from NC_000023.11 coordinate 155,983,210, forward strand.
AGCTAAGGCAGGAGAACTGCTTGAACCTGGGAGGCAGAGGTTGCAGTGAGCTGAGATTGTGCCACTGCACTCCAGCCTGGGTGACAGAGCACGACTCCATCTAAAAATAAATAAATAAATAAAAAGCCATTTTCTGGGGAGAAATTCAAGCTGGCTGTGGAAATTTGCATAAGTAACAAGGAGCCAAATGCCAATAGCCAACACAATGGGAAAAAAGTCTTCAGGACATTTCAGAGATATTTGTGGCAGCCCATCCCATCACAGGCCCAGAGGCCGAGGAAGAAAAAATGGTTCCATGGGTTGGGCCTAGGGCCCTGCTGGTCTGTGCAGCTTTGAGGCATGGTACCCTGCATCCCAGCTGCTCCAGCTTCAGCTGTGGCTAAAACGGACCAAGGTACAGCTTAGGCCATTGCTTCAGAGGTGAAAGCCCCAAGTCTTGGTGGCTTCCACATGGTATTGGGCATGCAGGTATGCAGAAGGCAAGAGTTAAGGCTTGGAAGCCTCCACCTAGATTTCAGAGGATATATGGAAACACCTGGACGTCCAGGCATAAATCTGCTGCAGGGGCAGATGTTGGGGTGATCAGACCCAACACCAGGTCATGGGGGTGACGAAGTCTGGTGGAGTCAAAGGAATGAGAAAAGACAGTTAGAGAGAGAAACTGGGTCCAGGGGGCCAATGTGAGTATGGAGGCTGTGAAGGCCCTGAGCTCTGGAAGCCCAGACTATTTATTGGTGATCAAAGAAACAGGTGGTGAGAATGTGGGGTTGAAAGGGCGCATTGCATTAAGCACAAGATTTACAGCTGTAATGGTTTAGAATATGCTCTGCTACTTGAGATAATGGAGAGCAGGTTCTTTTAACTCAAGATACAATCAATCCTGGGAGAGCAAGGAGCAAGGAGCCAGCAAGTCTAGACACATTTCAGAGACCATGAGGGGTTTTATGCTCTGAGCCCTGGATTCTATCCAAGCCATGAGGGGTTTTGTGCTCTGAGCCCTGGATTCTATCCAAGCCATGAGGGGTTTTATGCCCTGGGCTTAGATTATGGTGCATCAGGGTAGCCTTCCACCTTTTAGCACAGAGCTTGGTGTTCCAAAGGCCATGAGGGGTTTTAGACCCTGGACCTTGGACATGTTCCAAGACTCTTTTACATCATTTCAGACTTGCAAGCCCTGCCTCTGTTTCTCCCAACACTCAGCTTCTCCCAACATGCCCCCCTTTTCTTTTTTGTAAAACCGCCACAGCTCTCATTGCTTGTTCTTGGTGGCAGCTTTCTCTTCAGAGGTGGCTTCCTCTTCAGAGGCAGCTTCCACATCTGCAGACTAAAAGGAGACAGCACAAGCACACAACCACCAGAACAAAATCCACAAATGTAGAGCCTCCAATGGCCTTCAACTGTAAATCTTTTGGAATGGGATAAGAGTTTTTAAGGATCTCAGTTACAATATAAATAGAGGGTGATGTCTCCCATGGTCTATTTAGTGACACAGGGAACCAAACTCCTTCCCTGGCTTTAATTATCAAGATAATTTGATTTTTATCAAAGGTTGAATTAATGCAGGTAAACAAGCAACATTCAGAGCATGTAATAAAACGTGTATTTATATCAAGAGTAACATTTCCTATTGCTAGCACAACCTTGAATCCAAAAGGTCCTGTCGGAGAGAAAAGAAAGAGCATTTTTATCCTTCCTTGCCTCCTCCTCTCTATTCCTTTTATATTTGCCCTCTCAGATTTTGATTGGACTTTGAGCCATAGCTAATTTCCATAATTCAGAATGTTCCTGTCTGTCCCTGCAAATCTCTGCTAGTCTTCACTACTCTCTACTTTTGTACCTCTTTAAGGCACTGACCAGTACCTCTTTAGGGCACTGACCTTATATTGCTAGTCTTTGCTTTTGTACCTCTTTAGGGCACAGACCAGTACCTCTTTAGGGCACTGACCTTATATTACTAGTCTTTACTTTTGTACCTCTTTAGGGCACTGATCAGTACCTCTTTAGGGCACTGACCTTATATTGCTAGCCTTCATCTATCTCTATCTGTCCCTGTCTGTCCCTATGGTACCTGTTAGTTCCTGCAAGTTCCTGTCTTTCCCTACTTAGCTGTACTTACTTAGCTCTACTTACTTAGCTCTACTTACTTAGCTCTATCTCTTCCTGGAAACCTTTTTTATGACCCTGGATAGAGCTCAGAAATCCACCCTTTAAGCTTCAGCAAGAGATAAAACAGGGACTCTGGACCCGGCACCAGATTGAAAGGAACAGGAAGTGCTCTCCCCCTCCCCAAAGCAGGAAAACCAGAGTTTGGCCCTTGCAAATTTCCACTCCACATCAGCGTCATCCTCAATTTCCTGGAGTGAACTGTTGATCATTGCAATTAACATATTTAGCAAAACAATGACCATTGTAACATCATAGACTCCATAAAGAACATAACCAATGTTTTCAATGAATTTGTGGCTATAGTTGATGACCACTGATTTCACTGCAGAAAGCACAAATGTAGCCCAGAACAGTGTCTTAAAACTCTCTTCAACTGTTGTGAAGGCTTCATTTTGTTTTACATCAATGTAGTAGGAGTAGAGGTTGAACATTCCAATCATAAAGGCCACAAACACCATAATGAATATGAGCATGAACCTGAAGATGTCTTTGACTGCTCCTCCAAGCGACGTCTGCAGAGGTCCAAAGCTTTCATTTGCTGGCAAAATACAAGCTATCCCAGAGAAACTCAAAACCACAGCAACTGCACAAAGACCTTCAGACACCATACGAGGATCCGAGGGGTCCCACTCCCTCCTGGCCAAACTGTAGTATTTCACATTATCTCCCAATGTTACTTTTGTCAAGTCCTTCAAAGTATCACTTGCATCAGTGATGCTCTGGGCTTTGGAAGCATGCCAGAATGCCCTGAATCTTGCAATGAATGATGCTGATAAAATTGCTAACATACCAAAATCAAGCATGTTCCACAACTCAAACAAATATTCCTTGGGGCCTTGAGTCCAAATTTCTTTACATTCAGCCCATATCATGCCTCTGCGCTCATTAAATCTGTTTTTCTCTAGCAGAGGAAGGTTAACCATGAAACTGAAGCTTCAAGATGACTTTACTTGCCCAGGCTCCTTCTAAGTCCTCACTTTGTCTTCTGTTTCTCTAAATGGGGCCCTCTGAATAAACAAGCCTCAGATTCCCCTGGTCTTACCCCATGCCTCACCCTCTTCGTAATAAGTGCCTTAAGAAATTCAAGTAAGCAGAATGTTTGCTTTCACTTTGTCCCATCATTGTTAACCTGGTTCTTCCGAGTGCTAAGCTTTCCCACCGAGCTTCTTTCAGTTATCCTCGGGTGTCCTTTGACAATGCATCCTCCGCTTTCACACGCTCTAGTGTTCCTTCACCGGGATCTTTGTTGCCTCACGTTGGGCAGCCAGGAATGTTGGGGTGATCGGACCCAACACCAGGTCATGGGAGCGATGAAGTCTGGTGGAGTCAAAGGAATGAGAAAAGACAGTTTGAGAAAGAAAGTGAGTTCAGGGGGCCATCGCTAAGTATGGAGGCTGTGAAGGCCCCGAGCTCTGGAAGCCCAGACTATTTATTGGTGATCAAAGAAACAGGTGGTGAGAATGTGGGGTTGAAAGGGCGCATTGCATTAAGCACAAGATTTACAGCTGTGATGGTTTAGCATATGCTCTGCTACTTGAGATAATGGAGAGCAGGTTCTTTTAACTCAAGATACAATCAATCCTGGGAGAGCAAGGAGCAAGGAGCCAGCAAGTCTAGGCACATTCCAGAGGCCCCTGGGGGGTTTTGTGCCCTGAGCCCTGGATTCTATCCAAGCCACGAGGGGTTTTATGCCCTGGGCTTAGATTATGGTGCATCAGGGTAGCCTTCTACCCTTTACCACAGAGCTTGGTGTTCCAAAGGCCACGAGGGGTTTTAGACCTTGGACCCTGGAAATGTTCCAAGACTCTGTTACATTATGTCAGACATGCAAGCCCTGCCTCAGCTTCTCTCCCAACCCTCAGCTTCTCCCAACAGGCAGAGCCCTCATGGAGAACCTCTACTAGAGCAGTGTGAGAACCTCTACTAGAGCAGTGCAGAGGGGAAATGTGGGATTGGAATCCCCACACAGAGTCCCCAGTGGTGCACTGCCTGGTGGAGCTGTGAAAAGAGGGCCACCATTATCCAGACCTCAGAATGGTAGATCTACTGATGGCTTGCACCATGCACCTGGAAAAGCTGCAAGCAGTCAACACCAGCCCATGAAAGCAGCTGTGGGGGCTGTACCTTGCAGAACCTCAGAGGCAGAGCTGCCCAAGGCCTTGGGAGCCCATCCCTTGCATCAGTGTGGCCTGGATGTGAGACATGGAGTCACAAGAGATCATTGTGAAGCTTTAAGATTTAATCATTGCCCTGCTGGGTTTCAGACTTACATGGGGCCTGTAGCCCCGTTGTTTTGGCCAATTTCTCCCATTTGGAATGGGAACATATACCCAATGCCTGTACTCCCATTGTATCTTGAAGTAACAAACTTGTTTTTTATTTTAGAGGCTCATAGGTAAAAGGGACTTACTTTGTCTCAGATGAGACTTTGTACTGTGGATTTTTGAGTTAATGCTGAAATGAATTAAGACTTTAGGGGACTATTGGGAAGGCATGATTAGATTTGAAATGTGAGAAGGACATGAAATTTGGAAGAGGCCAGGGAAGAATGATATTATTTGCCTCTGTCCCCACCCAAATCTCATGTCAAATTGTAATCCCCATGTGTCAGGGAGGGATCTGGTGGGAGGTGATTGGATCATGGGGGCAGATTTCCTCCATGTTGTTCTTGTGATAGTGAGTTCTCCTGAGATCTAATAGTTTAAAAGTGTGGCACTTCCTGATTTGCTCTTTCTCCTGCCACCATGTAAGATGTGCCTGGTTTCCCCTTCACCTTCCATCATGATTGTAAGTTTCCTGAGGCCTCCCCAGCCGTGTGGAACTGTGCATCAATTAAACCTCTTTTCTTTATAAATTACCCAGCCTCAGGTAGTTCTTTATAGCAGTGTGAAAATGGACTAATGCAATACCCGTGAGGAAAATGAAGGACTAGCACATTGGGCCTTAATAAACATTTAAAGCTGAATAACTGGCCCCCATATCTATAATGAACGTTACCTCTGGTTCAGTCTCAATCAGATTTGCCTGAGGCTCATCCATACAGATGGAAAAGATAGGAGCCTGGAAGGCCTCAATGTCCCATCAATCATCTAGAGGATGACTTTCAGAGGCTTGATCATAATCCAGGAATAGAGTTAGAGGTGCTTGTCCTTGCCCTTGCCCTCATCCTTGTCCTGCATGACACCCCTGTCAGATAGGTTGGTGAGGTTGTGGCTGTAACAGCCTAGAAGGAAGAGGTGGCCCTCTCCTGAGAGAGAGAGGGACACTTACTCTTCTAATGATCCTCTTGTTTGCAATGAGGACAGGGTCCTGGGGGTAGCTTGTAATTTGGAGGTTTGGGATATTCTCTACTCTAGTGTCCTGGATTCCTGCAGCGATGATAGGCCCCCATTCTGTTAGTATTATAGGGATGAGTCTTGGGTTTATTAGCTAACGAAAAATAATGTATCAATGCCATTGCCATGTAATTCGCTTGGCAATGGCATTTTTCCTCCTCCAATTGAGCCTTTTTTTATTTTTGAGGTTGCCTCCCAGTCATTGAAAACCTTAAAGGCTGTATTTAGTAAAGTAGGGAAGGGAATGTGAGTGCCTTGCTCTAATTTTTGGAGTTTTTGTCTGATGTCTGGGGAAGCCTGACGTATAAGCTGTACAGCCAGAATGGATTGGCCCTTAGGGCTTTCAGGGTGTGAATTTGTATATTTATGCATTGCCTCCACCAGTCCAGCTTGGAAAAGGGTGGAGTTCTCAGATGGTTCCTGAGTGATTTCTTGTAACTTAGAAAAATTAACAGGTTTTATCACAGCCTTTTTCATTCCTTCCATCAAGCACGTTATTATATAATCTCATCGGCAGATGAGATAACGTTTGTTATTGCCAATTGGGTTCTCTGTTGAGGACAGCTTCTGCCTCAACCCTTTTATCATTAGGATTATGAGCATGAACTTTATTTGTCTACGCTTGAGCTAAAGACCATATGTGTGATTTTTCTTTGTGGGAATGGCACGAATATGTCTTGTCAGGTTAAATCAAAGGAGTTCTTGAGTGAACTTAGAGGGATCCTGGCAAAATGAATCCAATGTGGGTTGAATTTGTGAAAGATCAGACATTGGAAAAGGGACATGAACTCAAATTGTTCCCAAATCTCTATTTGCCATCTTGTGGACAGGCAAAACATTTTTGGGATTTTTGGAGGAATCTTAGAGTTGCATATGTGACTCCCGAGTGAGTATGTGAGGGGGATAAAGTATCTGGTTATGGGAAGGGTTGATTAGGGGATGGAGCAGATGGAGAGGTTGTAGGTGAAGCAGGAGCAGGCTGAGGAGAGTGTGGTATGCAAAAGGAAGGATCGTCTAAGACATCAGAATCAGGGGGAGAGGAAGTTCCTTGGAAGCATGTATGATAATTTTTATTTGGGGATTTGGGGATAAAGCCAAAAAGACCTCAACATGTGGGACCTCTGAATGCAAAAAAAAAGTATACACTTCTTTTTGGGAGTTTGTGGGTTAAAATGGGGTCACTTTTTAAGACTGCAACCCAAGGGCGAGTAGGAATGACTTGCCCTTGCCTGGATGACCAGGCCAGGTGTGCCCTTGTTTGAGTGGTCAACTCAAACCTAATGGGAAGGAGAACTCACCCGTAACTTGGGATATGGTGCCTCTGATGTTGAATCCAAAATTGTGTCCACAACCAGTGGAATGTGAAGAGTTGAGATTATTGTTTCCAAGGCATGGGTTACAGAGTGTTCAGTGAAAGTGGACTTGCCACCACAAATGGCTAATTATTATTTTTTCATTTTTTTATTTTGTAGAGATGGAGTTTTAGGTTTTGTTTGTTTGTTTTGATATTGAGTCTAGCTCTGTCACCCAGGCTGGCGTGCAGTGGTGCGATCTGGGCTCACTGCAACCTCAACCTCCTGGGTTTAAGCAATTCTCCTGCCCCAGCCTCCTGAGTAGCTGAGATTATAGGTGCACACCACCACGCCAGGCTAATTTTTTTTTTTTGTATTTTTAGTAGAGACGGGTTTCACCTTGTTGGCCATGCTGGTCTCGAACTCCTGACCTCACATGATCCACCTGCCTTGGCCTCCCAAATTTCTGGGATTACAGGTGTGAGCCACTGCACCTGGCTATCAGCAGATTTCTAATCATAAATTTTGGGGAACAGAAGGTAGTGGGCTCATATATTTAAAGCAGTGGAAGAAAATAGCTGTCAACCAAGACTCCTGTACTTAAAAGGTGAGGGAGAAATTAAGACATGCCCACAGAAACAAAAGCTGAGAGATTTCATTACGACTAGGTCTGCCCTGCAAAAAATGCCAAAAGGAGTCCTTCAGGTTGAAATGAAGGGACACTAGGCAGTAATTTGAAGCCATAAGAGGAAATAAATTTTTTTTTGAGACAGAGTCTTGCTCTGTTGCCCAGACTGGAGTGCAATGGTGCGATTTCGGCTTACCACAACTTCCACCTCCCGGGTTCAAGCAATTCTCCTGTCTCAGCCTCTCTAGTAGCGCCACTGCACCCAGCTAATTTTTTGATTTTTAGTGGAGACGGTGTTTCGCCATGTTGGCCAGGCTGGTCTTGAACTCCTGACCTCAGGTGATCCTCCCACCTCGGCCTCCCGAAGTGCTGGGATTACAGGCGTGAACCACCTCACCTGGCCAGAAATAAAGATCTTAGTAAAGGTAAATACAAGAGCAGTTATAAAAGCTACTATTAACTTTGGGTTGTAATTCTATTTTTTGTTATTTTACTTGATTTAAGAGCCTAATACATGATAATGAGTATTAGTGTAAAAGCTAGTATTACTGTAAGTGATTTGTAACTTCACATTTTGTCTTCTACATAATGTAAGAGATTAATGAATTTAAAATTATTAGTTTATATTTCTGGACATACAATGTATAAATATGTAATTTTGTAACATCAGTAACTGAAAAGGAGTGGGGATGGAACTGTACAGGGGCATAGTTGTTTTTTTTTTTTTTTTTTTCGGAGACAGGGTCTCACTCCGTCACCCAGGCTGGAGTACAGTGATGCAATAACGGCTCATCGCAACCTGAACCTCTCGGGCTTAGCTGATACTCCCACCTCAGCCTCCCGAATAGCTGGGACTACGGGCGTGCATCATCATGCCTGGCTGATTGTTTTTTTTTTTTTTTTTTTGTGATGGAGTCTCACTCCGTCACCCAGACTGGAGTGCCATGGCGCAATCTTGGCTCACTGCAAACTCTACCTCCCTGGTTTAAAAGATTCTCATGCCTCAGCCTCCTGAGTAGCTGGGATTAGAGGTGAATGCCACCACACCTGGATAATATTTGTATTTTTTAGTAGAGACGGGGTTTCACCATATTGCCCAGGCTGGTCGAAAAACTCCTGGGCTCAAGTGATCATCTTGCCTCAGGCTCCCAAAGTTCTCACAGGCATGAGCCACTGTTCCTGGCCTGGTTTTTGTATGTTATTGAAGTTAAGTGATAGAAATTCAAATTGGAGTGTCTTAATATTAGGAGGTTAAATGTAATCCCATGGTAGCCACAAAGAAAATAGCTTAGCTATAGAATATCCACAAAATGAAATGAGAAGAGAATTTAGATGTTTCACTGTAAAAAAAAATCAACTAAACACAAAAGAAGACAGTAATGCAGGATATAAGGGACCACAAAAAAAAGCCATAGGGCATATAGAAAACACATGGCAAAATCACATAAGTGAGTCTCTCCTTATCAGTAATTATTTTGAATGTAAGTGGATAAACTCTCCAATCGAAAGATAGAGATTGGCAGAATGGATTAAAAAAACATGATCCAGGTGGGTGGTGGAATGGGGAAGATATTGGTCAAAGAGTATAGTTTCAGATGGGAGGAATAAAGTGTTTTACTTGAAATTTATTGCACAGCATGGTCGCATGGTGAATGTAGGGTTTTGGTTGCTTTTTTTTTTTTGCCTTTTTTGCAACAAGGTCTCATTATTTTGCTTAGGATGGAGTACAATGACACAATTACAGCTTACTGTAACGTTGAACTCATGAGCTCAAGTGATCCTCCCACCTCAGCCTCTTGACTAACTAGGACTATAGGCACCGCACCTGACTGTTTTTTAATTTTTAACTTTGTAAGAGATGGGGTTTTGCTGTGTTGACCAGGCTGGCCTTGAACTTCTCACCTCAAGTAGTCCTCCCACCTTGGTCTCCCAAAGTGTTGGGATTACAGGCGTGAGCTTCCTGCCCAGCCATAAATGTAATTTATTGCACATTTCAAAATTGCTAAGAGTAAATGTTCTCACAACAAAGAAAAAGTATATGAGGTGATGGATATGTTAACTACTTTGATTTAAGCACTTCACCTTATATTCCTAAATTCTAATATAACATTGTACTCCATAAACATATACAATTATAATTTGTCAATGTACCACTTAAAGAAATGATCCAAGCCTGGGCAATGTGGCAAAACCCTGTCCCTACAAAACATACAAAAAGAAAAAATAGCCAGGTGTGGTGGTGCCCACTTATGGTCCCAGCTACTTAGAAGGTTGAGGTGGGAGGATCACTTGAGCCCAGGATGTCAGTGAGCTGTGATTGCACCACTGCATTCCAGCCTGAGCAACAGAGCAAGACCTGTCTCAAAAAATAAATACAGAAATAACATTTAAAAATGATCCAAGTATACACTGTCTACAAGAGTCTCACTTTAGATCTAAAGACACAAATAGGATGAAAGTAAAAGGATAGGGAAAGACATGTCATGCAGATAGTAACCAGAAGAGATCAGGAGTGGCCATATATAAATAATCCAATCACAGAAAGATTAATACTGTATAGGCCGAGTGCGGTGGCTCACACCTGGAATCCCAGCACTTTGGGGGACTGAGGCGGGCAGGTCTCTTGAGTCCAGGAGTTCAAGACCAGCCTGGCCAACATGATGAAACCCTGTTTCTACTAAAAACACAAAAATTAGCCAGGTGTGGTGGCGAACGCCTGTAATCCCAGCCACTCGGGAGGCTGAGGCACAAGAATCACTTGGACCTGGGAGGTGGAGGTTGCAGTAAGCCATGATCGTGCCACTGTACTCCAGCTTGGGCGACAGAGAGAGACTCTGTCTCAAAAAAAAAAAAAAAAAAAAACTTTGGAAAAAAAATTAATACTATATAAGTCCACTTATATGAGGTACCTAGCATAGACAGAAAGTAGAATGGTGGTTAACAGGTGGTTGTCAAGTTGAGGGGAGGAGGGAATGGAGAGTTGTTGGTTAAGGGTACAAAGTTCCAGTTTTGCAAGATGAAAAGGATTGTGGAGATGGGTGGTGGTGATGGTTGCACAACAATATAATAGTACTTAATATGTTAATATCACTGAACTGTACACTTAAAAATGGTTAAGATGGCCAAGCATGGTGGCTCATGCCTGTAATTCCAGCACTTTGGGAGGCCAAGGCAGGAGGATCACTTGAGGCTAGGAGTTCAAGACCAGCCTGGGCAACACAGTAAGACCCATTCTCTAAAATAAAAGCAAAAAATTAGCCAGGTGTGGTGGTGGACACCTGTAGTCCCAGCTATTCAGGAGGCTGAGGCAGGAGGATCGCTTGAGCCCAGGTGTTTGAGGCTGCAGTGAGCTATGATTGCATCACTGCATTCCAGCCTGTCTCAAAAAAAAAAAAAGTATAAACCAGTGTAAGCATGCTGGATCCATACAAATGTATAAACCATTCTTAGCTCACAGGTTTTAAAAATTAGGCTGGATTTGGCCCGTGTCATTTGCTGACCTCTGTTCTACCTCATAGGGCTGTGACAATTTATGTAGTTTAACATATAACAAGTCCTCTCTGTATCCATCTTGCAGATAAGGAAACTGAGGCTCAGAGAGGTTAATGTTCCTTCTTCTTGTATGCATTGTTATAATTTATTCCATATTTGAGACAGGGTCTCACTCTGTTGCCCAGGTTGGAGTGCAGTAGCCTGATCATGGCTTACTGCGGCCTCAATCTCCCCGGGCTCAGGTAATCCTCCTACCTCAGCCTCCTACTGGGACTACAGGTGCATACCACGATGCCCAGCTAATTTTTGTATTTTTTTTTTTGTAGAAACGGGATTTCACCATGTTGCCCAGGGTGGTCTTGAACTCCTGGGCTCAAACAATCCACCCACCTCAGCCTCCCAAAGTGGTGTTATTACAGGCATGAGCCATCATGCCTGGCCTATTCCTTTTATTTAAGATGCACTTTTTGCTTATATATTTTCTTTTCTTTCTTTTTTCTTTCTTTCTTTCTTTTTTTTTTTTTTTTTTTTGAGACAGAGTCTTTCTGTGTCAGCAGGTTGGAGTGCAGTGGCATGATCTTGGCTCGCTGCAACCTCTGCCTCCCGGGTTCAAGTGATTCTCCTGCCTCAGCCTCCCAGGTAGCTGGGATTACAAATGTGCACCACCATGCCCAGCTAATCTGTGTATTTTTAGTAGAGACAGGGTTTCACCATGTTGGTCAGGCTGGTCTCAAACTCCTGACCTCAAGGGATCCATCTGCCTCGGCCTTGATTCTTTTGTATAGAACCACACCTGGCCTTGGTTCTTTTGTATAGTTTCTATTTCTCCTCTGAGATTTCCTATGTATTCATTGGGAGCATATTTTCCTTTATATATTTGAGCATAGTAAGAGTATCTGCTTTAAAACCTTTGCTATTTCCAACAACTTATTCCTGGAAGTCAATCTTCATTGATTATCTTTTCTCTTAAGCATGGGTGACATAGTACTCTTTCTTCATGTGTTTGATAAATTTGTTTTTATCTTAGAAATTGTGAATGGTATACATTGTTGAGACTGTGTGTTCTGTTATATTTCTCTGGAGGGTGTTTAAAAATTTTTTTTAATTTTGTTTTTGTTTGTTTGTTATTTTAGCAGGCAGAAAACTCTGTGTCCTGAGGTGAACAGCTGAAACTTCTGTTCAGGTTATTTAACCTTAGCTGGGCTCCTTGGAGTTAGCTGGCAGATGTATAGTTCAAGGGTCATCCAGAGATTTGGGTAGAATTTAGATGTAGAATTTGGGGCTCTCTTCTCTGGTTTTTCTTTTGAGAATTTCCTTTCTCCCTATCCAGCCCTTGTGGTCTCTGCTTCTGAGGTTATGATATGGGTAGTGTGGTCTGCTGGTCTTGAGTTAGTAAATTCTGGCTTCAGCAAGATAGAAGGCACACTGACAGAAAGAAGCTGTCTTGGTAAGGACACTAGTGCAGGGATGGCTCCAGTGAGTAGAACAGTATATGCTTGTAGCAGGTAAGACTGGAGCCAAGCTGATTAAAATTCAACCCCAAAGAACACACAAGTAATAAATACATGAAAAGATGCTTATCTTGACTAATACTCAAGGAAGTACAAATTAGAACCACATTGAAATATCTTAGCCTATCAGATTGGCAAAGATGAAAAAGACTGATAATGTTTACTGTTGGTGAAGGTTACAGGCATTCTTACATTGTTGGTGAGAGCAAAAGTCTGTGCAACACTTTTTATGTAGGGCCATATCTCAGCATCTATCAATATTTTAAAATGCTAACCCTAAGACCCCACAATTCTACCCCTAGCAATTTATCCTACAGTAGGACTCACTCTGTTGTTTGAAGATCCATGCCCAGAATTATTCACGAAATTCACTTAAAATAGCATATATGCTTGAACCCAGGAGTCTGAGGCTGCAGCGAGCTATGATCATGTCACTGCACTCCAGCCCAGCCTGGGCGACAGAGCAAGACTCTGTGTCTAAAGAAATGAAAATAAAAATAAATAAAATAGCATATACAGGCAACAATCCAAATGTTCATTGCAGAAATTATGATTATTATTGTTTTTCTTTTAGAGGCAGGGTGTCACTCTGTTGCCCAGACTAATCTTGACCTCCTGTGATCCTCAAGAGATCCTCCGGTCTCTGCTTCCCAAAGTTCTTGGATTACAGGTGTGAGGCACTGGGCCTAGACATTGCAGGGATTATTAAACCATGGTGCATACTACCATTAAAGGTATGAGGTAGGTTTTATATGCTGACCTAGAAAGATGGTGCAACACCATAGGGGAACAAGAAGGCTGCAAAGTGGCAGCACAGCAGGAGTCTTTAAGAAATAGGTATTTGTTTCAGCTTAAGAAGTGTCTGGCTGGGCGTGGTGGCTCACACCTGTAATCCCAGCACTTAGGGAGGCTTAGGTGGGCGGATCACTTGAGGTTAGGAGTTCAAGACCAGCCCAGTCAACACGGTGAAACCCCATCTCTACTAAAAATACAAAGAAATTAGCTGGGCTTGGTGGCAGGTGGCTGTAATCCCAGCTACTCAGGAGCTGAGGCAGGAGAATCATCTGAACCCGGGAGGCCGAGGTTGCAGTGAGCCTAGATCGCACCACTGCACTCCAGCCTGGGTGACAGAGTAAGACTCGGTCAAAAAAAAAAAAAAAAAAGACCGGGTGCGAGGTGGCTCTCGCCTGTAATCCCAGCACTTTGGGAGGCCTAGGCAGGAGGATCACAAGGTCAGGAGATCGAGACCATCCTGGCCAACATGGTGAAACCCCATCTCTACTAAAATACAAAAATTAGCCGGGTGTGATGGCACACGCCTGTAGTCCCAGCTACTCAGGAGGCTGAGGCAGGGGAATCGCTTGAAACCAGGAGGTGGAGGCTGCAGTGAGCCGAGATCACGCCACTGCACTCCAGCCTGGCGACAGAGCAAGACTCCATCTCAAAAAAGAAAAGAAAACAAACAAACAAACAAAATCCCCAAAAAGCAAAAGTGTCTGCATGGACTTGTGCCTAACTACTCACAGTGGCTACTTCTTGGGGGAGGTGAAAGGGGACCCTGTTAAAGAATTTTTCTTCTGTATTGTTTTTCTTCAACTGAGTCTGCATTAATTTTATATTTAATACTCTCCCCACCCCTGATGCTCACAGGTTGCTTTAGCTGGTGGAAGGAGAACCTGCACCTCTGGTTTTGGCAAAGTGTAGAAGGGGACAAGGGCACTGCTCTGCACCTGCACAGGTTCTTGCCTCCTGGGGTCAGTTTAATGAATCTCAGTGGTGTTTCTTGGGAAGAACACAGTGGACACTCACTTGCCAGTCAGTAGACAAATCACTGAAGTCCATGTCTGGCAGTTCTCAATGTCATGGGGACTGTAAGGTTGTCATGTCTCACAGTTCCCTGACTTAGAAGATTAGTGGTGACAGACACTTCTCAGCTCTGCTCGGGAGAGCAGCTCTGTAATGCGCTTGTGGTTTCAGATGTGGGCGGCCTGTGTGAACCTGTCGTGCAAAGCTCACGTCACCAACTGCTGCAGTTATCTCCTGAATCAGGCTGAGGGTCTTTGCTGTGCACCCAGAGATAGTTGGGTGACAAATCACCTCCAGGTTGGGGATGCCTCAGACTTGTGATGGGACTGGGCAGATGCATCTGGGAAGGTGAGTCTGTGCTTTGGGCTTCCCAACCTCTCAAGTCAGCATGAAATTCAGAAGGCAGAGAGGGACATGTGGCCCTCCAACTCGGGGCCCAGGGAGCCACTGTGGCATTTGAGAGCGCCACCCTAGCTTTACCTCCTCTGGTGTCCTGGCCTTGTGTATCTCTTAGAGATGGCAAAATTTGCAGCCCTGACCTCAAGGATTACAAACTAATTTCCAGTCCTGTAGGGGTCATGGGTTCTGCTGTGGCCAGTGTGGCACTGAGTTTGTCAGGCAGAATTTCTAATTATGGAAGGAACTCTGCTTCCTCAGTGATTGAACTGACCTTTGTGGGGGTGCCTTTGTGGGGTGAGAATGGGCATACTTGGGCCTCAGTTGTGATGGCCATGGGGTGGAGCTGAGGTCTAGGCCCAGGGCTGGGAAAGCTTCTACCAACCCCGAGGCATTTGGGTGTTTTAGGGCAGAAGAGGAGCCAGGAGGATGGGTATGCCCCACTGGAGCTGTGTGTGGGGCAGCA
The DNA here is from genome assembly GCF_000001405.40 of Homo sapiens. Taxonomy (NCBI): domain Eukaryota; kingdom Metazoa; phylum Chordata; class Mammalia; order Primates; family Hominidae; genus Homo; species Homo sapiens. The sequence goes on from NC_000023.11 coordinate 155,998,302, forward strand.
GGTGAGGGTGGGATTCCAGAGGGAGGGTCAACCCAGCCAAGCAGAGGAAGGGGAGGAGAGGGTTTGTTTTGGAAAGAACATCACCCTCTCAGTTTCCTGGGGTCTGGATAGCCTGTTCTTGTGATGAGCTGGAGGATGTGGGCCCTGCTTGGATCCTCCTCTCCCCTCCCTGCCCCCATTTTCTCTTCCTGTGATTTATGCTGTTCTGGGCTCACCCTCTTCCCAGAGCTGTCACGCTACAGCTGACAGGCAGGGCAGGCGTTTTAATTATTATTAATTTTTTTTTGAGACAGAGTTTGAGACAGTATCAAGAGTGGGTATCCTCTCAGCGTGTCTTCAAGTAGCATCCCAGAGCCCCGCTCCTGGGTACCCACAACATGAACACCGTCCAGAAGCAAGGGCAGCCTCTGCAGGTGGGGCGGGGGTTGGAAAACATTTATCAAACGGTTGAGTTGGGTGCAGGGGATGCAACATGATCAAACAGGGTCTTGCCTCCAGGAGCCTCATGTAGGGACAACGCACAGTGATGACCTTCAACTGCAGTGGGGCAGCAAGGCTGTGGGAGGGGTGTTTTGGGCAGAGCAGGCGACGTGGGTACCTCTTCACCAAGACAGCAGGAAGAGCACGGACATCATTTTCCCGTCTCACCTCCAGACTCCCAGGGGACTGTGCCAATATCCTCACTCCAGCCCTGGCCCATGGCCACTGCTCAACCCTTGGGCCCTGTCAGTTCAGGGCTGTGCAGAAGGAGAGTTGCCTGTGCTCAGGCTCAGGGGTTCCGTCCAGCTAAGGAGGCCTACTAGGGGACTGGGGAAAGGCCTCATGAAGGACCAGGCCTGTGATGGGGAGGGAAGATGGCAGAGGGGACAGTGGGAAGCAGAGCAGCAGGGGTCTCCTCCACGCCTCTCTGTACTTCTCCCACCCACCCTTGCCTACTCCCCTCTGCCCTGGGTATGTGCCCTTGTCCACCCAACACCTCTGCAGTGCCAAGTCCAGCCCTGACTTCTTCCTGAGCTGTGGCCCAGCGTTCCCACAGGCATTTACCTCACGGATGCAGCACTGCCCCTCATCCTCTTCTCTGAAAGTGTGTGGGAAATGCTTCTTGGTGCCATCTCTCTCCCACCCTGCCTTCCCTGCACCTTCTCTATGAGGTGTCTGTTGTCTCTGTACTTGCCTCCAGCTGGCCTTTCAGACCCCATCCCTCCTGCCTCCTGCCCATCCCTACCCCTGTCAGCACCTTACATACTCTGTGCCCAACAGCATTGGGGATTCCCACTGTGCTGAAGGAAGTCCTCATGTGGTCCAGAGAGGGAGCTGGCCCCTGCTCCCATTTCCAGCACCATTTTCTGGCACAGGCTCCATGTCCCCAGGCTCCAGCTGCTTCTGGGGTACCAAGGTCTGCATTTCTTCCTCTTCCCCCAGCAGACAGAAGACCTTGCTGGACAGGTGTCCACTTCAATAGTAACTTCTGAGGCTGCCAGCCTCCTGAATGGTCCAGAAGAACCAGACCCTTCCCCGCCCCCATTAAAAAAGACAAAATATGGCCAGGCATGTTGGCTCATGCCTGACATCCCAGCACTTTGGGAGGCCAAAGCAGGTGAATCACTTGAGGCCAGGAGTACGAGACCAGCCTGACAAACATGGTGAAACCCTGTGTCTACTAAAAATACAAAAATTAGCCAGGCGTGGTGACTCATGCTTGTAAATGCTTGTAATCCCAGCTACTTGGGAGGCTGAAGCAGGAGGATCACTTGAACTCGGGAGGCAGAGGTTGCAGTGAGCCGAGATCACGCCACTGTGTTCCAGCCTGAGCGACAGAGCGAGACTCCGTCTAAAAAAAAAAAATATATATATATATACACACATATATATATGCATAATAGTCTCTGTGTAACAGTAAGTGGATGCAGTAACTGGTGTGAGGGCAACTTGGAGAGTGTGCTTGGAGGCACAGAGATGCTCAGGGCTGCCTGGACTGCCTCCATGATGGTGGCCTGCTCTGTATTAGGTGAGTGTTCAGGAAAGGTGAGGGCAGGGCAGCCCACAGCTTCACAGTGGCCCAGGGAAGCAGGGCAGGCAGGCTATGAGGCCTAGTAGGCATCTGGGCCAGACTTTGACACTGAGGCCATGGAATGGGTGGGGCTCTGAGAACAGACCAAAGTGATCATGGGCTGAAGGCTATGTCCACAGATCCAAGGCGGGATAGGCTGTGCTGGGCAGTGATGTCAGCCAGGCTCCCCAGCGGGACTGGGGGTGTCAGGGGCAGCTCTGTCCCAGGTGGCAGACACTGGTTTCCCCTCCTGCTCTCACAACCGGCCTGTTACCAGGTGTTGTCTGAGCTGTGGTGAGGCTTCCCTGGTGACATTCAGGAGCAGGGAGCCTGTGAGTAAGGGTGTATGCATCTGCCCTGACTGCCTGGCCCTGTGGTCAAGGATGGGGGAAGGCAGCTCTGCCTGCAGCTCCACCCCATTTATAAAGCACTGTGGTGCCTTCTGCTGGGGCATGTGCTGAGTGGTGCCTCGCAGGCACTGCCCTCGGGAAGTTCACAGGCTTATGTGGAAGCTGGTGGGAATGGGCCAAGAAGAGAGGTGTCAGGAGCCAGGTATTGGGCAGGTCCCAGGTCTCTGAGCCTCAGTTTCTTCATCTGTAGGAGGGTGGTGACCCTGCCCTGCTCAGCTTACCAGGTACAGATGTAAGTTTTCAGTGCAGAGGAAAAGCAGAGAACTTCCCCTCAGATGGCCATACCCCCTTGTCGCTGTACCCAACTCTCCGGTCCTACTTTGTAGCTCTCAGGTGTCACATGTGGATCCTGCCCTACCATCCCCCTTCCCTGTCTAGAAACGAGGCCTGCTGAGCTTGGAGCCATCCCACTCCCTGCTCTCAAGCCGTCTGCTCCTGGGTTAGCCTGTGGCTGGCCTGGCCTGATTCTACATAGATGTGGGTGTTTCTCCACTGCTGGGGCAGCAGTTGTCCATTCTGGGGCCTGGGTCAGCTCTCAGCTGTGGCCGTTGTGCCTGTGCTTCCCCAGGTCCTGGTGGTGACTCCAACCCTGCCCTCACATATCCCAAGAGCAGGCTGACTGCCTTCCCCATTCCCACCTTTCCAGTAACTGCTGCAAGAACGGACAGACACTGCTGCAGAGAACTTGCCACGGTGTTTCATGCTGTGGCTGGTGGTTCCAGGCTGCACGCTCCATTCTAGGAAAGGGTGAGGCTTCCTGATCATCAGTCTTAACAGGGGACTGTCCTATGGGTACCTGTATACGCTGCCGGGAGTGGGGCAGAGTGGGGTTAGAGTAGTGCCTGCTGCCCATTGGTTTGTGCGGTCCTTTAAGGCTGTAAGTCTGTGTGCGTGTCTGGTTTTTTCCTCCTCCTATCAGTAATCAGTCTTGTATAACCAGGCTGGCCCTGCTTCCTGCCTAGGGGCTATCGGTGTACCATCTGGAGTTGCAAATGGGGTGATAGGGCGTCAGCGGCCTTCCCACACCCAAGCACTTCCTGACACCCAGCCCCTCATCTCTAGCCAACCTCTGGCTCCCCTAGGGATCCTGGGGCTCAGGCCTCACGCTCCAGCATCCGGGGGCTTTGCCCTTCTGGTGTTGCTCTTCTTTGCAGGTGCCTTGGAACAGGGGTGCAACAGAGTTCAGAAAGTGCCATCTGTTGCATGGATACCCTGCTGCCACCCTCGTCCACCTTTCTGGGGCAGAACAGTTGGATGGGTCTTTATTTAAGAGGACAAAAGGGAGAGAGAATGCATAGAGGCTGGGTCTGGTGCTCACGCCTGTAATCCCAACACTTTGGGAGGCCAAGGCAGGTGGATCCCTTGAGGTCAGGAGGTCAAGACTAGCCTGGCCAACATGGTGAAACCCCGTCTCTACTAAAAATACAAAAAAAAAAAAATTAGCTGGGCATGGCGGGAGATGCCTGTAATCCCAGCTACTCGGGAGGCTGAGGCAGGATAATCACTTGAACCCAGGAGGCGGAGGTTGCAGTGAGCCAAGATCACACCACTGCACTCTAGCCTGGGTGACAGAGGGAGACTGTCTCAAAAAAAAAAATTTGCTTAGAATTTGTCTGTGTGACCCTGGGCAAGTCATTTCCCCTCCTTGGGACTCAGTTCCTTGCCTGTGAACGGGGACAGTGCTTCTCCCTTACAGAGCTGTTGTGAGAATTAAAGTAGAAAATGTACCTATGGTGGTTGTTGGTAGTGACCAGTTCCCCCAACCCTGACTCCCCTGCAGGATGGGGCCTGGGCCCGGGAATGGGGGATGGGCTGGCAGAGGATGACTGTCCCAGAGAGGAGTCTTCTCGGCAGATGTGGAGACCTAGCTGAGTCAGAGGCCAGGATCTAAGTTTGAGGGTGTTCCTTACACCCTGCAGCCATGAGTCTTTGGCTGAGTCAAATGGCCTTTCTGAGCTCAGTTCCTTATCAGTAAAGCCTGGACAGTGGTCCAGGACGCTGGACACTGTGTGAGTGTTAGGACACAGGACACTGTGTGAGTGCAGGTGGGGACCCATGGAGCACTCTGCTGGGGAGCAATTCATGGGGAGCACCCCTCCAGAGAGGGATGATTTGCACAGGGCCCTCAGCCCAGTCCCTTGCAGGCTGGACCTTGGAGAGTGAGGCCCTGAGGCGAGACATGGGCACCTGGCTCCTGGCCTGCATCTGCATCTGCACCTGTGTCTGCTTGGGAGTCTCTGTCACAGGGGAAGGACAAGGTGAGGGCTGGGCACTAATGTCTGTATGAGGTGGGTGGAGAACTAGGGCATGTTTGGGGGACTGGGTTGTCCGATGTCAAGCCTCTAGGGAAAGGTTTGGCCCAAACTGTGCTGGGGCATGTCCTCTAGGGGTCAGCCTGGACCTCAGTCTCTAGTCTCCCTACTTTTACCTCCCTACCTTCATTCCCTGGACCGACTGTAGTCTCCCTTCCTTCACTCTCTTGACGCCTCTCCAGATCTGACTTGCCCGTGTACCACAGGTCAGAGCCCATCACTTCCCAGGCCTCCCAGTGCTTCCCTGGACAGATTCTGGGATCATTTACTGGTGACTGCCCTGCTAGGGTGTCAGCTGTCAGATCCTCCCCAACCCCCGAGCTCAGCTCTGGCCTGAAGTACTTACCGTGGGCTCCTGATGGTCACTGTCTCCAGGGCCAAGGTCTAGAACCTTCACCTGCCTCACCAACAACATTCTCAGGATCGATTGCCACTGGTCTGCCCCAGAGCTGGGACAGGGCTCCAGCCCCTGGCTCCTCTTCACCAGGTGAGCATGGAGGGCCATGCCCACCTGGACAGGGATGAGGGTGAGTTCCCCAGGATTGAAGCAGCTATGCCAGGACAGTGTAGCAGCCCCGTGGTGCTGACAAATGCCCTTTCCAGCAACCAGGCTCCTGGCGGCACACATAAGTGCATCTTGCGGGGCAGTGAGTGCACCGTCGTGCTGCCACCTGAGGCAGTGCTCGTGCCATCTGACAATTTCACCATCACTTTCCACCACTGCATGTCTGGGAGGGAGCAGGTCAGCCTGGTGGACCCGGAGTACCTGCCCCGGAGACACGGTGAGCAGCAGCTATAGGTCTGGGGCGGGGCCGCTTGGCAAGAACATCCTGGCTGCTTGGGGGTTTGGAGCAGGGCCTTGCAGCCTGTGAGTGGCCCAGTGAGTGTTCTCAGTCCCAGCCGAGTGAGATCCAGGGCTGGGGGCAGGCTTGGCCCTTGGGAGGGGAGGGCCCATATGGTTACTGCAGGGGCAGGGTTTTGGCAGGAAATAAACATGCACGGCTGCTAGTTGGGGCAGGGGCTGGCACTTGAGTCATGTGAAATGCACTTCAGTCATACCAGGAAGGACTCCAATAAGATGCTGGGAAAAGCTTCCAGCAGCAGACTGTGAAGGAAAGGGAAAGCAAGATTTAGAAACCACCTAGTCTAGGTGCAGAGGCCAGAGGAAGTCATTGCTGTCCTGTCCCGCCTGGGGCTTTTGTGGACCAGTCTCCCAGTGAGGTGCCTGGTCTGAGAGGGCCTTGACCATTCCCCTTGGGAGTCTTTCAGACCCCAGTCTTGTGTGTTCTGACTGACACACCCAGACCCATGGGGCTTCAGCCTCACATGGATTCACTCTGTTCCAGTTAAGCTGGACCCGCCCTCTGACTTGCAGAGCAACATCAGTTCTGGCCACTGCATCCTGACCTGGAGCATCAGTCCTGCCTTGGAGCCAATGACCACACTTCTCAGCTATGAGCTGGCCTTCAAGAAGCAGGAAGAGGCCTGGGAGGTAACACTTTGGCTGGCTTTCCCTGGGGGCCTCTCTCCTGGGAACAGCAGTCCAGGGTAGACTCCCCACTCTACATAGGGAGATGTCAACTTGTAGTGATGAGAAGGGAGGAACTAGAGCGGGGTGTGTGTGCACACACACATGCTGGCATGCAGATGTGTATGCTTTATGTGTGTGTATGGGAGTAGGGTGAGTGCGCCTGTGTCTCTGTGTGTGCACATAAGTGTGGTGAGTGTGCATGTATGTGTTTATGTGTACACATATGTAACTGTGCACACTCATGTTTGTGTGCCCATGTTTGTGTGTTTATATGTAAGTGTACATATGTGTGTGCCTGTGCCTTGCATTTGTGTGAGTGTGCACATGGGCATGCCTATGTGTATGAGTGTGTATGTGAGTGTGGTGAGTTGCTTCTGTGCACACACTTTTGTTTATGAGTGTGCATGCAAGTGTGATGAGTGTGAAAGTGTTCCTGTAGACATGTTTGCCTGTGTGTGCATATGTGTATTTGTGGGCAAACGCAGCTGTGTCTGTGAGTGTGAGTGTGCCTTCTGTGTGTGTGTGTGCACGTGAATGTGGTGAGTGTGTCTGTGTGTTAACACAAGTGTGTTCAAGAGTGTGTTATATGAGCATATAATGCATGTGTGTATTCTCGAGGGCTGAGGGACCCAGCCCCACCTTCACCACCTGCTAACTGTCCCCACCCCCACAGCAGGCCCAGCACAGGGATCACATTGTCGGGGTGACCTGGCTTATACTTGAAGCCTTTGAGCTGGACCCTGGCTTTATCCATGAGGCCAGGCTGCGTGTCCAGATGGCCACACTGGAGGATGATGTGGTAGAGGAGGAGCGTTATACAGGCCAGTGGAGTGAGTGGAGCCAGCCTGTGTGCTTCCAGGCTCCCCAGAGACAAGGTGGGCACTGCTGTGGCTGCTGCACTTCCAGCGGAGTCTGGGCTGGGCGTCTTCTCCCCTGTTCACCTCAGCCCTGCACCCTTTCACCCTCCTGTAAGCCCCTCCCCGAGGCAGCCATGCCTCAGTTGACCCCCTTCCTCTGAAGGTCTGAGGTCTGTAGGGAGGACAGAAACACCTGCCAACTCTGGGGCTTCCTGGGAACCTGTAGTTAGTGGCTGCTGTTAGGAGTGAGGGTGGCAGGGCTGCACACCAGGGCTGGGCTCCTGCCTGGAGGCTGGACATGACCTCAGTGTCCTTAATGGGGGCTGGACTGACCCTTGCGCACTGCAGTGCTGAGATGGCCCAGGGACTTTATGACCCACCTTGTGGCAGATGGGAAGAGTGAGGCCCAGGAGTGTGGTTCACACAAGGTCCTTCAGCAGGTGACACAAACCTCCAAGGCCCATCACAAGGTCCTTCAGCAGGTGACACAAACCTCCAAGGCCCATCACAAACCTTCCACTTTGGCCCAGGGCACTAAAGGGCGCACCTTTGCCAGGTGGGTTTGGGGGGAGCCTCCTGGCACTGAGGCTGCTCACAGCCCTGGGCCCTTCCTGTCCACAGGCCCTCTGATCCCACCCTGGGGGTGGCCAGGCAACACCCTTGTTGCTGTGTCCATCTTTCTCCTGCTGACTGGCCCGACCTACCTCCTGTTCAAGCTGTCGCCCAGGTAGGTGGCTGATGTGTGCGTGTGTGTACATGTGTGAGCGGGCAAGAGTGTGCATGTTAGTGTATGTGTGCAGATGTGTGACTGTGTGCATGTGTGAGTGTGTGGTGGGTGGGCCATCAAGGGCCGCCCTTGTCTGGTTCCTCCCCTCCCCTCTCCACTGCCTGGTCCTGGACGGGGTGGGCTTTTCGAGTCTCCACCCTGGTCCAGAAGAGGGTTCTCAAGTTGCCAGGGGAGAGCAGGGAAGGGGGGTCTGAGGCAGAGGCTGAAGATAAGGGCAGCTTGGTCCCGACCAGACCCAGAGTCACCGAGATCAAGAGCCGGAGGTCCTAGTCTCCTGCCTCTGGAGGAGCTTGGTTTGTTCATTTGTTCACATGTTCTACGAAAGGACAGTTGGGGCATCTGGTGTGCTCAGGACCCTGTTCTCAGAACAAGATGGACAAGGGCCCTCCTTAAATAAACCGTCACGCCTCATGCACCACATGTCAGGTTACAAGACAGGGTGCAGGGGCCATGTCAGGCCGCAGATGTGAGGAAGAGGGTGTGGGGAGAGGGGTGTTGGGTGGGGCTAAGTGGGAGGGTGCTTCGCTTCTCCTTGGAGCAAAGGAAAGTGTAAAACTGTGTGACACAACCTAGTTTATGTTTTGAGGAATAGATTGCTGGGACAAGGGGACATGGGGGACCTGCTGGAGGCCAATGGGGGCCAGTGAGGTGCCCACAGGGAGACGATTTGGCATGAGCCAGTGAAAGAAGTGGAGATAGAGAAAAGTGGAGAGAATTGCAGGGTCTCATGAGGGGAAATAGAAGGGACATGTGGGTGGATGAGATATGAGTGGTGACCCCTGAGGTGGGGAAATGGGGGACAGCCTTGCAGGGAGGTTGGTGAAGTCTATTTGGACCTGTTGGGTTGGAGCCCCAGGTGACATCCTTGTGGGAGGGTCAGTGGATCCTTGGCAGCAAGTCTGGTGCTCAGGGAGACACTGGGTGGGGTGGGAGCCACAGACCTTCTGCTGATGGCAAAGACAGGGTTCCTGGAGTGCTGGCTCCCTCTGTGATCTGAGGACCCAGCTAGTAACTCCCCGTTCTGAACCCGCCATCGCAGCTCACGCTGTAAAGGACGCGCGCCTCAGTATAAATCAGTTCTATGCGGCCGTTAGGCAAGGAGGCCCAGTTGGGTCCTGCCCTGAGAGTGGGTTGGAATGTGATGAGATGGGAGAGAGGCAGTGGCAGGGACGAGGTGGGCGGACCTCCTGCTGATGGAAGGAAGCTCAGCCTCTGCAGTGACCTCAGGCCACCTGGGTCGCCATAGGCCTCTGACTGGCCTCTCTTGGCCTCAGGGTGAAGAGAATCTTCTACCAGAACGTGCCCTCTCCAGCGATGTTCTTCCAGCCCCTCTACAGTGTACACAATGGGAACTTCCAGGTGTGTGCAGAGACCACAGAAGGACATGGGGGGCAGGGGTTGCCCAGAGCTCTGGCCTGCCCAAGATGTTGGCTTTCACTGAGGGTTGGCGGCCAGTATGGGAGGCTTGTCAGTGCTTGGAGCCTTTTTTGTATATTCAGTGAATTTCAATTTATACGCGTATCTCAAATGGGGAAAAATTAGCTTTATTTTCCATTGCTGATTTCTTTTTGTTCTCAGGTCTCTAGTTCCATTGTTGATTGAAAAAATGTAAATTTCTCATAACTTATCTCTGTCCCCTCTGGTTTGCAGCTTTCTGCACCCACCATGTGCCTCACCTCCTCCTTCTGCGAAGGTGTCTGTCCTGTGGCCATGGGGAAGGGTCTGTGGTGTGTGTGCTGCCCTTGGGGCTCTCACTGCCTCTGGGCTCCTGCTCTGCCTGGTCCCCTGGTCTCCCCGGATCACATGATGGCACCACAGCTGAGGAGTGGGCTCTGCACTTCCCCCCCTTCCACCCATGTTGGGCTCCTACAGCCCAGGCACCAGTGAGCAACTTGGGGGTTGCATCAGCCCCTCCCCTCCCTGCTGGGCTGTTGGTTCATGCCCCCTGGGTGGGAGGAGGGGGAGAGGGAGAGCTCCAGTGAGTGGTCTCTGGTTTTTCCCCTCAGACTCCTCACTTTGGGCAAAGGACAAGAGGCAGTGAGGGCCCCTCCCTGGGGTCTGGGCCAAGCTGACCACTCTTCTCCAGAATCTTCCCTCCCTGTCCCCTTCACACTGTGGCTCCAGCTTACTATGCAGAAAAATCCTTTTCTCTCTCAATGAGGAGCGTAGTTTTCAAGATTTTTGTCCAAAAATATAATTTGAACCATGAACCGGGCATCTGGCTCTTGGCAGAGTCTCCCTCTTTCCCCAAGGTGGTAGATGTGACTGTCAGGAGCCTGGGCAGCTGACGACAAGGCTGAGCAGGTCAGATTGTGACTGTCCCCTGGACTGTCATCCTGTTGCGGGCACCAGCTGTTCCCTAGAGAACTAGGACACCTGCCACGGGTTATTTAGACCTGCGGGTGAGGATCTGGTGCCATAGGTTGGTCTCCAGGGAGCACTGCAGTGATGGAGGGTGTTGTGTGTGTGATGCATGGGATGGAGGCTCCTGGTCCCACCAAGGGAACAGCTTCCTTTTGGAGGCGGGGGCCTCCTGTGGCCCCACAGAAGGATCCAGGTCTGCTGGCCATAGCCGAGTGCTTTGAAAGTCACCAGTCCTGACAGCGATTCGTGTGTGTGTCTGTGTGTGTGTGTGTGTGTGTTTATGTGTCTGTGTGTGTTCGTGTGTGTGTCTGTGTGTGTGTTTGTGTGTGTATGTCTGTGTGTGTGTGTTTATGTGTGTGTGTCTGTGTGTGTTTAAGTCTGTGTGTGTTTGTGTGTGTGTGTCTCTGTGTGTGTGTCTGTATCTGTGTGTGTTTGTGTCTGTGTGTGTTTGTGTGTGTGTCTGTGTGTGTTTGTGTGTGTGTGTCTGTGTGTGTGTTTATGTGTCTGTGTATGTTTGTGTGTGTGTTTGTGTGTGTGTGTTTGTGTTTATGTGTGTATGTCTGTGTGTGTCTGTGTGTCTGTGTGTGTATGTGTCTGTGTGTGTTTATGTGTCTGTGTGTGTTCGTGTGGTGTGTGTGTCTGTGTGTGTGTGTTTGTGTGTGTATGTCTGTGTGTGTGTGTGTTTATGTGTGTGTGTCTGTGTGTGTTTATGTCTGTGTGTGTTTGTGTGTGTGTGTCTCGTGTGTGTGTGTCTGTGTGTATCTGTGTGTGTTTGTGTGTGTGTGTGTCTCTGTGTGTGTGTGTGTTTGTGTATGTTTGTGTGTGTGTGTGTGTGTGTTGGGAATGCCCAGTCTCTGCAGCTGCTGAAAGGCCCTGAGGCACATGCTGTCAGGAGCTGGCTCTGTCCTGGGCAGATATCACCATCTGTACCTCGGTTCAGGCTGCCGTGGGCACCAGGCCCTGTGCTGGGGGAGTGCTGAGGAGCCTGAAGGGACTCAGGGTCCCGTGATGAGGCTGGGCTGGCACATGGAGGAAAGACAGAATGTCCAAGACACAGGCGCTGCTTGGCCTCTGGGTGTGGACCTCAGGAGGGCTTCCTGGAGGAGGAGGGATGCTGGGCTTGCCAGAAAGGAGGCAGCTGCTCCCAGGATGAGTTCTGAACATGCTACCTGAGCCCTTCCCTCCTCCCGTGCTCTGTTCCAGACTTGGATGGGGGCCCACGGGGCCGGTGTGCTGTTGAGCCAGGACTGTGCTGGCACCCCACAGGGAGCCTTGGAGCCCTGCGTCCAGGAGGCCACTGCACTGCTCACTTGTGGCCCAGCGCGTCCTTGGAAATCTGTGGCCCTGGAGGAGGAACAGGAGGGCCCTGGGACCAGGCTCCCGGGGAACCTGAGCTCAGAGGATGTGCTGCCAGCAGGGTGTACGGAGTGGAGGGTACAGACGCTTGCCTATCTGCCACAGGAGGACTGGGCCCCCACGTCCCTGACTAGGCCGGCTCCCCCAGACTCAGAGGGCAGCAGGAGCAGCAGCAGCAGCAGCAGCAGCAACAACAACAACTACTGTGCCTTGGGCTGCTATGGGGGATGGCACCTCTCAGCCCTCCCAGGAAACACACAGAGCTCTGGGCCCATCCCAGCCCTGGCCTGTGGCCTTTCTTGTGACCATCAGGGCCTGGAGACCCAGCAAGGAGTTGCCTGGGTGCTGGCTGGTCACTGCCAGAGGCCTGGGCTGCATGAGGACCTCCAGGGCATGTTGCTCCCTTCTGTCCTCAGCAAGGCTCGGTCCTGGACATTCTAGGTCCCTGACTCGCCAGATGCATCATGTCCATTTTGGGAAAATGGACTGAAGTTTCTGGAGCCCTTGTCTGAGACTGAACCTCCTGAGAAGGGGCCCCTAGCAGCGGTCAGAGGTCCTGTCTGGATGGAGGCTGGAGGCTCCCCCCTCAACCCCTCTGCTCAGTGCCTGTGGGGAGCAGCCTCTACCCTCAGCATCCTGGCCACAAGTTCTTCCTTCCATTGTCCCTTTTCTTTATCCCTGACCTCTCTGAGAAGTGGGGTGTGGTCTCTCAGCTGTTCTGCCCTCATACCCTTAAAGGGCCAGCCTGGGCCCAGTGGACACAGGTAAGGCACCATGACCACCTGGTGTGACCTCTCTGTGCCTTACTGAGGCACCTTTCTAGAGATTAAAAGGGGCTTGATGGCTGTTCCAAAGTGTTGATGGCTGGGAGAAGGGGCCAGAGGAGGAGTGAGGGGTGGGGTTTGTCCAGCCCTGGGCTTTCCGGGCTCTAGAGATAGCATGGTGTAGGCTCAATGACAGTTCTGGGGACAGCAAGTTGGAGGTTCAGGGGCAGCTTCAGGACAGCAGGATGGAGGCTCAGGGACAATTCCTGGGAGGCCAGTGCCCTCGTTCCTCCTTGTCCTCATCCTCCCCCTTGCTCCAGGAAACTGAGAGCTGAGCCTGGAGCTTCCAGACAGTCAGTGCTGGGGGTGACCATCCAGCAGTGATGGTGGCCTGTGAAGGGTCCTGCTTCTGTCCTCAGCCTCTCATGGGGTGGGCTTGTGGAGGAGCTGTGGTCTGGAGAGAGTGGCAGTTGGAGCAGAACGTGCCTGCGTTTGTTTCCTAGGGCTGTCGTAACAAAGTGCCACAAAATGGTTAGCTTAGAACCACAGAGATTTGTTGTCTCACAATTCTGAAGTCCAGAAGTTGGAAATAAAGATGTTGGCAGTGTTCCCAACCACATGTTCTTGGGCTCCCATGAAACAGAAGTTGATATTAGGCCAAGGAAGCTTCCCAGACAAGACTTTATTAAGTCTTATGCCCCGAAAGTTTGGGCAGAAGAGAGACGGTGCAGGAGGAAGAATTCTTGGCTGACTCCCCAAGGGGAATGCATTGTGGTGTCTTAAGGAGGGTGACATACATAATTTATGAGCTACATGAGTGTCATTGCACATATGGGGTGGAGCGAAGGGTGCTCAGACGCATGCTAACACATACGTTGCATGATCAGAAAATGGCAGATAAGCCCCTCCCTGGGTGAGGACTTTAGTATTATCATAAGACCAGGGTCATTCTCCTGGCCTTGTGCACAAGCAGGTGATGGAGTCAACTCCCGTCAGTAAGACTTATGGCGGGATGCTGCTTATCTTAGTTTATTTCAGACAGTTGGCAAGGTCTGGCCAGCGAGTATGGCACCTGGAGGGTGGTGCTGCAAGGTCTAGTGGTCAGCGGGCACGTATGGAACAATACGTTAGTGGGGGTGGGCCGAGTCCCATTTATACTCTCTCAGCAGGGCCATGCTCCCTCTGAAGGCACTAGGGAAGGATTAGTTTCAGGCCTCTCTTCAGCTTCTGTTAGTTTCTTGGCTTGTGACACCAAAGCTGTAATCTTTCTTTTGTTTTGTTTTTGTGACGGAGTTTTGCTCTTGTTGCCCAGGCTGGAGTGCAATGGCACAATCTCGGCTCACTGCAACCTCCTCCTCCCAGGTTCAAGCAATTCTTCTGCCTCAGCCTTTGGAGTAGCTGTGATTACAGGCACCTGCTACCACGCCTGGCTAGTTTTTGTATTTTTAGTAGAGACGGTGTTTCGCTATGTTGGCCAGGCTGGTCTCAAACTCCTGATATCAAGTGATCCGTCTGTCTCTGCCTCCCAAAGTGTTGGGATTACAGGCATGAGCCACCGTGCCTGGCCAAAGTTCCAGTCTTTACAGGGATTTTTCCTTGTGTGCATTTCTGTGTCCAAATTTCCCCTTTTTAAAATCACAATAATAGTGAATTAAGGCTGGCCCTAACGATTTAATCTTAACTTGATCATCTGCAAAGACACTGTTTCCATATAAGGTCACATTCACAGCTACTGGGGTTAGGACTTCAACCTAGAGGGCCTGACTTCTGGCCCAACACATCATGGCCCATCCCAGCATGCCCCATCCCCTTCCTGGGTGCCCCAGGCAGATCACAGGAGGGCCTGACTGCTGGGCTTTGGGCTGACATTGGGATCATCTGCCTAGTTAGGGCTGTGACCAGACTGAGATAGGAGGTGGGACCTGACTCCTGAGGCAGGGCTTGAACTCTGGACCAGATTACAGACTAGCTGAAACAGGCAAAAGCACCCCTCCATAAGACACACCCACTGGTGCCAAGTGAGTTTGCCGTTCTCATGGTAACAGCTGGAAATTACTGCCCCTTTCCATGGCAATGACCTGAAAGTTACCACCCCTTTTCTAGAAATTTCTAAATAACCTCCTCCTTAATTTGTATATAGTTACAAGTGGGTATAAATATGTGTGCAGAACTGCCTCTGAGCTGCTACTCTGGGCTGACTGCCTATGGGGCATCCCTGCTCCATAAGGAGCAGTACCTCTGCTGCCACTGTGCACAGCTGCTTAAATAAAAGTTGCTCTCTAATACCACCGACTCGCCCTTGAATTCTTTCCTGGGTGAAGCCAAAAGCCCTCCTGTGCTAAACCCCAATTTCTGGGCTCACCTTTCCTGCATCAAGAGTGTTTTGGGGCTGGGAGCGCTGAAGTTTTGAAGGCAGGATGAAATGGAGACTGTTAGCTCCCTGGGTCCTGAGCTACAGGGAGCAACTCTCCTGGGTGCTCTCATGCTTCCTGCAACCTGAGCAGAAAGAAGTACCTGTAGCCTGATGCCCCCAAAGGCAAAAGCCCCTTCTGGCTCAGATAGGCAGCCCTCCCACCCTGCATGCCTGCAGAGCTTCTGGGGTTTTGTGGGGAGCCTCAGCAGAGCTGGATCCTGGTCTGTGGGGGCGAGGCAGGCCCCAGAATGTATCTTTAGCATCCAGAGAGTGGGAGGGGTGTGGACGGAAGCGAGGTACAGGCATCCTCAGCTCTAACCAAGTATAAAAATACTAGTGTGAATCCACTTCCTGGAGCTGGGCTCTGGGGAGCCCCGGGCTAGTGTATTTATAACAGGGGCTGTGTGGCTCATGAGGCTCCATGTGTGACCTGGGCTACCTCATGATCACATAAACGAACCCACAATTGGGATGCCTCTCCTGTGTGGCCTGGACACCTCTTCATTCAACTCATAAACTTTCCCTGAGTGGGCCCTGGAGAGCTGGTTCTGGGCTGGAACCTGAGAGTGAAGCCACTGGAGGCTGTGTAATTTGTAGGTGAGTCACTCAGTCACCTAAGCCTGGCCCTCCCCTCTGCACAGGGTGCTAGCCATACCTAGCAGACTGCTGTGAGTTCACCTGAGCAAGACACCTGCACACAGTGGTGCTCAGAAAAAGCTAATAATTCCTTATTGGAATGAGACAGGCCTGGCATGGTGGCTCATGCCTGTAATCCCAGCACTTTGAGAGGCTGAGGCAAGCAGACTGCTTGAGCCCAGAAGTTTGAGACCAGTCTGGGCAACATGGCAAAACCCTATCATCTCTATGAAAAATACAAAAATAATTAGCTGGGCATGGTTGTTCAGGCCTGTAATCCCAGGTACTCGGGAGGCTGAAGTAGGAGAATCACTTGAATCCGGGAGGCAGAGGTTGCAGTGAGCCGAGATCACGCCACTGCACTCCAGCCTGGGCAACAAAGTGAGACTCCATGTCAAAAAAAGAAAAGAGGCCAGGAGCAGTGGCGCATGTCTGTAATCCCAGCACTTTGGGAGGCCGAGGTGGGTGGACCACAAGGTCAGGAGTTCAATACCAGCCTGGCCAAGATGGTGAAACCCCGTCTCTACTAAAAATATAAAAAAAAAAAAAATTAGCCAGGCATGGTGGTAAGTGACTATAATCCCAGCTACTTAGGAGGCTGAGGCAGAGAATTGCTCAAACCCAGGAGGTGGAGGTTGCGGTGAGCCGAGATTGCGCCACTGCACTCCAGCCTGGGAGACTGAGCGAGACTCCGTTTCAAAAAAAAAAAAAAAAAAAAGGAAAAAAGAAAGAAAAGACCCCAGGACCATACATATTTACAGCTCAGTATTAACTAACCTTAATGAAATATGATTTTATTTAAAATGGTCAAGGTAAAGGAAAAAAAAGAGTAGTGACTTTCTTCAAGTAATTTTATGGTATAATATCAAAGCTTGATATAGTTAATACATTTCATCTAATATAGGAATGAGAATGCTTATAAAGCAGACGTCATTTTATGTACCATTACAAATACACTGCCAATTAAACAGACTTTCTCAACAAAAGACTGTTGTTGACGAGGTGACTTCCATTAGACACACAAAATGGTTTGTTTTTGTTTTCATTTGTTTTTGTTTTTTGAGACAAGGTCTCGCTCTGTCGCCCAGGCTAAATGCAGTGGCCTGAGAATGATAATGTGCCTGCTTTTCCATTTCCTGTGTTGTTTCCACTGCGTTAACAAAAGAGCCTTAAAACACAAAGCACTGGCCGGGCCCAGTGGGTCACGCCTGTAATTCCAGCACTTTGGGAGGCCGAGGTGGGTGGATCACCTGAGATCAGGAGTTCGAGACCAGCCTGATCAACATGGAGAAACACCGTCTCTACTAAAACTACAAAATTAGCCGGGCGTGATGGCGCATGACTGTAACCCCAGCTACTCGGGAGGCTGAGGCAGGAGAATCGCTTGAACCCGGGAGGCAGAGGTTGCAGTGAGTCGAGATCGCGACATCGCACTCCAGCCTGGGGAGCAAGAGCGAAACTCCTTCTCAAAAGAAAACAAAACAAAACAAACACCGAGCACTCATCTAGGGGCGCCTGTTTCATTGGCCTTAGACTGCGGTGCCTGCTGGTCCCCGACCTCACGAGGGCATCTCTGTGTTCCTCCTCCTTTCCCCGTACCAGGGTCAGCCCCAGGTGTCCCGGAGATGCAGCCCCAGGTGTCCCAGAGATGTCCTCATCGCGGACGTGGCCCCAGGTCTCCTCAGGTGTCTCGAAGCCATGGCCCCTCCTGGGTGGGTCCTGAGGAGAGAAAACTCCGTCCTCACAGTCCTCACACCCAGGGATGCCGCTGTACGGATCAGACGCAGTTCTACTGTGGCGCTCCGGGTTTGGCCGGGCCCCCTAATGGCAGCCGTGGAGAATCCCTGAAAATTAGCGTTTGGATTTTTCCATGCCGTGATTTTGGAAATTTCAACTGACATGGAGCCCACCATCCCGTGCCCCGACCGAAACCCATGGAGACAGCAAGCAAAGAAGATGGCCAGTTCACGCCTGTAATCCCAGCACTTTAGGAGGCCGAGGCAGGAGGATCACTTGAGCTCAGTGAGTTCGAGACCAACCTGGCCAACATGGTGAAGCCCCCGTCTCTACTAAAAATACAAAAAAAAAAAAAAAAAAAAAAATTAGCTGGGCGCCGTGGGCAACAACTGTATGTAGTCCCAGCTACTTGGGAGGCTGAGGGAGGAGAATCGCTTGAGCCCAGGAAGCGGAGGTTGCAGTGAGCAGAGATTGCACACCTGCACTCCATCCTAGTCAACAGAGTGGGGCTTCCTCTCAAAAAGAAAGAGGGCAGGGCATGGTGGCTCACACCTGTAATCCCAGCACTTTGGGAGGCCGAGGCGGGCAGATCACGAGGTCAGGAGATTGAGATCATCCTGGTCAACGTGGTGAAACCCCGTCTCTACAAAACATATAAAAATTAGCTGGACATGGTGGCCTGCTCCTGTAGTGCCAGCTTTGGGAGGCTGAGGTAGGAGAATCGCTTGAACCATGGAGGCAGAGGTTGCAGTCAGCGGAGATTGCGCCACTGCACTCCAGCCTGGGTGACAGAGCGAGACGCCGTCTCCAAAAAAAAAAAAAAAAAAAAAAAAAACAAAAAGCAAAAAACAAAATCAAAAACAAACATCCAGCACTGATCCCAGGGGCCTGTTTCCTCGGCCTCAGGCTGATCTCCCGACAGCGTCTCCGCGTTCTTCCTCCTCTCCCGGTACCAGGGTCTCTTCCCAGAAAGAAACTCACATCCGTAACCTGCATCTTGGCCTGAACTGGGGGTGACCCGCCCAAGCCTCCATGAAGGGGAATCTCCTACAAAGTGAGGTCCTGCTACAAAGTGCACGACGGGAAATGCAGCCGCGCTCGCTCCGCCACACTCACACCGGGGGCGGGAAGCCTTTTCCTCACCTTGGCCTCGGCCCCAAGTGGTGTCCCGGAGATGCAGCAGCGTCTCCCAGTCCTCACCGCGGACGCCGCCCCAGGTGTCCCCAGGTGTCCCCAGGTGTCTCGAAGCCGCGGTCTCTCCCATGCGGGTCCTGGGGAGAGGAAGCTCAGTCCTCATAGTGGCCGCAAAGTGACTGCCGCTGTGTGGATGAGACGCGGTGCGTGCACGGCGCCCCGAGTTGCCAGGGGCCATGCGCCCCCTTGCGGCAGCCATGGGGAGTCTCTGAAAATCAGCGTCTAGATTTTTCCAGGCTGTGGATTTTGGAAATTACGACTGAAATGGAGCCCACCATCCCATGCCTTGATCGGAACTCATGGAGCAAGGAAGCAAAGAAGATGGCCAGTTCATGCCTGTAATCCCAGCATTTTGGGAGGCTGAGGCGGGCGGATTACTTCAGGTCCAGAGTTTGAGACCAGCCTGGCTAACATGGTGAAACCGCATCTATACTAAAAATACAAAAATTAGCTGGGCATGGCGGCACGTGCCTGTAATCCCAGCTACTCAGGAGGCTGAGGCAGGAGGATTGCTCGAACCCAGGAGGCGCAGGTTGCAGTGAGCCAAGATCATGTCACTGCACTCCAACCTGGGTGACAGAGCCAAACTCCATCTCAAAAAAAAGATGGCCAGTAGGCAAAACTTAATTGATTTTCTTTCTTTTCTCTTTAAGAGACAGGGTCTCGCTCTGTCACCCATGCTGAAGTGCAGTGGTGTAATCACAGCTCCCGAGTTCAGCCTCCAGCTCCCGGGTTCAAGAAATTCTCCAGCCTCAGCCTCCCAACACACTGGGATTACAGGTGTGAACAACTGTGTCCGGCACCACCTGATTTTCCTTTATTTATTATTTTATTTTTTATGGGCGGGGCAGGTCTAACTATGTTGCCCAGGCTGGTCTAGAACTCCCAAGCTCAAATGATCCTCCCAACTAGGCCTCCCAAAGTGCTAGGATTACGGGCGTTAGCCACCACACACTGCCTGATTTTCTTTCTATCATCAGCAATAATGTATAGGAATAATTTGAACTTGAAATTTGAAAAAAATACCATTTACAATAGCATTCCCAAATTTAATTTATTAGGTATAAATCTAACAAAATACATACAAATATGCATTCAGAAAACTTTAGATCACGGTTGAGAAGAATCAAAAATATTAAATCAAATGCAGATACTCCTTGTTTAGGAGCAGTACACTCATTATTGTTAGCTTTACCACAAAGCTAAAGCAATGAAGAGAGTGATATTGGTGAAGGAATGGACAAACAGCTCAACAGAACACAATACAGAACCCAAAAAACCCGAGTAAATACATTCAATTGATTTTGTCAAAGGGGCAAAAGCAATTCACTGGGGAAAGAAAAGTCTGTTCCACAAATGGCAATAGACAATCGGAAACCATACGGAAAACACTGAATGTGGACAAAAACTTCATAGCTCACCCCCAAAAAATCACTCAAGATAGTCTGTAGCCTTAAATGATCAAATATAAAATTGTAAAAGTTTTATAGAAGAAAATCCACGTGACTTTGGGTTGGTGATGAGTTCTTAGATACAATACCAAAAGCCAGTCCATAAAAGAAAAAAAATGATAATTTGGACATCATTAAAATTTAAAATGACTACTCTGTGAAATATCCTGTTAAGAGAATCAAAAAATAAGGCACACACTGAGAGAAAATATTTATAAAACAAGCCTGAAAAAAAGACTTGCATGCAAAATATACAAAGACATTCTAATACTCAACAAGAAGAAAAACAACCCAATTAAAAGATAAAGACATGGAATAGGAACAGCTCCAGTCTACAGCTCCCAGCCTGAGTGACGCAGAAGATGGGTGATTTCTGCATTTCCAACTGTGGTACTGGGTTCATCTCACTGGGGCTTGTCAGACAGTGGGTGCAGCCCACAAGCTTGAGCCGAAGCAGGGCGAGACATCGCCTTCACCCGGGAAGCACAAGGGGTCAGGGAATTCCCTTTTCCTAGCCAAGGGAAGCTGTGACAGATGGCACCTGGAAAATAGGGTCACTCCCACCCTAATACTGGCGCTTTTCCAACGGTCTTAGCAAACCGCACACCAGGAGATTATATCCCACGCCTGGGCTCGGAGGGTCCCACACCCACGGAGCCTCGCTCATTGCTAGCACAGCAGTCTGAGATTGAACTGCAAGGTGGCAGCAAGGCTGGTGGAGGGGTGCCCGCCATTGCTGAGGCTTGAGTAGGTAAACAAAGTGGCTGGGAAGCTTGAACTGGGTGGAACCCACCACAGCTCAAGGAGGCCTGCCTGCCTCTGTCAGACTCCACTTCTGGGGCCAGGGCATAGTCGAACAAAAGGCAACGGAAATCTCTGCAGACTTAAATGTCCCTGTCTGACAGCTTTGAAGAGAGTAGTGGTTCTCCAAGCACGGAGTTTGAGATCTGAGAACAGACAAACTGCCTCCTCAAGTGGGTCCCTGACCCCCGGGTAGCCTATCTGGGAGGTACCCCCCAGTAGGGGCAGACTGACACCTCACATTGCCGGGTACCCCTCTGAGACCAAGCTTCCAGAGGAACGATCGGGCAGCAACATTTGGTGTTCAGCAATATTCACTCTTCTGCAGCCTCCACTGCTGATACCCAGGCAAACAGGGTCTGGAGTGGACCTCCAGCAAACTCCAACAGACCTGCAGCTGAGGGTCCTGACTGTTAGAAGGAAAACTAACAAACAGAAAGGACATCCACACAAAAACCCCATCTGTACGTCACCATCATCAGAGACCAAAGGTAGATAAAACCACAAAGATAGGGAAAAAACAGAGCAGAAAAACTGAAAATTCTAAAAATCAGAGCGCCTCTCTTCCTCCAAAGGAACAAAGCTCCTCACCAACAATGGAACAAAGGTGGACGGAGAATGACTTTGACGAGTTGAGAAAAGAAGGCTTCAGATGATCAAACTTCTCCGAGCTAAAGGACGAAGTTCGAACCCAGTGCAAAGAAGTTAAAGACCTTGAAAAAAAGATTAGATGAATGGCTAACTAGAATAACCAATGCAGAGAAGTCCTGATGGAGGTGAAAACCATGGCACGAGAACTATGTGACGAATGCACAAGCTTTAGTAGCCGATGCGATCAACTGGAAGAAAGGGTATCAGTGATTGAAGATCAAATGAATGAAATCGGGGTCAGGGTCAAGGGTCAGGGTCAGGGTCAGGGTCAAGGGTCAGGGTCAGGGGTCAGGGTCAGGGTGAGGGTCAGGGTCAGGGTCAGGGTGAGGGTCAGGGTCAGAGTCAGGGTCAGGGTGAGGGTCAGGGTCAGGGTCAGGGTGAGGGTCAGGGTAGGGTGAGGGTCAGGGTGAGGGTGAGGGTCAGGGTGAGGGTCGGGGTTAGGGTTCAGGGTCGGGGTTAGGGTTCAGGGTCCGGGTTAGGGTTCAGGGTCCGGGTCAGGGTTAGGGTCAGGGTCAGGGTTAGGGTCAGGGTCAGGGTTAGGGTCAGGGTTTTAGGGTCAGGGTTTTAGGGTCAGGGTCAGGGTGAGGGTCAGGGTCAGGGTGAGGACCCTTTACAGCAGATGAAGGCCTCTCCCCAGCCAGAAAAGATGGAGCACACGCTGGGTGGTGGCCCCGCTTCCTCACTGGAAGGAGATGGTGCTCTTCTTTTTTCTTTCTGAATTGTGGCCACCTTCATACCAGTCTGTCATGGAACACTTAAGCCGCTTGAGTGCCTGCTGGTACTCCCAGCCCTGCCATGCCTGAGCCCCCTGCACACAAGGAGCCAGGAGTAATCAGGGCAGACCCATTAGGGCACGGGGACTTCTGGATTGTGAAATTGGCTCTCTGGGGGCCAAGGCCTTCTAACGTTGGTGGAAGTGGCTTTGGCTTATTGGGTCGGATTCTAGGCCATTCGTTCCAACCTTTAGAGACATCCCAGCTTTCCCTAGCCCAGAGTCTGCAGCCCCTCCACCATCCCACATCCTCCCCCTCCCTTTCCTCATGAACCCCAGTCGCGCCTCTGCCTTCTCAAACCCCTCCACCATCCCACACCCTCCTCCTGCCCTTCCTCATGAACCCCAGTCACGCCTCTGCCTTCTCATCCCTGCGCGCCACACAGGCTCGCTCGTGCCCGGTGAATGCTGAGGCTGCTCTGCACGTGGAGTGTGGCCCTGTGGGCAAGGGCTGGGCTCTTGGAGGTAGGGGAGCTACAGGGGCGACTGGGAGGAGGATGTTGTGTTACACACGCATCAGAGTTAACTTTGCAGTGAGAGCAGCCTTGCTGCGGCCAAAGAACATGGAAAAGCATGAGTGGGGTGATGTGCCTTAAAGCATCAGACACTTGGGCCTCGGGCATCAGGAGCCAGCCACAGGGATGTCTGGGGAAATGGCGTTCCATGAGATGCAAGCACACAAGAATGCACTTGGCACATCTGGGGAACAGCAGGCAGCTGATATCACTGGGCCCACCCCGCACCAGGGAGGATGGAAGCAGGTGAGGAGCTAGACCACACTGAGGCGGTGGTCGGGACTCAGAGTTTGCTCAGTGAGCCGTTCACTAGGTGCAGGGGCAGTTCCCCGTCTGAATTTAGGTGACGACACTCAGGTCCAGCCTTGCCAGTCTCAGCCTCCGGTCTCCGTTCCCCCTCTGCAGAGGTCACTTTGTCTGCTGCACGTGATTATGAGGGGTTGTGAAGTGCTTGCCCCATCAGTAGCCAGTGTGCATGTGTAAATACCATCCTCTGTGTGCCCTGGAGGCTGTCCTTCAGATAGCATGTACAGGTGGCAGCATAGGGCCTGTCCCTAGTGAGAGTGCAGGGAACTCAGCACCGTCAACTCCTCGACCCTGCAGGTCAGATTATCCTTGTAGAGGCCCCCTGGATGGCACCAAGATCGGCCCTGGCAAGCAGGTGACCCTGACTTCAGAGCCCTTGCCTGAGGGCCTGGCCTGGCAGCTCTGCTGTTAGAAGCAGGAGGTGTGCAGGGGGTGGGGAGCAGCCCAGCCTCTGTGATCTTCTCCATGGCAGGATCTCCCAGCAGGTAGAGCAGAGCCGGAGCCAGGTGCAGGCCATTGGAGAGAAGGTCTCCTTGGCCCAGGCCAAGATTGAGAAGATCAAGGGCAGCAAGAAGGCCATCAAGGTAGTCCCCATACCCCTGTGTCCTGAGGCTACTGGGCAGTCCCTCCATTTCCCCATGCCTCTGAGGCCGCCCATTCTCTGCCCTGCTGCCCACCTGTACCTTGGGCTTTCTTCTCGCCCAGGCTTCCAACTCCACCCTCTCCTGCCAAGCAATCCTAGCCCTCTGAGCCTCTTAGGGCCCCCTCAGACTTGTCCCTGTGTCCACAGGTGTTCTCCAGTGCCAAGTACCCTGCTCCAGAGCGCCTGCAGGAATATGGCTCCATCTTCACGGGCGCCCAGGACCCTGGCCTGCAGAGACGCCCCCGCCACAGGATCCAGAGCAAGCACCGCCCCCTGGACGAGCGGGCCCTGCAGGTCTGCTGGCTGCGCACATAACTTAGCCTGTCACACACCAGGAGGACTGGATACTGGGGAGGAGCCGGGGCCACCATAGGGTTCTGTCCCCCAGAGGAGGCTGACTGGGATGGGGTGGCAGCTGATTAGGCCCAGCACCAAATATTCACCATCCCTTGGCCATCCTGGCCCTCTCAGGAGAAGCTGAAGGACTTTCCTGTGTGCGTGAGCACCAAGCCGGAGCCCGAGGACGATGCAGAAGAGGGACTTGGGGGTCTTCCCAGCAACATCAGCTCTGTCAGCTCCTTGCTGCTTTTCAACACCACCGAGAACCTGTATGGCCAGAAGGCAGGGCCGAGGGGTGTGGGCGGGAGGCCCGGCCTGGCTTAGTGGGGACCCAGGGCATCAGACACAGGTACAGCACATAGGCCAGGAGCCAGGGGGTGACTGGGGTGGCTCGGCTCGGGAGGCCTGGGACCCCACAGTGCACGCTGTGCCCCTGATGATGTGGGAGAGGAACATGGGCTCAGGACAGCGGGTGTCAGCTTGCCTGACCCCCATGTCGCCTCCGTAGGTACAAGAAGTATGTCTTCCTGGACCCCCTGGCTGGTGCTGTAACAAAGACCCATGTGATGCTGGGGGCAGAGACAGAGGAGAAGCTGTTTGATGCCCCCTTGTCCATCAGCAAGAGAGAGCAGCTGGAACAGCAGGTGGGAGGGGTGGGACAGAGGTGGAGACAGGTGCAGTGGCCCAGGGCCTTGCCAGAGCTCTTCTCCAGTCAAGGCTGTTGGGCCCCTTATTCCACCCATGGGAGGTGCACACAAGGTCTTGTTGGCTGCCCCTGCAGGTCCCTGTCACCTCTCACATGTCCCTGCCTAATCTTGCAGGTCCCAGAGAACTACTTCTATGTGCCAGACCTGGGCCAGGTGCCTGAGATTGATGTTCCATCCTACCTGCCTGACCTGCCCAGCATTGCCAACGACCTCATGTACAGTGCCGACCTGGGCCCCGGCATTGCCCCCTCTGCCCCTGGCACCATTCCGGAACTGCCCACCTTCCACACTGAGGTAGCCGAGCCTCTCAAGGCAGGTGAGCTGGGTTCTGGGATGGGAGCTGGGCCGGGGACCTCCCTGCTGACACACCTTCTTCCCTAGACACCCCGCACTTTGTGTTTCAGACCTACAAGATGGGGTACTAACACCACCCCCACCGCCCCCACCACCACCCCCAGCTCCTGAGGTGCTGGCCAGTGCACCCCCACTCCCACCCTCAACCGCGGCCCCTGTAGGCCAAGGCGCCAGGCAGGACGACGGCAGCAGCAGCGCGTCTCCTTCAGGTGGGAGCAGCTCTTTGAGGCCACCTGATTTCTGGCGTGCTCAGTGCACTCGGGTGGATTTTCTGTGGGTTTGTTAAGTGGTCAGAAATTCTCAATTTTTTGAATAGTTTCCATTTCAAATATCTTGTTCTACTTGGTCCATAAAATAGTGGCTTTCAAACTGTAGAGCTCTGGACTTCTCACTTCTAGGGCAGAGGGAACCTGAACAAGTGAGGCTCTGGGTTCCCCATTCCTAATTAAACCAATGGAAAGAAGGGGTCTAATAACAAACTACAGCAACACATTTTTCATTTCAGCTTCACTGCTGTATCTCCCAGTGTAACCCTAGCATCCAGAAGTGGCACAAAACCCCTCTGCTGGCTCATGTGTGCAACTGAGACTGTCAGAGCATGGCTAGCTCAGGGGTCCAGCTCTGCAGGGTGGGGGCTAGAGAGGAAGCAGGGAGTATCTGCACACAGGATGCCCGCGCTCAGGTGGTTGCAGAAGTCAGTGCCCAGGCCCCCCCACACAGTCTCCAAAGGTCCGGCCTCCCCAGCGCGGGGCTCCTCGTTTGAGGGGAGGTGACTTCCCTCCCAGCAGGCTCTTGGACACAGTAAGCTTCCCCAGCCCTGCCTGAGCAGCCTTTCCTCCTTGCCCTGTTCCCCACCTCCCGGCTCCAGTCCAGGGAGCTCCCAGGGAAGTGGTCGACCCCTCCGGTGGCTGGGCCACTCTGCTAGAGTCCATCCGCCAAGCTGGGGGCATCGGCAAGGCCAAGCTGCGCAGCATGAAGGAGCGAAAGCTGGAGAAGAAGAAGCAGAAGGAGCAGGAGCAAGGTGAGCGGGCCCTGGAGCCTGCGGTCGGAGGGCCTTGGGCAAGATCGCCTCCTCCCCTCCAGCCCTGAGTCCACTGGGTGCTTTCTGCCCACCCCCTGCTCTTGCCAGCTGGCCCCTGCTTCCCCTAGGGCACATGCTGGAAGCCCTGGGCCGCCACCAGAAGTCCTCAGCCCTCCTGCCTGGGCTATGGCTCCTTCCTGGTTTGGGAGCCATAGTGAAGCTTTCCTCTCTAAGCTCACCCAGCCCAAACTGTGACAGGAGAATCTTCTTCGACTGCCAAGAGCGGTCCAAGGCAATGGTCAGCCACTGCAGCCCCCTGAGATATTTTTAGAGACTGGACCTGAGGCCTCTGGAGGCTACTGATGATGCCTGCTGTGAACGCAGACACTGGTGTGATGCGATGCCTGCGCCTGCAGCGGCAGTGCCCTGGGCACTATGGTTTTGAGCTTGTACCCAGCGCTGCTTTTGCCTTGCTCTGTGACCCCAGGCAAGCTGCCTCACCTCTCTGGGCCAGTTTCCCCATCGTACAGTGGTGCTGCACACCCTGGCCCTGGCCCCGAGGTGGCTGGGAGGTGGCTCCTCAAACAGCCGCTTTCTCATCAGTGCCCGGTGCTGGGTCAGGGATCGACTGAGGCTCTGAGCTAACTAGGAAACACAGTGGCCTTGGAGGGCTGGGGAGTGTCATGGGGGTGGGGACAGGGAGCCACCGGTCGCATGTGACTGAACTCTTCACCCCAGTCTGTGGCTTTCCCGTTGCAGTGAGAGCCACGAGCCAAGGTGGGCACTTGATGTCGGATCTCTTCAACAAGCTGGTCATGAGGCGCAAGGGTAGGAGGCAGGGCCGCTGCCCGCCCTGGGTCGGCACCTTGTAATTCTGTCCTGCCTTTTTCTTCCTGTATTTAAGTCTCCGGGGGCTGGGGGAATCAGGGTTTCCCACCAACCACCCTCACTCAGCCTTTTCCCTCCAGGCATCTCTGGGAAAGGACCTGGGGCTGGTGAGGGGCCCGGAGGAGCCTTTGCCCGCGTGTCAGACTCCATCCCTCCTGTGCCCCCACCGCAACAGCCACAGGCAGAGGAGGACGAGGACGACTGGGAATCCTAGGGGGCTCCATGACACCTTCCCCCCCAGACCCAGACTTGGGCTGTTGCTCTGACATGGACACAGCCAGGACAAGCTGCTCAGACCTGCTTCCCTGGGAGGGGGTGACGGAACCAGCACTGTGTGGAGACCAGCTTCAAGGAGCGGAAGGCTGGCTTGAGGCCACACAGCTGGGGCGGGGACTTCTGTCTGCCTGTGCTCCATGGGGGGACGGCTCCACCCAGCCTGCGCCACTGTGTTCTTAAGAGGCTTCCAGAGAAAACGGCACACCAATCAATAAAGAACTGAGCAGAAACCAACAGTGTGCTTTTAATAAAGGACCTCTAGCTGTGCAGGATGCAAACGTCTCGGGGTCAGTGACTGCCTCCTGCCCCTGTTGGTCCCTAGGCAGTGGGGGCAGAAGCTCCCAGCTGACCTGTTTCTCTGGGAGAGAAGGGCAGTCAGCAGGGGCAGCTGTTGCAGATGGGAGGAATAGTCTCCCACAAAAAAGGTTTCAGTGACAGACACGGGGTCTCTAAAAATAGTCATGCTGAGAGCCCAATGGCCCTTGGCACAATTGCTGGTGTTGGGGTAGAAGATGTCTTGGAGTTTGCTCAAGTGGTTGAGAGGGAGGGAGGTGCCATCAACTTGGAGGAACTGGCACCAAGCCAGGGAGATAGAAATCCAGGCAAGGCTGTGGGGCAGGTTAGGGAGCAAGGCTGCAGGGGTGACTCAGGAAGAAGGTGGGGGAGGTGACAAGCCCCCAGGCAGGGGCCCTGTGGCCATGGGGATCTTTTTAAATTGAGACTAGGGGGTGAATAGTCCAGGGCAGCTAACTTTAGTTATTATAGAAAGGGCAGTAGCAGATGGGTCTGCTCCGTCTCGCTTCTAAGAAGGTGGGCAGGACAAATGGCAGCCTCCTGCAGAGGCCCAGTGAGAAGCCTGGCCCTCGGCCACACAGGATGGAAGACAGATTGGATTCCACAGAGGGGAGCTGCCCTGGGAAGATCTCACGGATGGCCAGGACCCACCATTTCTTCGGGGTTCCCCTGTTTTCTCCAACGGGCACTAATGCCTGTGCCTGGGTCCTGGCAACACTCTGGACTCCACACTCTTCTGGGTTTCACCTTTGTAGCAGGATCCCTGCAGATCAGGCCCATGACAAACACCGTCTCCAGCGGGCAGAGCAAAGGAAGGGCGCAGCGCCAGGCAGTGGTGCAGCTGCCTGTCAGGAAGAGGCCTACTTCTGGTGAAACTGGGCAGACAAAAGGCAGTGAGAAATGTGATCTCGGGGTGGTGGAGGCTCTAGGGAAAGGAAAAGGCAGGAGTGAACTTCCACACAGCAGCAATGGCAGAACCAAAGGTGGCTTTGACCTCCACGAGGGCTCAGATCCA
This sequence comes from Homo sapiens, assembly GCF_000001405.40. Taxonomy (NCBI): domain Eukaryota; kingdom Metazoa; phylum Chordata; class Mammalia; order Primates; family Hominidae; genus Homo; species Homo sapiens. The sequence goes on from NC_000023.11 coordinate 156,026,746, forward strand.
GGCCAACAGCTTGTCCAGGACAGGGTGCCGGGTGTATCACTAATCCAGGAGCACTATGCTGGCAGAATCCCTTTGGTGCCTGATGGCCCTGCCTTCGTGGGAACAGAGGCTAAGGCTTTGAGTTACAGCTGCCTCCCCAACAGTGCATCCCCTTCTCCTTCCTCAGCCTCAGGTAGGAGACAGGGCAGGCAACCCCCCTTTCCTCTTCTCCCCTTCTCCAGCCCCTGTCTGTCCACCCAGCTGGAGGCAGCCAGGCTTGCCTATGGACTGGTTGACAGCCTTCATGCACAGGTTCTCCACCAGAGCCTTTCTTGGGGGCCCCTGGCTGGGCTCTGAGCTGGGAGTGAAGGGGATGACCCATGCGGACTGTTTGCTGCTTGTAGCTTTCCCTGGGAAAGACTCTGCCAGGCCTTGGAGCCAGACCAGGAGGCTTTATAGGCCACTGCAAGCAGCAGGGCTCCAGATGACATCACAGGGAATATCAAGAGGGTGTGGAGGGGCATCGAAGCCTCTCCAGGAGACAGGAGACGCCGGCCCAGTAGAGCCCTAGGGGCGACGCCACTCCCACTCACTGTCTACTCTCCTCTCACCTCTGCAACACTGGGGACACTCACAAGATTGTGATCCAAGTCGGCCGTCGTCTTCTGCAGCTCTGGAGACCTGATGCTGGGGAAGGGCATGCCTGGCATCACCACACACCTGGGAGGAGACAGGAGCCTGGGGCCGGTGGGCCCACACATCACCAGCTGCTCCGTTCTACCATTTCTTCAGCCCTCTTGGCTGTGCCTGCGGCTCTGCCCCTCCCCTCTCTGCACCTACCACCCAGAGAGGGCTTGTTGAGCTCAGAGATCCCACCTAGGCCAATCCACTGGGTTCTGTGGCAGCGATGGCCTGCCTGATCTTCCACCTGCTCTCCCAGGGCCAAAGCCAGACCTGCTGAGCCCCTCCCTCCAGCCGGCTGGTCTGAGCAGTCACAGCCCGGCTTTGGGCTCCGATGGCAGCAGATGGCAGGTAGGGGTCCAGCTGCTGGAGCGAGGGCCGGCCACGTATCACAGCCAAGGAGATGAGCACAAGCACTACTTACTGGCCTAGGTTGTCAGAGAAGTTGATGCTCTCACTCATCTTTCCTCCAATCTTTCCCCTATGCCTGGTTGTGGTATTAAGTTACATGCAGACAACAGGGGCCAGAAGATGAACAATGGCCCATCCCACTCTAGGCATGGCTCCTCTCCACAGGAAAACTCCACTCCAGTGCTCAGCTTGCACCCTGGCACAGGCCAGCAGTTGCTGGAAGTCAGACACCTGCAGATCAAGACCACAGCATCAAGACCCTGTGACCTCTCAAAGGCCTGGTGGAAAGGACACGGGAAGTCTGGGCTAAGAGACAGCAAATACACATGAACAGAAAGAAGAGGTCAAAGAAAAGGCTGACGGCAAGTTAACAAAAAGAAAAATGGTGAATGATACCCGGTGCTGGCAATCTCGTTTAAACTACATGCAGGAACAGCAAAGGAAATCCGGCAAATTTGCGCAGTCATTCTCAACACCGGCCATGCAGCAAAATCATCAGTGGAAATTTAAAAAAATACACGTGGCCAGGCCCCAGCCCAAATCACTAATAAGAATCTCCAGGGCTTCACCTGTTAGACTGGCAAAAAATCCAAAAGTAAACACTTTGTGGAGAAACAGGCACTCCTAGACATTGCTGGTGGGATACAGAACAGTACAATTCTGATGGTAATCAGTTAACAAATTAAACATATTTATTTTATACTTTTAAACCCAGGAATCCCATATTTAGGAGTCTACTGAGACCAAACAGCATATGCTCCTGGTGTTTCCCTATAATCCGCCACTACTGTTGGAGCAAGAGGGCCCAGCAGTGTCCCCAGCTGCCAGCAGGCGGGCGTGCTGCCAGTACACCTTGAGCAAGAGGACCCTGCAATGTCCGTAGCTGCCAGCAGGCGGCGTGCCACCACTATACAGTAAGCAAGAGGACCCTGCAGTGCCCCGGCGCCACGAGGGGGCGGTGGCCACCACTCTAAGCAAGAGAGCCCTGCAGTTGCCCTAGTCGCCAGCAGGGGGCGCCCTGGCACAGCACCGTGAGCAAGCGGGTCCTGTAGTGCCCGGCTGCAAGCAAGGGGCGGTCGATCCCGGCTTTTCGGATTACTGAAGTTCCACCCGTCTCTGCGCCGCGCCGCCGTGACGTGAGTTTCTGCGCGTGCACGGCGCCCCCGCACCCCCCCGCCCCCAGCCCGGCGCCGTGCGACTTTGCTCCTGCAACACACGCACCCCCAACCCCCGCCCGTAGGCGTGCGTCTCTGCGCCTGCGCCACGCCTCCACCCCTGGACGCGCTAGCATGTGTCTCTGCGCCTGCGCCGGCGCGGCGCGCCTCTCTGCGCCTGCGCCGGCGCGGCGCGCCTCTCTGCGCCTGCGCCGGCGCGGCGCGCCTCTCTGCGCCTGCGCCGGCGCGGCGCGCCTCTCTGCGCCTGCGCCGGCGCGGCGCGCCTCTCTGCGCCTGCGCCGGCGCGGCGCGCCTCTCTGCGCCTGCGCCGGCGCGGCGCGCCTCTCTGCGCCTGCGCCGGCGCGGCGCGCCTCTCTGCGCCTGCGCCGGCGCGGCGCGCCTTTGCGACGGCCGAGTTGCGTTCTCGTCAGCACAGAGCGGCAGAGCACCGCGAGGGCGGAGCTGCGTTGTCCTCTGCACAGATTTCGGTGGTACTGCGAAGGCGGAGCAGAGTTCTCCTCAGGTCAGACCCGGGCGGGCGGGCTGAGGGTACCGCGAGGGCGGAGCTGCGTTCTGCTCAGTACAGACCTGGGGGTCACCGTAAAGGTGGAGCAGCATTCCCCTAAGCACAGACGTTGGGGCCACTGACTGGCTTTGGGACAACTCGGGGCGCATCAACGGTGAATAAAAATGTTTCCCGGTTGCAGCCATGAATAATCAAGGTGAGAGACCAGTTAGAGCGGTTCAGTGCGGAAAACGGGAAAGCAAAAGCCCCTCTGAATGCTGCGCACCGAGATTCTCCCAAGGCAAGGGGAGGGGCTGCATTGCAGGGTCCACTTGCAGCGTCGGAACGCAAATGCAGCATTCCTAATGCACACATGATACCCAAAATATAACACCCACATTCCTCATGTGCTTAGGGTGAGGGTGAGGGTTGGGGTTGGGGTTGCGGTTGGGGTTGGGGTTGGGGTTGGGGTTGGGGTTAGGGTTTGGGTTTAGGGTTGGGGTAGGGGTAGGGGTGGGGTTGGGGTTGGGGTTGGGGTTGGGGTTAGGGGTTGGGGTTGGGGTTGGGGTTGGGGTTGGGGTTAGGGTTAAGGGTTAGGGTTAGGGGTTAGGGGTTAGGGTTGGGGTTGGGGTTAGGGTTAGGGTAGGGTTAGGGTTAGGGTTAGGGGTTAGGGGTTAGGGTAGGGTTAGGGTGAGGGTGAGGGTGAGGGTGAGGGTGAGGGTGAGGGTTAGGGTTAGGGTTAGGGTTAGGGTTAGGGGTTAGGGGTTAGGGTTAGGGTTAGGGGTTAGGGGTTAGGGTTAGGGTTAGGGGTTAGGGTTAGGGTTAGGGGTTAGGGGTTAGGGGTTAGGGGTTAGGGTAGGGTAGGGTAGGGTAGGGAGGGTTAGGGTTAGGGTTAGGGTTAGGGTTAGGGTTAGGGTTAGGGTTAGGGTTAGGGTTAGGGTTAGGGTTAGGGTTAGGGTTAGGGTTAGGGTTAGGGTTAGGGTTAGGGTTAGGGTTAGGGTTAGGGTTAGGGTTAGGGTTAGGGTTAGGGTTAGGGTTAGGGTTAGGGTTAGGGTTAGGGTTAGGGTTAGGGTTAGGGTTAGGGTTAGGGTTAGGGTTAGGGTTAGGGTTAGGGTTAGGGTTAGGGTTAGGGTTAGGGTGAGGGTTAGGGTTAGGGTTAGGGTTAGGGTTAGGGTTAGGGTTAGGGTTAGGGTTAGGGTTAGGGTTAGGGTTAGGGTTAGGGTTAGGGTTAGGGTTAGGGTTAGGGTTAGGGTTAGGGTTAGGGGTTAGGGGTTAGGGGTTAGGGGTTAGGGGTTAGGGGTTAGGGTTAGGGTTAGGGTTAGGGTGTGGTGTGTGGGTGTGTGTGGGTGTGGTGTGTGTGGGTGTGGTGTGTGGGTGTGGGTGTGGGTGTGGGTGTGTGGGTGTGGTGTGTGGGTGTGGT